>NC_000002.12:43826715-44129746 GCF_000001405.40 Homo sapiens | reverse complement strand
CAAAGTAACATAGTTATTATGGATCTTCCAGGCAACAGACACATCTTCCTAGCAATAGCCTTTGAAGTATGGTTCTAGAGACCCCATTTCCACTTTCGGGTCATGCCTACCAGCAAAATCTTTTTTCCACTAATTTTCTTTCTTTCTTTCTTTCTTTCTTTCTTTCTTTCTTTCTTTCTTTCTTTCTTTCTTTCTTTCTTTCTTTTCTTTACCTTTTTTTTTTTTGAGATGGAGTTCCACTCTTTTGCTCAGGCTGGAGTGCAGTGGCGCGATTTCAGCTCACTGCAACCTCCGCCTCCTGGGTTCAAGCAATTCTCCTGCCTCAGCCTCCCAAGTAGCTGGAATTACAGGCGTGCCGCCACGCCAGGATAATTTTTGTATTTTTAGTAGAGACGGGGTTTCACCATGTTGGCCATGCTGGACTTAAACTCCTGACCTCAGGTCATCCACCTGCCTCGGCCTCCCAAAGTGCTGGGATTATAGGCATGAGCCACCATGCCCAGCCCTCCCACAAATTTTCTAGAGTCAAGACTATCCTTAAAACTGTGGGCAATAATTTCTTAGAAAGTTAGAGGGTCCTAAGGTAGTTAAGACTAAAAATGGGAAATTCTACCTTTGGGGTGTCTTTCATCTTCCAAAATTCACAATGCATATATGTGTATATAAACTACAAAATATAAGAACACAACATTAGAAACTGGACATTGAAAATGACATTCATCTTTCATTGTAGATATTGGAAGTTGCCTACCCTCATCTACTCTTCTCTTCCTTCTTCCTAATGAAAACTCAATTTGTTCAGATTGGCAGAGTACCCAATTAAAAATATTTACCTCCCTGGTCGCCTTTGCAGCTAGTAGTGGCCATGCAACCCAGTTCCAGCAGATAAAATGTAAGTGGATGTCTATTGCATGGAGTTTCCAGAGAAGGTACTGTTTTCCTGATTCAAAGAGAGCTCCAGAGAATCTTTTATTTTCTGGGGTCAGAAAACCTGGCTTACTTCTATTGTCCTTCCCATTTTTCTTTTGCCATTCATCCCACCTAAAACACAAATTTGATATGTGGAGGTGGAGCATCCATCTTACAACCATGAGGGTAAAATCACAAAGAAAGGACAGTAGGATAGAATGAAAGAAGTCTGCAGACATCCTTGAACAACTGCACCAGCCATGCCTGCTCCTAGGATTGCCAGATAAAATGCATGTTGCCCAGTTAAACTTGTATGTGCAACATACTTACACTAAAAAATTATTTGTTGTTTATCTGAAATTCAAATTTAACTGGGTTCACTGCTTTCTATTTCCTAAAGTTGGCTACCCTGTCTGCCTCTAGACATCTTGTTATGTGAAAACACTAAAACCTTGTTTGGTTAGGATTACCAGTGACATCAAATTTATAATAGATGCAGCTAAAGTCAACCTCTCACTGATACACTTTTTGTTTTGTTTTTCTATTTGGTTTTTTTTTTTGAGACGGAGTCTCGCTCTGTTGCCCAGGCGGGAGTGGACTGGCACGATCTTGGCTCACTGCAACCTCCGCCTCCTGGGTTCAAGCAATTCTCTGCCTCAGCCTCCCAAGTAGCTGGGATTACAGGCACCCACCACCATGCCCGGCTAATTTTTTTTTTGTTGTTGTATTTTTAGTAGAGACGGGGTTTCACCATCTCGGCCAGGCTGGTCTTGAACTCCTGACCTCAAGTGATCTGCCCACCTCGGCCTCCCAAAGTGCTGGGATTATAGGCGTGAGCCACCGCACCCGGCCTCTCTTTGTTTTTTTAGATGGGGTCTCACTCTGTCACCCAGGCTGGAGTGCAGTGGCATGATCATGGCTCATTGCGGCCTTGACCTCTTGGACTCAAGCAATCCTCCCACTTCAGCCTCCTGAGTAGCTGTCACTACAGGCATGTGCCATGGCACCAGGCTAATTTTTTGTAGACAGGTCTTCACCATGTTGCCCAGATTGGTCTTGAACTCTGGACTCAAGCTAACCGCCTGCCTTGGCCTCCCAAAATGCCTGGATTACAGGCATGAACCACTGTGCCCAGCTGATACATTTTTCTTGTTGTTGTTTTATGAGACGGAGTCTCCAGTTCCCGGGTTCAAACAATTCTCCTGTCTCAGCCTCCCAAGGAGTAGCTGAGACTACAGGCACCCACCACCATGCCCAGCTAATTTTGTATTTAATAAAGATAGGGTTTCACCATGTTGGTCAGGCTGGTCTCAAACTCCTGACCTCAGGTGGTCACAGCACCTGGCCGCTGATACACTTTTTAAAAAGAGTTATTTGTTTTAAATTAATTTAGACTTTTCCTTAAAGTCATGGCTTTTAGATAAGCTATTTGGAATTATAAGCGATGTACATCTCCTTACTTAGAAAATGCAATTCAGATACACCTTTGAATGACTAGGTAATTGTTCTACCAGCAGTTGGCTCTTGAAACTTAATAGCATTAGTGAATAGAATTCAAATTTGTTTGTCCATATGGTTCACCAATAAGGGCACAAAGATTTAAGGCAGTAATCTAAACACGAGAAAGCTATACAAATGAAGTATAAATAAATTAGTAAATTCAAAGGCAAATATTATTCATGGAATAATTGACATATTTCTAGATTTACTTATATTCTTTTACTGTACTTATGATATCAAATGACTAAATTGTTGAGGGCAAATTGATGAATTCAACTGAATTACTGACTACTGTACTTACCGTTATGCAGAAGAAAGTTTGAAGCATAAAGAAATGGAAAATAGCATGGTTTTTGCCCTCAAAGAGTTAGAATCTTTTGAAGAAGATAAAACTTGTACTACAAGTCAAATAAAGATGAAACATTGAGGAATAATATAAAAGATAAATTTTAGTTAAAATGGAATATACTTGAATACCAAAATATATGATGCATACAATGGACTCTGTTAGGACAGGAAAAGTTATCGGAAATTTCATGGAGGAGGTGCAGTTTGTGATGGGTCTAGAGATTTTCCTGATTCGTGTCTGAGACATCTATATAGCATCTCTGATTTAGGGTCAAGGCTCCACTTGAGTAACAAATGCTCTGGGGATGGCATCACTTCATCTGAATGCTGTCCCCTGAAGTTGTGCAAGGCAGAGCCCTGTCAATCATTCTCTATCATACCAGGGCTTGGAAGTGCAGGTTCTGATCTGCCTAAAAGCAGTTTATGGAATGCAATAAATAAAAAGCAGCAATAAACCTGTCATTTTCGTGAGTATCCCAGCTGCATACTCTGTTCTCTTAGTTTCCAGTTTTAAATAGTTCCCCAAATTTCATGTACCAGCTACAGGTTTAAGCTCTCTCCTGTTGCTATTTATAGCACGTTGCTCATGTAAAATAAGTCTCCTCATTCATAAAATGAGGATGGTAATAAACCTTGTCCTACTTTCCTAAAAATAGTTTCCTATCTGCAAAATGGGGCTAATAATACCTGCCCTATTGATTTCACAAGGCTGTTTTGAGGGTCAGATGTGATTGTGTAAAAGTAAGTTGAAACTCAAAGTATGATACATCAGAGGTATTACCGTAGTTCTGACTAGCATTGCAACCCAAGCATTTGTGAGAAAAGCGCTATTGCTGTCCTTTATATCTTTGAACATGAATGGGTATGATACTTACTAGCCCAGTGGACGTACCAAAATATTTGTGCTGTATTTTGTCTACTATTTTTATGGACAGCTATTTTAAGATGAGTTGACAAAAGCCTATGCCACTGGTATGACAACATTTATAAGACCACCCATAAGTGGTTTGGTGTTGAAAGTGAGAAGGTGATGTTCATTTTTCCTCTCTTATTCTGCTCAGCTTTTCTGCAGTTTCCTATTTCTTTCCACAAAGGGTGACATTGTTCAGAGCAGAATTGTAGACAGAGTACTTGTAGATACTTTCTTTTCACCTCTTAGGCTGACTCCAGTTTGAATGCATTTGGTAAGATCATTGTCATTTTCACCGCAGGAGTGAAAGAAAGGGCATTGTATTACTATTCTGGGGGAGGAAATGTACTCTACTACAGGAATTAGAAACCTGCGTTCTCGTCGGAACACAGTGGCTCACACCTGTAATCCCAGCACTTTGGGAGGCCGAGGTGGGTGGGTCACCTGAGGTCAGGAGTTCAAGACCAGCCTGGCCAACATGGAAAAACCTTGTCTCTACTAAAAATTCAAAAATTATCTGGACGTGGTGACACATGCCTGTAGTCCCAGCTACTCAGTTACTCAGTAGGCTAAGTCAGGAGAATCACTTGAACGCAGGAGGTGGTGGTTGCAGTGAGCCAAGATCGCACCACTGCACTCCAGCTTGGGCGACAGAGTGAGACTATGTCTCAAAAAAAAAAAAAAAAAGAGAAACCTGGGTTCTTTTCCCAGGTTTTTGTGACTTTGGGTCAGTCCCCTCATCTCTCTGGGGATCAGTCTTCCCATCTATAAAATGATTTCTCGCTAGGTGCGGTGACTTACGCCTGTAATCCCAGCACTTTGGGAGGCCGAGGCGGGTGGATCATGAGGTCAGGAGCTTGAGACCAGCCTGGCCAACATGGTGAAACCCCATCTCTACTAAAAATACAAAAATTAGCTGGGCATGGTGGCGTGCGCATGTAGTCCCAGCTACTTGGGAGGCTGAGGCAGAAGAATTGCTTGAACCTGGGAGGCGGAGGTTGCAGTGAGCCGAGATAGCGCCACTGCACTCCAGCCTGGCAACAGAGCGAGACTCCGTCTCAAAAAGAAACAGAAAAGAAAATAGTTTCTCTAAAAAAAACCTTATCGCTAATTTTTTCTATACTGTAATTAGTTTTAACAGCTTTATTGAGATATGAGTCACATTCCATACAATTAACCCATTTAAAGTGTACAACGCAATGTTTTTTTTTTTTATGTGTGCAACCATCTTTTAGATGGTTTAGAACATTTTAATCACCTCAAGAAGAAATCACATATCCCTTTGGCTAGCACATTCTCCCACATGCCCCACGCCACCCTACTCCGAAGTAATCACCAATCTACTTTCTGTCTCTACAGATTTCCCTATTTTGGGCTTTTATATGAGTCAAACTGTATTAGTATGTGGTCTGTGACTGACTTCTTTCAGGCAACGTAATGTTTTCAAGGTTCATCCATGTTGTAGCATATATTAGTACTTCATTCCTTTTTGTGGCTAAATAATAGGTCATCGAATGGATATACCAAATTTTGTTCATTCATTTGTCTGTTGATGAACATTTTGGTTATTTTCACATTTTTATTATTATGAATAATGCTACCATAAACATTTGTATACAAGTTTTTGTGCGGACATATGTTTTCCTTTCTTTTGGGTATGTACCTGGGTAAGGAATGGCTGGATCATATGGTAACTCTATTTTTTTTTTTTTTTGAGATGGAGTCTTGGTCTGTTGCCCAGGCTGGAATGCAGTGGCATGACTCGGCTCACTGCAACCTCTGCCTCAGCTTCAAGTGATTCTCCTGCCTCAGCCTCCTGAGTAGCTGTGATTACAAGCGTGTGCCATCATGTCTGGCTAATTTTTGTGTTTTTAGCAGAGATGGGGTTTTACCATATTGGCCAGGCTGGTCTCAAACTCCTGGTCTCAAGCAATCCTCCCACCTCGACCTCCCAAGATGCTGGGATTACAGGTGTGAGCCACTGCAACCAGCCAGTAACTATGTTTAATTGTTTACGGAACTGCCAAATTGTTTTCCAAAGTAGCTGGACAATTAAGTATTCTCACCAGCAGTGTATGAGGATTATAATTTCACCACATCCTCACCGATACTTATTGTTGTCTGACTTCATAATTTCTAGCCATCCTAGTGGGTAGGAAGTGGTATCTCATTGTGATTTTGATTTGCATTTCCCTCGTGATTAGTGATGTTGAGCATCTTTTCATATGTTTATTGGCCATTCATATGTCTTCTTTGGAGAAATGTCCATTTGGATCCTTTCTCATTAATATAATTATTTTTTAGAGAACAAGTAACAAGAGAGAGAAAACCATCTCACTAATAGATCTTCTAATGCTTAAAAACAAAAAGAATTAACTAATCTAAATTTAAAGTCTGTAAACTTTTACAATTCTCCTGCCTCAGCTCCCAGGTAGCTGGGATTATAGGCACCGCCACCACACCCGGCTAATTTTTGTATTTTTAGTAGAGACATGGTTTTGCCATGTTTGCCAGGCTGGTCTAGAACTCCTGACCTCAGGTGATCCACCTGCCTCAGCCTCCCAAAGTGCCGGGATGACAGGCGTGAGACACCGTGCCTGGCCTAAAGTCTCTAAACTTTTGAATCTAAGTTTGCTTTCTAAGCACATCCACTAGAAAAGCTAAATGAGTACTAAATCCTTTTGTTTTCTTATGTCTGTGATTTTATAGTGTTTATCTTATTAAAAGGGCATGTATAGTAATCAGTGATCTACCCCGGTGTTCTATTTCAGATATTAAAGTCTTCGTGAGGAAATACAGTTATTTTCTAGCATGACAGTTCTAAAAATATGGTCTGCAACCCCCTCGAGGCCACCAAAACACTTTCAGGAAATCCATGAAGTCAAAACTATTCTTTATACTAAAACAGTGTTTGCCTTTTTCATTGTGTCGATATTAACATTGATGGTACCAAACCAATGGTGGGTAAAACTGCTGGTGCCTTAGCACCAATGAAGGCAGTTGCACCAAACTGTAATAACAGTCATTACATTGTTTATTGCCAAGCACTAGTAGCAAATAAATACAATGAATTAAATTTAAAATACAAGTTTCACTTAAGAATGTACTTGGGGGGCCGAGCGTGATGGCTCATGCCAGTAATCCCAGCACTTTGGGAGGCCGACGTGGGTGGATCACCTGAAGTCAGGAGTTTGAGACCAGCCTGGCCAACATGGCGAAACCCCGTCTCTACTAAAAATACAAAAATTAGCCGTGCATGGTGGTGGGTGCCTGTAATCCCAGCTACTCAGGAGGCTGAGGCAGGAGAATGACTTGAACCAGGGAGGCGGAGGTTGCAATGAGCCGAGATCTCGCCACTGTACTCTAGCCTGGGTGACAGACCGAGGCTCTGTCTCAACAAAAACAACAACAACAAAAGTACTTGGGGAAGCAGTAAAATTTTCAATTTTATTAAACCTTGGTCCTAAAGTACATGTCTTTTTAATGTGTTGTGTGACAAAATGGGAAGCACACATCAAGTCCTCATGCTGAATACTGAGCTAGGGAGCTATCTTGAGGAAAAGCACCTGTGGTTTGAGGGGCAAGGTGAACTAACTGTTTTTTAATGGAACACCATTTTGATTTAAAACAATGACTGATGGACGAATTACAGTTATTCATGCTTGGGTATTTGGCAGATATTTTTTCAAAAATGAACAAAGTGGGCCTGTCACTTCAGGGAAAACAATTGACAGTATTTCCAAATTTACCAGTGATCGAATTGGAGCTTTCAAGTAAAAAAATCTGAATTTTCGAAAACCTGTGTTTGCTACTGTGAACTTGACAGCTTCACCGTATTTAAAGTCCTTTCCAATGAGATTGGTGGTGATGTTAATGAACATGATTTTTCTGGGTTTTGTATAGTGAGATGTGTCAACATTGGGAAGATCTGTATAACTCAATAGACCAATGTTTTCTGAATGAACAATGTGTGATATTGTACAATCATGCAGTGGTGAAATACTTATTCAAAGCATGACAGATAAATTGTTTTTTTTTTTTTTTTTTGAGATGGAGTCTCACTTTGTCACTCAGGCTGTAGTGCAGTGGCATGATCTCGGCTGACTGCAACCTCTGCCTCCTGAGTTCAAGTGATTCTCCTGCCTCAGCCTCCCAAGTAGCCAGGACTAGAGGCATGCACAACCACGCCCAGATAATTTTTGTATTTTTAGTGGAGATGGGGTTTCATGATGTTGGCCAGGCTGGCCTCAAACTCCTGATCTCAGGTGATCTACCCTCCTTGGCCTCCCAAAGCCCTGGGATTACAAGCATGAGCCACTGCGCTCGGCCAGATAAGTTGATTTTAATATAACAGCATGTGAAGGTCAGATCTCAAATTGCTACTAACCTTTAGGAAACTACAACTTGTCAAGTTTTGGTGTAATATCAAATAAGAATATCCACACTTATCGGAATCTGAAATGACTACTAAAATGTCCCTCCTTTTCCAACTACCTGTGTGAGGCCAGATGTTCTTCATATATTTCAACTAAAACAACATATTGCAATAGATCGAATGCAGAAGTGGGTATGACAACCTACCTGTCTTCTATTAAGTAAGATATTATGGAGACTAGCCAAAAGAAGAGAAAACCAATGCCACTCTT
Source organism: Homo sapiens (assembly GCF_000001405.40). Classification (NCBI taxonomy): domain Eukaryota; kingdom Metazoa; phylum Chordata; class Mammalia; order Primates; family Hominidae; genus Homo; species Homo sapiens. The sequence goes on along the minus strand of NC_000002.12, from coordinate 44,121,433 downwards.
TTCACCATTTTTTTTTTGTTTTGGAAATAATTGTTTTCATCAAACATATCATTATTGTCAACCTGTTTATATAATGGGTTTATTAGTATTTTATTTTATTTTATTTATTTAGTGTTTTGAGACAGAGTCTCCCTCCATTGCCCAGGCTGGAGTGCAGTGGCGCAATCTTGGCTTACTGCAACCCCCGCCTCCCGGGTTCAAGCAATTCTCCTGCCTCAGCCTCCCGAGTAGCTAGGACTATAAGCATATGCCACCACGACTGGCTACTTTTTGCATTTTTAGTAGAGATGGGGTTTCACCATATTGGACAAGCTGGTCTCAAACTCCTGACCTCAGGTGATCCACTTGCCTCGGCCTCCAAAAGTGCTGGAACTACAGGCACGAGCCACCGCAACTGGCTGATTTATTAGCATTTTAAACGAGTAAATAAACATTATTAAATTCTGAGTTTTAATTTCTAAGTTCCTCCTTAGTAGCTTAGTATAGATAGAAAACACCATGGTCCTGATTTTTTTCCTCACTAACACACCTGAGGAAAATACCATAAACCCCTCAGTAATGGTGGCTTGGTCCTATGAGGCAAGGATAGCGTCTCTATTGTATCCCCAGTACACAATACAGAGCTTGGCATATAGTAGTTACTCAACAAACACTTTGTTGAATTGAATTGGTTGCAATTAAAGCACTGATCCTCAGCTCATACTATGTTTACTCATGTTTTGAAATATACCATTTCTTAGGGCAAGAATTTTAACTGGTTTCCAAACCAAAGAGTCACTTTTCAAAGGCATCAAAGAGGAAACGTGACTCAAGCACTGCATGCAAGGCATGGGGAAAAAAGCAAACCACAAAATCTAACCACAGAATTCATAGATTCAAAACGTTGTTGCTTGGAATTAGTAAAGGCTGTACATGCAGCTCCAGAAAGACTGCCTGGGTTCAAATTCTGGCTTCATCATTCACCATCTGTGTACTCTTGGGCAGGTCTTTAACCCATCTGTGCCTACTGTCCTCATCTGTAAAATGGATAATAATAGCATCCATTTTGTAGGGTTATTTTAAGGCTATAATGAGTTAATGTTAATACATATAATTCACTTAGAATTTAATGTACTATATTAGAATGGTATATTTTTAACAGGGCTTGGCACTGAATTAAGTTCTCAATAAATTTTCCCTGTACTCTATCAAATGGAGGAAGTTCATTATATATATATGATAAAGTATTCATAGTGAATAAAAGTCTTTCATATCCCTTTTTTTTTTTAAAAAAAAGAGATGGTGTCTTGCTATGTTGCCCAGGCTTAAGTATAGTGGCCCAAACATAATCACTTCTGCTCACAGTCTACCAGGAAGGACTGGTCATATGGCCCTAAACTGACAAGGAGGCTGGGAGGTATTGGGAAACATGAAATACTGGGTGAACAACTACTAATTTATCTTAGGATCTGGTTAAATAAGTATAGCTCTCCAATCATCCAGATTGTCTCTTAATAAAAATAGTAACAGATTTATTTATCCCTTTATGGAAAGCAAGACTTTATTAGTATTTAATTTAAAATGAATAGGAATTCTTTCTATTGTTTCAAAAGAATACATGCTGATTTCTTTCCTTGTTTTACTTTTAACCCTCCTGATGTTTCTTTTATGATTTTTCTTTTATAATTGAGCATGTGTTACTTTGTACTTCTGTTACAATATAATTTCCAATAAAAATAAACCCTTGACCACCCTGAGGGGAACACTAGAAAAAACTGAAAAGCTTACTAGTTGAATTCATATTTATTCCAGAACACTTCTGCTGTTATTGTTGTTAGAGACTCAGTCTCATTATGTTGCCCAGGCTGGTCTCAAACTCCTAGCCTTAAGCAATCTTCCTGCCTTGACCTCCCAAAATCCTGGGATTATAGGCATGAGCCACCACACTTGGCCCAGAACTCTTTTTGTATCTAATTCAAACTCTTCAGACTACCCCTCAAGATCCTTCCTCGATAATCATGCCACCACACACACACACACACACACACACACACACACACACACACACTTCTCTAGCCTATTATCTTACTTGTCTGAAAATAAGGCTTTTTTTGCTCTCACTGAAACAATTTTTTATTTAAAACAAATTAATACATATTTATTGGAACACCATGCCATTTGTTTTTTAACCACTTGCTAAATTGTTATCAGTAATAATATTCCAGGATTTCTGAAACAGTCCTGATTTTAAATGCTATAGTTTTCTTATTAGCAGATCATAGATAGTCACCTTAGCTTTCACCCATGACTCTCTGGCTAGGGAGAGCCTCTTCTCTTGAATAATTCAAGTCTATTTCATCTACTAATGAAAAATTGAAAACAACATCCATTTCTAGTAGTAAGGACAGAGCTAAGCAAGCTATAAAATACTGACATTATGTGGCTGGTGAAAATGCCAGTAAGTAGACTCTATTGATACATAGAAATAGATATAATAACTATATTATGCAGAATGTATTGACTGCTTACTATGCACATGGTGCTAAGCAGTTTTTATACCCATTACCTTATTTAATTCAGGCCATAATCTTATGAAATAGGTAAAATTATCATGCCTAGTTTACAGATAAAGAAACTGGGGTTCAGATAAGTAACTTACCTGAGTTCTTTTTTTTTTTTTTTTTGAGTCAGAGTCTCACTCTGTTGCCCAGGCTGGAGTGCAGTTGCACCATCTCGGCTCACTGCACCCTCTGCTTCCCGGGTTCAAGCAATTCTCCTGCCTCAGCCTCCTGAGTAGCTGGTATTACAGGGGCCCGCCATCACACTTGGCTAACTTTTGTATTTTTAGTAGAGATGGGGTTTCACCATTTGGCCAGGCTAGTCTCGAACTCCTGGCCTCAAGCAATCCACCCGCTTCGGCCTCCCAAAGTGCTGAGATTACAGGCGTGAGCCACCGCGACCAGCCCAGATAAGTAACTTGCCAGAGGTCAAACAGTCAGAATGCAATACTGAACCCAGGACTGGCTGACTCAAGAGTCATGCTCTCAACCACTTTGCTGTGATCAACTCCAGATATAGGAAATGACGTCAAGTTTTTAGAACTACAGGATAACAAAAGCACTGAGATGTGTACAATGACTACTACTAATTGAACTGAAATGTATATCCACTAAAAAAATGGAAAATAGGCCGGGCACGGTGGCTCACGCTTGTAATCCCAGCACTTTGGGAGGCCGAGGCGAGCAGATCACGAGGTCAGGAGATCGAGACCACGGTGAAACCCCGTCTCTACTAAAAATACAAAAAATTAGCCGGGCGTGGTGGTGGGCGCGTGTAGTCCCAGCTACTCGGGAGGCTGAGGCAGGAGAATGGCGTGAACCCGGGAGGGCGGAGCTTGCAGTGAGCCGAGGTCGCGCCACTGCACTCCAGCCTGGGCGACAGAGTGAGACTCTGTCTCAAAAAAAAGGAAAATATAATTTTTAATTAAAAACTGGGGGGAAATACAGAAATATGAAACTGGAAAAAAACCTACCCATTTTTCTATTATCTTAAGCCAATAAATTAATACTTCGGTATATTTTCTTCCTATATGTCTTCTATGTATTTTTGCACACACAACGTTGTCTCCTGCATTGTTTTAACTCACCATTATGACATAACCCTTTCTGCATTAAAAACTCAAAAAAAGGACCAGGCACAGTGGCTCATGCCTGTAATCTCAACACTCTGGGAGGCCAAGGTGGGAGGACTGCTTGAGGCCAGGAGTTCGAGACCAGACTGGAAAGGCAGCTTGAAGTTTTGTAAATACCTATTAGTTTGCATTAGGATTAACTTCAGCTGTGAGTGATAGAAAGCCCCCCCCAAACAGTGAGTTAAAGTTTATTTGTCTCTCAGATAAACACAGGCAATATATGTCTAATATGATAGCATCTTGAGACCATCAGGGACCAAGCTCCTTGAGTTTTGCTGCTTCTCCATCCTCAACACATAGCTTCTACATTATGGCCCCAGTGACTTTTCTTACTCCAATTATCAAGTCCACCATCTATCAGCAAAAAGAAGAAAATGGGGCCAGGAGAGGTGGCTCACGCCTGTAATCCCAGCACCTTGGGAGGCTGAGGCAGGCGGATCACTTGAGGTCAGGAGTTCGTGACCAGCCTGGACAACATGGTGAAACCCTGCGTCTACTAAAAATACAAAAATTAGCTGGGCGTGATGGCATGTGCCTGTAATCCCAGCTACTCGGGAGGCTGAGGCATGAGAATCACTTGAACCGGGAGGCAGAGTTTGCAGCGAGCTGAGATTGAGCCACTGCACTTCAGCCTGGGCAACAGAGTGAGACTCAGTCTCAAATAAACAAACAAACAAACAAATAAATAAATAAACAAATAAATAAGAAAATGGAAGAAGAGCATTCTTCTCTTTAAGGATGCTTCCTGGAATTTCCTTACATTATATTCATACTACATTAGCCAAAAGTAAGACATATGGTCACATGTAACTGTAACCTTTTTATTCCAGGTGGCCATGTACTTGGCTTAAAGTTAAGGATTCTACTACTGTAGAAGAAGGAGAGAACGGATTCTAGAGGACAACTGGCAGTCTCCTTGTAGCTGAGACTTTTTTGTGTATAAAAATTAATAAAATTGGTTTATTAATTTGTTTATAATGCTCAATACCTTACAAGCTCTCTCAAAAATACTATCTCTTGAATTAGAAAGTATATAATCTCTCTATTTTTATCCATTACTCTTCCATCTCCAACATCTAACAAAACACTTAACAAACAACAGAAATGCAGTAACAATTTAAGTTCCTTTTTTACTATAAAGAAAAGAGAATGATCTTTTTTCACTACCTGCTATTGTCTTACACACTGTATTTTGTTCCATACCATTTTCCCTCTATGACTGCATACTATCATTACTTCTGTTCATGTGTAGAAAGGCTTCTCTGACTCACACAATGAGGAAACAGACTCAGAGAAATTTAAAAACTTGCTAAAAGTCACACAGCTAGCGCTTGGCGGAGCTGAGATTGAAATCCAGGACTGTCCAACTCCCAGATCCATCTGTCTTTCCTATAGCACAGTACATCAGAGCTCAGGGCATCCTCGGGAAAAAATGAAAAATTCAGAGAAACAAGTGTTTTTATCTACAAAACTGTTGTCTACCAGTGATTGGAATTATTGATGCTATGAGTTACAATCAATGACTGTCTACTAGAAAAAAGCAAAATTCCCTGAGTTTAAGAAACTCTTAATTTTTTCCTCGTATCAAATTATGTGAAGATACTGAAGATACTAAGATCTGAAAATTGTACATTTATTTATTCACAAATGTACAAATACTTACTAGGAACCACAACATCCGCAGAACTCTGCCAAACTCTGTGGACAGAGATGAAAGAAACAGTCCCCATTTATAAGCATCTAATCTGGTGGTAAAAGAATCATCACCAACAATAACAAATATTGTTATTTTTTGATAATATTGATAAGGGCAATGCAGAAGCTAGTTCCTTAGACAGCCTAGCAGGGTCAGGGAAGGCTTCCCGAGGTGACTCTTTTTTTTTTTTTTAAATGGAGTTTAGCTCTTGTTGCCCAGGCTGGAGTGTAATGGCGCGATCTTGGCTCACCACAACCTCCACCTCCCGGGTTCAAGCGATTCTCCTGCCTCAGCCTCCCGAGTAGCTGGGATTACAGGCATGCGCCACCACATCTGGCTAATTTTTTGTATTTTTAGTAGAGATGGAGTTTCTCCATGTTGGTCAGGCTGGTCTCGAACTCCTGACCTCAGGTGATCCGCCTGCCTCAGCCTCCCAAAGTGCTGGGATTACAGGCATGAGCCACAGTGCCCAGCCTCTCGAGGTGACTCTTAGGGAGGATTTAAACTATTCTAGAAAGGCAGTCCAAAGTCAGCCAGGCAAAGAAGCATGTGTTGTGTGCGGGGCACACAGCACAAAGAAAGGTGTTGGGGACCAGTGATAGCTTTTCCTCACCCATCACAAACTTCATGGCTGAGGCCCCTATAACAAGACAGATTAACAAGAGAAAAGCATACACATTTATTTAATTTAAATTTATGTGACACAGAAGCCTTCAGAAATGAAGACCCAAAGAAAGAGGAAAAATTATATTTTTATGGACAGTGTTGCAGAAATATGATCAGAGGACAGAAGGTATGAGCCAATGGCAATGCACTGTGGGGAGGTAAGCAAGGCCTGTTTGCTTAGAGTCTTCTTGGCATCTCTGTGTGTCTTCCAGAGTAAGGATAGTCTTCTCCTCTGGGTATAGGAAAGGGTCTATCCGCAGAATATCTGGAATGAGGTTTTATGACCTATTTTCAGGGAAGGTCAGCTGGGTTTTATGGCGCACATCAGGCGAGAAGGGGCAGAGGGAATTCTTTCTAGTTTCTATGGCTTGCTTCTGCTGTTTCGTTACATGTCAAGGTGCCATATTTTGGGGAAGCATATTTTCAATCCCATCAAAGGCAAGAAGAAGAGAGAATGTGAGGCACTGAAGAAGTAGCTACTAGCAGCTATTCTGTTTTCATGTTGCCTAAGAATCAATTCAGAGGTGATGCTTGTTAACCAGAAAGATTTCTGGATCCTACCTTCATGGTTTCAGATTCTACAGGCCTCAGACAGGGCCCAGTGATCTGTAATTTTATTTATTTACTTAATGTTTTTGGAGACAGGGCCTTCCTCTCTCACCCAGGCTGGAGTGCAATGGTGCAATCACGGCTCACTCCAGTCTTGACCTCCTGGGCTTAAGTGATCTTCCGCCTCAGCCTCCTGAGTAGCTAGGACCACAGGTGCATGCCACCCCACCTGAGTAATTTTTAAATTTTTTTGTAGGGATGAGGTCTCACTATGTTGCTCAGGTTGGTCTTGAATTCCTGAGCTCAAGAGATCCACCGGCCTCCCCGTCCCAAAGTGCTGGGAGTACAGGCATGAGCCACTGCTCCTGGCCAAATCTGTAATTTTAATAAGTGGCAATTCTTTTGGGGATGGTCCAAAGACTATACTTTGAGAAATACTGAAGCAAAAGAAGGGGGAGAAGACAGGAGTTAAAGTTGGCAAAGCAGGCAAAGGCATGGTCTGTCTAGCTCATGAGTTTAAAGTATACCCTGATGGAAATGATATGGAGGATTTTAAGCAAAACAGTGAGAGTTATGACTAGGTTGATGTTTTAGAAAAATCATTTCAGCTCAAGTTTGCAGGGAAGAAAGGCCAGGAGACTGGAGATCTTAACCAAAGGAGGGGGATGAAGATGGAGACATGAGAATGATTTTGAAAGATATTTTGAGAGGCTGGGCGCGGTGGCTCACGCTTGTAATCCCAACAGTTTGGGAGGCTGAGGCGGGCGGATCACCTGAGGTGGGGAGTTCAAGACCAGCCTGACCAACATGGAGAAACCCTGTCTCTACTAAAAACACAAAATTAGCTGGGCATGGTGGCGGCGCGTGCCTACAATCCCAGCTACTCGGGAGGCTGAGGCAGGAGAATCGCTTGAACACGGGAGGTGGAGATGGAGGCTGTGGTGAGCCGAGTTTGTGCCATTGCACTTCAGCCTGGGCAACAAGAGCAAAACTCCATCTCAAAAAAATAAATAATAAAAAAGAAAGAAAGAAAGATATTTTGGAGGTAGAATATCCTGGATTTGTTCAATACGTACTTGAATATGGCAGTGGTGGAAGGGACTGAGTAGGACTTTAAGATACTTTCTGAATTACTGCAAAACGGGAAAAGGGGTGAATAGATTAGTCTAAAAGTAGAAGAACAATTGTAGGGTACTTGAGGCTGAGGATCCAGTAAAAATATTGCTGGCAAATCTTAAAATCTTTTTTTAACTGAAAAAAGAAAAAGAAAACCACATTTGATTTTGTTCCTAAACTTACCAGGTCCAGTCACCATTGAATGCCATGACAGTTTCCTAAAATCAGGCTTTTTTTTTTTTTTTTTTTGTGAGATGGAGTCTCGCTCTGTTGCTCAGGCTGGAGTGCAGTGGCCCGGTCTCGGCTCACTGCAGCCTCCACTTCCCGGTTTCTAGCGATTCTCCTGCCTCAGCCTCCTGGGTAGCTGGGATTACAGGCACACGCCACCAAGCCCAGCTAATTTTTGTGTATTAGTAGAGACGGGGTTTCACCATGTTAGCCAGGCTGGTCTCAAACTCCTGACCTTAGGTTATCTGCCCACCTGGGCCTCCCACAGTGCTAGGATTACAGGCGTGAGCCACCACACCTGGCCAGGCATTCTAACCTCAGGTTAAACACTGGTCCCTGGCCAGGTGCAGTGGCTTACACCTGTAATCCCAGCACTTTGGGAGGTCGACGCGGGCAGATCACCTGAGGTCAGGAGCTCTAGACCAGCCTGACCAACATGGCCAAACCCCATCTCTACTAAAAATACAAAAATTAGCCAGGTGTGATGGCACACACCTGTAATTCCAGCTATTTGGGGGGCTGAGGCAGAAGAATCGCTTGAACCTGGGAGTTGGAGGTTGCAGTGAGCTGAGATTGCACCACTGCACTCCAGGCTGGGTGACAGAGTGAGACCCTGTATCAAAAAAAAAAAAAAAAAAAAAAAAAAAAGACAAAAAGCAAACACACACACACAAACCCACTGATCCCAAGCAAAATATTCTGTTTCAGGGATTGTCTGATCACTCCCTCACTCGCTCTATCACTGCAGGTTTCCTCAAAAGGGATAATTTTTCCTTTGCTACCCATGGGGGAAGGAAGAAGAAATGAATTATCTGTCCCAAGAAGGCTCTCACACTCCTTCCAGAACTATGTGAGTGCATTGCCAATCCTTTACAGAATCAGTCTACCAGTTTATAACATGTGGACATTAAAAATATTTAAATTATTTGCATTAGTGGCTTATGCATAAAAGTACATGGATGAAATCCACTTATAATAGATGTGCATCAAAAAGATGTGAATTAAGGAGCTTCTTGGAAATAAATGATATTGCATCTAGAGGCTGGTAGGACTGTTTTCACATGATTACCTAAGAAAAAAACATTAGAATTTGCAAGCCAGGCTTTAATGCCCTGCCAGGATCACAGCTTCAGCAGCAAACAGGAACAGGGTGAAAGCATGGTTATGGAGTAATAACTGGCACTAAGAATAAAACAGACTCATAAATGGAGGAGGGTCTCAATTATACCTTTATGAGTCAAACCAGTCATTCTGGTTTGCCCATTATGTAGCAATAGTACCCTGGTCAGGCTAGCACTCACAGATCTTTAACATTGATCTTAGCAACTGAGTATTGTCTCAGGTTCTTATTTATTGAGAGAAATCAATAGCCATTTGCTCATCCTCAAGAACATTTCATTTGTATTTTTTGATAGAAAATTCTTGAAAATCTGGCTTGCATACCACCTCCTCCTATAATCTCGAACTCTTAGAAGCAGAAATTGCAAAGACTTGATTCTTGCCATCAAGGAGCTCATCATCTGGGGGGATAAAACAAGTTAGGTACACAAAGTACCAGGTAATTTGTGATATCTGATTCCAGAATGATAAAAAACTAAGTCCTGTAAAAGTAGAGAGGAAAAAAGGATCACTCTGGGGTGATCAGGAAGGATTTCATGGAAGATTAAAACTGGGTCTTGAATTGTACAATCTCTGCTTATTTTTATATATATATATATATATAATTTATATATATATAAATATACATATTTATATATTATATTATATAATATATATTATGTTATATATTATAATTATATATTATATTATATTATATAAATTATATATATATAAAATAAGCAGAGATTGTACTATATATATATATATATATATATATATATATATATTTATTTATTTATTTTAACAGGGTCTGGCTCTGTCACCAGGCTGGAGTGCAGTGGCATGATCTTGGCTCACTGTAACCTTCACCTCCTGGACTCAAGTGATTCTCCCGCCTCAGCCTCCTGGGCAGCTGGGATTACAGGCATGTGCCACCACACCTGGCTAATTTTTGTATTTTTTGTAGAGAATGGAGTTTCGCCATGTTGCCCATGCTGGTCTCAAGTGATCAGCTGACCTCAGCTTCCCAAAGTGCTGGGATTACAGGCGTGAGCCACCACACTGTGCTTAAATTTGTTTTTTTGTTTGTTTGTTTTTTGAGACAGAGTCTTGCTCTGTCGCCCAGGCTGGAGTGCACTGGTGCAATCTCAGCTCACTGTAGCCTCTGCCTCTTGGGTTCAAGTGATTTTCTTTCCTCAGGCTCCCCAGTAGCTGGGATTACAAGCTCCCACCACCACACCTGGCTAATTTTTGTATTTTTAGTAGAGACAGGGTTTCACCATGTTGGCCAGGCTGGTCTCGAACTCCTGGCCTCAAGTGATGCCCCTGCCTTGACCTTCCAAAGCGCTGGGATTACAGGTGTGAGCCACCACATCTGGCCATCTGCTTGAATCTCATTCACATATCTATGTGTATTAGTTTTCTACTGCTATATAACAAATCGCCACATGCTTAGCAGCTCAAAGCAACATTTACATATTAGCTCATAGTTCTGAGGGTCAGAAGTCTGGAGGGGCTCAACCGGGCTCTCTGCTTAGAGTCTCACAAGGCTGAAATCAAAGTGTTGGCCAGACTGGGCTCTTATGTGGAAGCTTTCAGAAAGAATCTTCCAACTCCATTCAGGTTGTTGGTAGCATCTAGTTCCTTGCAACTGAGGTTTTGTTTCCTTGGTGGCTGCCACTCAGAGGCCACTTGCTGCTTCTAAAGGCCATCCACATTCTTTTTCATGTGGTCTGCTCTATCTTCAAAGTCAGGAATAGCCCAATAAGTTCTTCTCATGCCTTGTCGATCTCTCCGACATCATCTTTTGCTCTCAGCCAGAGATAACTCACTGCCTCCATATCTTAAAGTCAACTAACTTGGGACTGTAATTATCCCTGCAAAATTGCTTCATAGCATTGCCTAGATTTGTGTTTGGTTGAAGAGCCAGGGGATAGGAATCTTAGTGGCTACTTTTAAAATTCTGCCTACTACATAGATTCTATGAATCTATCTTAAGGTGCTTGTCAATGTTTATCAATTAAATAACAATTATTTATTGGCCTTTTACTAAGTACATCACATCAGTCACACTTATACTAAATGGAATCTTCTTTTTTTTTTTTTTTTTGAGATGGAGTCTCGCCCTGTCACCCAGGCTAGAGTGCAGTGGTATGATCTTCGCTCACTGCAACCTCCGCCTCCCGGGTTCAAGCGATTCTCCTGCCCCAGCCTCCCAAGTAGCTGGGATTATAGGTGCGCGCCTCCATGCCTGACTAATTTTTGTATTTTTAGTAGAGACAGGGTTTCATCATGTTGGTCAGACTGGTCTCGAACTCCTGGCCTTGTGATCGGTCCTCCTCTGTCTCCCAAAATGCTGGGATTACAGGCGTGAGCCACCTTGCCCGGCCAGAATCTTATTTTTCATCTGAAAATTGTTTCAGGTGCTTCAAACCTGAAATCTATCCCAGGCTAAAAAATTTTTTTAAGTCAAACTTTTTTTTCTTCTTTTCTTTTCATTTCTTTCTTTCTTTCTTCTTTCCTCCTTCCTTCCTTTCTTTTTTTTTTTTTTTTTTTTTTTTTTATGGAGTCTCGCTCTGTTGCCCAGGCTGGAGTGCAGTGGTGTGATCTTAGCTCACTGCAACCTCCGCCTCCCGAGTTCAAGCTATTCTCCTGCCTCAGCCTCCTGAGTAGCTGGGACTACAGGCACGTGCCACCCTGTCTGGCTAGTTTTTGTTATTTTAGTAGAGACAGAGTTACACCATGTTGCCCAGGCTGGTCTGGAATGCCTGACTTCAAGTAATCTGCCCACCTTGGCCTCCCAAAGTGCTGGGATAACAGGCATGAGCCACCATGCCCAGCAAACATTTTCAATAAATGATTAAATATAACATATTTAAACTGATGTTTCATAATGTTTCAATGAAGACAGTAACAGAATGTCATCGGTCTGTTTTTAAGCTACACATACTACTTTTTGCCTCATCTTCACCTAGGGAATAGAAGGTTAACTCCTGTTCTCCGACCCTCATCTCATTCATGGAAAATCTCCATCATAATGAGTCACTGTTATCAACTTCTGCATTCATGATGATGATCTCCCCTCTGCCCTGCATATGTTTTGTTCTCATCTGCTTCTGAAACTCTGATACATGTAATGACTTCCCATTCATGTTAGGCCATTCTGGTGTTACCATAAAGGAATACTGAGACTGGATAATTAATAAAGAAAAGCGGTTTAATTGGCTCACAATTCTGCAGGCTGTACAAGCATGGCACCAACATCTGCTTGGCTTCTGGTGACGGTCTCAGGAAGATTCTGATCATGGCGGAAGGTGAAGGGGAGAAGTGATGTCTCACATGGTGAGAGTGGTAGCAACAGAGAGTTGAGGGGGATGGTGCCACACACTTTTTAAACAACCAGGTATCTCATTAACTCAGAGTAAGAACTCACTTATCACCAAAAGGATGGTGCTAAACCATTCATGAGGGATCCGCCCCTGTGATCCGATCACCTCCCACCAGGCCCCACCTCCAATATTGGGGATCACATCTCAACATGAGATTTGAAGGGGGGACAAACATCCAATCTATATCCCCATCCGTTATACCTATCAACATTTTACCCATAGCTCAGGCTTTGCACTAATCTTCCTTTCACCATGCCTTCTGACCTACATTTTTTCCTGAACAACCCCTTTAGCAATCAGTAATATTACTGAGTTACATCACTTGTATTTCGGTCTTAATTGTGTGTGTATGTATATAAATATATCTATTTATGACAGTGTTTTTTAAAACTATTACCCCAAAATATTTAGTGTAGGAAAGGCATTGAAAAATATTTATGTTTTTAAATTGCTCTGATTAGAAAAATCTGACAGCTTCCCATGACTTCCTGCTGTGAATACTATCTCATTATCAGATTCATGGAATTAAAAAAAAAGGAACCAGGGTTTTAACTAATGAACAATATATAATCACCTGGTTGTTGCTCATATATGGATGGGCTTGTATCTGAAGCTTTTAAGAAGGGTATTTCTGGTCAGGTATTTATATTACCAAGCAAATAATAATAAAACATTCTGGAGCAGAGAGGCATTTTTATTAGTGACTTAACTTAGATTTTCTGTGGCTATCCATTTTATCCATTTTCTTTCTCTCAGCTTTTGTGAGTAAGACAATAGCTGCTCACCAAGATCTTCCTCGTCCATAGAAATAGAGTTATGACTGGAAGCAGTTGCGCAACCTGGAACTAACTTTCCCAGCAGCTCTTGCAGCTGTCTGTGGCCATGTGATTAATTTTTGCCAACAAAATATAAGGAGAAATATGGTGTACCAGTCCCTAGCGTAGCCCTTTAAGAAAGTGTCCACACCTTCCTTCCCCACCCCACTTCCTTTAACTGGACCAAAGAGACATCAAGACCTTAGGAAAGCTGAATCTCAGATGGAGGAGCTCGCAGTCCTGATTTTCCATGCGGAAGACCGTTGCAGCTGACTTGGAATATTCACCCTGCTTTATGTGTGATAATCTTCTATTGGGTTTGAACCACTGTACTTTAGAGTCCATTGGCTTCAGCAATGTAGTCTCTCATAACTAGTAAAGTTCATTTTTGTATTCTTGCAAGCATCCCATAGATATGTAGTGTAGCTACCACAGCATACACTTATTTAGAAGCCATCCAAAGGGGCTAAAATCTAAGTGATCACTGAGGAAGATACTCCCCAGCTCTGACTCTGAGGAATAGCTGTTTTCATCTCTGTGAGAAAAAATTATTAGAAGAAACTATTTTTAGTAATTGAAAGCAGAAATTCTAGTTAGCAATTGCCCTGAGACAATGTGGTTTGGGTTTATCAGTTTGTGACTTACAGTCAAGAAGACTTGCCATCTTGCCCGTCTCTGCCTCATCAGAGAAAGTAGAAACTAAATTCTGTTCTACCTAAGGCCAAAACAAGGCTACTCACCCACGTGGATCTCCTCTCATTTTGAATTCTCTCAGGTGTTCTGTCTTCCAGGAAGTGTTTCCTGACCACCACCTCTCCCCACTAATGGCTGGATGAGAGAGAAGGAACATCTGTTCCTTCTCTAAGTACCTCTAAGATTCTTTGTAGATCCCTATCATTGGTTTTACTGCACAACCCCTCAGCCTCATGGCCAACCCTACACCCATTTGTGAGCTCAGGGACACTGTTTTGTTTTTTGTTTTTTTGTTTGTTTGTTTCAGACAGAGTTTCGCTCTTGTTGCCTAGGCAACAGAGTGTAATGGCACGACCTCGGCTCACTGCAACCTCTGCCTCCTGGATTCAAGTGATTCTCCTGTCTCAGCCTCCTGAGTAGCTGAGATTACAGGTGCCTGCCACGATCCCCGGCTAATTTTTGGTATTTTTAGTAGAGACAGGGTTTCACCATGTTGGCCAGGCTGGTCTCAAACTCCTGAGCTTAGGTGATCCGCCCACCTCAGCCTCCCAAAGTGCTGGGATTACAGGTGAGAGCCACCGTGCCCGGCCAGGGACACTGTTTTATTCACCTTTTGGTCCCTCTGCCTACGACAGTGCCTGGCATACAGCAGACGGTTTATAAATGATGGTGGAATGAATGGATGAACCTAAAGACCTCATGAAATTGTCAGAGGCGTTTGAACCAGAGCAACTGCATCTTGAATAGGGGCTGAGTGAAACGAGGCTGAGACCAATTGGCTGCGTTCCCAGATGGTTAAAGCATTCTAAGTCACAGGACTTAGTCAGCACAAGATACAGGTCATAAAGACCTTGCTGATAGGCCGGGCGTGGTGGCTCACGCCTGTAATCTTAGCACTTTGGGAGGCCGAGGTGGGTGGACCACCTGAGGCCAGGAGTTTGAGACCAGCCTGACCAACATGATGAAACCCCATCTCTACTAAAAATACAAAAAGTTAACAGGGCTTGGTGGCCGGTGCCTGTAATCCCAGCTAGTCAGGAGGCTGAGGCAGGAGAATGGCTTGAACCCTGGAGGCAGAGGTTGCAGTGAGCCGAGATTGCGCCACTGCACTCCAGCCTGGGCAACAAGAGGGAGACTCCTCCTCAACAACAACAAAAAGGCCTTGCTGATAAAACTGGTTACAGTAAAGAAGCTGGCTAAAACCCACCAAAACCAAGATGGCCACAGAGTAACCTCTGGTCGTCTTCACTGCTACACTCCTACCAGTGCCATTACGGTTTACAAATGCCATGGCTACATCAGGAAATTACCTTGTATTGTCTGAAAAGGGGAGGCATAAATAATCCACCCCTTGTTTAGCATATAATCAAGAAATAACCGTAAAAATGGGCAACCAGCAGCCCTCTGCCTTTGGAGTAGCCATTCTTTTATTCCTCTACTTTCTTAATAAACTTGCTTTCAATTTACTCTGTGGACTCGCCCTGAATTCTTTCTTCAGCGAGATCCAAGGACCCTCTCCTGGGGTCTGTACCTGGACCCCTTTCCTGTAACAAAATGGTATTTTTCTGTTTATTCTCATAGGACACAACTTCCATAATACTCGTTGCTGCCATCATTTCCAAGCCTCCTCAGAATCTTTTTTTCTTATTCCCATTACCATGCCTCATTTTCTTGTGGTTGAGACTTACATTGCCTTTACTTAGATCAGCAAGACCTATTTGCTCTCTTAAGATATTTCTTTCCGGGCCAGGTGCGGTGGCTCACGCCTGTAATCTCAGCACTTTGGGAGGCTGAAGCGGGCGGATCACGAGGTCAGGAGTCCGAGACCAGCCTGGCCAACATGGTGAAACCCCGTCTCTACTAAAAATACAAAAATTAGCTGGGCATGGTGGCGCGTGCCTGTAATCCCAGCTACTCAGGAGGCTGAGGCGGAGAACTGCTTCAACAAGGACCAGGGAGGCAGAGGTTGCGATGAGCCGAGATCACGCCACTGCACTCTAGCCTGGGCAACAAGAGTGAAACTCTGTCTCAAAAAAAAAAAAAAAAAAGAGAGAGAGAGATTTCTTTCCAAAAGTCCTTCTTGATTATTAATTTTTAATATTCTCAATGCTTTACTGCATTGGACACAGTGTGTCAAGAGATAGGGCTGAGGAATGGAGAGACTCCTGGATCAGAAGTCAGGAAAACTTGGGCCTCTTTTTGTCTTTAAAGACTTCAGTAAAATGCCACAAAAAAGGCCACTGTATAACAATAGTGTGGATTAGAAAAGAATAAGCTATAGAACCATTCTTCAGACAAAATGCTGCTTACAAATAACACTGCATTCTAAAACAGATCAAAGCCGAGCTTGATATGTGGCCTCTGAGAAGCAAAATTTGAAAACCACAAGCCTAGATCATCTCAAAGGTCCCTTTCACCTGTACAAGCCTGTGGTTGTATGTAAATTAATTGCCCTGAATTTAAAAAAAATCTGTAAATGATGTGATCTTTGGTACATTCAAATTTGTCTACAAAGGAATGGTACTATGTGTTAGCTGTGATTCTAGTAAAAATTATCTTCTGTTGACATAACATTTTACAGGGTCATTTACAGAGGCAGTGTGGTATTGTGGTTACTAGCATGGACTTTGGAATAAGACACAAACTGATTCAATCTTGACACTTCCACAAACTGGCTGTGTGACTTGAGAAAGTTACTGAGTCTCAGCCTCAGTTTCCTCCCTGTAAATGAGGAAGAGAATGCCTGCATTACTGACTGTTGGGAGGATGACATGGGATATTGTACACCGAGCATTCAGCATGATGTCTGCATGTGCCAAATCTTCTGTAAAGATTAACTATCATGGCCTGGTGCAGTGGTTCATGCCTGTAATCCCAGCACTTTGGGAGGCCAAGGTGGGAGGATCACTTGAGCTCAGAAGTTGGAGACCAGAGTCTCTCTCTCTCTCTCTCTCTCTCTCTCAGTCTCTCTCTCTATATATATAATTTTTTTTTTTGAGACAGAGTCTTACTCTGTCACCCAGGCTGGAGTGCAGTGGCATTTGGCTCACCACAGACTCCGCCTCCCGGGTTCAAACGATTCTCGTGCCTCAGCCTCCCAAGTACCCGGGCTCACAGGTTCATACCACCATGCCCGGCTAATTTTTGTACTTTTAGTAGAGACTGGGTTTCACCATGTTGACCAGGCTGGTCTCAAACTCCTGACCTCAAGTGATCTACCCACCTCAGCCTCCCAAAGCTCTGGGATTACAGGCGTGAGCCACTGCGCCCGGCCTATTTTTTTAAAAGTGAAAAAAAGGTTAGCTATAATGAATTTCACAATCATTATTTCATGTAATCCTCACAAGTGTTGCTATTGTTATTTACAGGAAATATTGAACCTCAAAGAAATGAAACGACTTATCAAAGTTTAGCCAGTGAGGGCAGACCGATGTTCTTTCCACTGCCCCATGCAGCATTTAAGTGAGAGAAAGAATGATGGTGCACTCAGGGAGGGGAAAATGAAAGGGGAGGGTCCAGGTTGGGAGGCAATGGGGCAAAACCTGAAGACCACACAGGGATGACCCCAGACAAGGTAAGCGTGGGGAGGAGGATTGCGGAAGCCAATTTTACTGACTTGTAATAGTGTGTGAGACTGAAACACTGTCCAAACATGGTACAAGCCAGGATGTCATGGTGACCTCTCCACCCACACGATTCCCCGTTCCACAGCAGAGACAGGGCTTCTCCTGCATTGCCAGCTCAGGCTTCCGCACATAGAAGATGCTCATTGAACATTTGCTAAGTAGTCAGGGTAACGAGGCTTCTCTTTTTATTTTCTCCCCTCTCACAATTTGGAAGACTTTCCCTTGTCCTTAAAATCATGAGGAATAAAGGACTTTGCTTCTTCCTTCCTCAAAACAAAGGGAAGAATCATCCCTGAAGATTCAATTTGGTACAAAGTAACTGATCGATCCTGACAGTTACTCCATTTAGTGTACTTTAAACAGCAGCTCTGGCCTCCTCTCCTCCCTCCTCCGCTTCATCCCAACACTGAAGTCATGGTGCCTAATTTAGGCCACCGTCATAATTTCTACCCACAGCAAGTTGATATCATCCCCAGCAAACACAGCCTCAGAGTACTCTGAAACAAAGAGTCAGAGACCCAGGAAAGAAAATCAAGGAGTATATTCATTCCTCCCTCTATTTCCTGCCCAGGCACTTGCTTATTGTCCTAATGTATTGCAGAGCCTGCTCTTTCACAAGAATATCTGTGGTTCAGAAGCACAATGCAATGACACAGACTGAAATCTCCTTATTTCTACAGTATGTTTCAGTCTATATCTTCAAAATACAAGAGGACATGCAGATGTTGGTCTCGTTCCCTTTAGTAGATTATTCCATGTATTGGAGTTGTTATCATGTAGAGAAAATTACAAAACAAAGAACAAGAAGGATTCAATAATCACAGAACGGCCTGTCCTCATTACTTGTGTGAACCCCCCACTGTATCACAGGGACAGCATGTTAAATCAATAGAGACTCGAGCTGTTAATTTCCAGAAAGGAAGAGATGATTGAACTATAAAATAGTCTACGTCACTTCTCTGCCCATAGGGAACAGAAGTCCTTTTATTTTCGGGTCTTTTTACAATTAGGTAAGTTCCAGGAAGATTACGAACCACATGACAACATTTCTAAGGTTTTTTGTTTGTTTGTTTGTTTTTGGCATAGGGGTGCAATGCTTTGTTGACACAAAGCTATAGTTCTTGTATAGAAGGGATTTTAGTGTAAGGTGGTAAGAGGAATAGGTGTTTATATAGGTGCACATCGGTGAAGGGTGTTGAGGGTAGGGGGCTGGGGAGATAGAAACACACATAGAAGTTAGAAACAAGTAGACCTCATGCCTTGTGTTACTTTTTATTTCATGTGCTCTCCCGCTCAGGGCTTTGCCTCTGCACTGACGGCTGATGGGAGGGGATGCCACTTGTACTTCTTCTTCTTCTTTTTTTCTTTGATACAGGGTCTCACTCTGTTGCCCAGGCAGAGTGCAGTGGCACAATTGCAGCCTCAACCCCTCGGGCCCAAGCAATCTGCACACCTCAGCCTCCCAAGTAGCTGGGACCACAGGTGTGCGCCATCACATCTGGCTAATTTAAAAAATTTTTTTGTAGAGATGGGGTCTCGCTATGTTACCCAGGCTGGTCTTGAACTCCTGGGCTCAGGTGATTTTCCTGCCTTGGCCTTCCAAAGTGCTAAGATTGCAGGTGTGAGCCACCATGTCCAGCCCACTTGTACTTCTTATTTGTTTATTTATTTTTGAGATGGAGTCTTGCTCTGTCGCCTAGGCTGGAGTGCAGTGGTGTGGTCTCTGCTCACTACAACTTCCGCCTCCTGGGTTCAAGCACTTCTCTGCCTCAGCCTCCCGAGTAGACAGGATTACAGGCGCCCACCACCACACCTGGCTAATTTTTGTATTTTTAGTAGAGATGGGGTTTCACCATCTTGGCCACACTGTTCTTGAACTCCTGACCTTGTGATCCACCCGCTCAGCCTCCCAAAGTGCTGAGATTACAGGCGTCAGCCACCGTGCCGGGCCCACTTGTACTTCTTACTGATTCATGGCTATTCTTTTCATCTTTTCTATGCTGGGATTAAGAAAGAGACTGCTTGAATTGCATAGACCCATGATCAATGATGCTTGATCATGTTTGCATGATCAAACATTTGCAGGGTCTAGTGAGAACCAAGGTGGTCGAATAAAGGATAGTTTTACTGAAAGTCGCTTTGCGATGCCACTTCTTCGTGGGTCTGTTCCTTGTGAACTATAATATATGTATCTTCTGGATTACTTTTGAAAAGAGCAGATACACAGATTGTAGAAATCCACAGAGCAGAGAAGTAGGCATTTTTCAAATAAATGTCAGTTGATTCTAATTTTCTAATAAGACTTTGTTCTCATTCTGTTTTATGACCTCTTCAAACTAAGAGTACACTGCATCTGGCTGGGGATTCATTTCTTATCTTAAAAAATTCTTTAAATTATCTGAATGGCCTTGAGTTCTAAACTGCTATCTCTGAGCTATTCCCCAGGAGAAGTAAAAGCAACTTCCCGTTGGCCTCCCCCTCTACCACTGGAATAAATACAAAGGAAGAGAAGGTGTTTCTCCATCCCATCACCTCCCAAAGGATTTCCTACCTCTCAAAGAGCAACTGATCTCCTCTGGGGAGGGGCTGGGCAGGCAGGCTGGGATTCTGAGATAAGGAAGGATGTGCATTCATCCCAGCCTCGTTGTTTCTTCTCTGTCTTCCTCTGCTCCCTCACACTTGATCTAGCTAAGCTAGTCCTCACCAGGGTAGGTGAGTGAGTAGCAGCCACCTTCCACTCTTGATCCCCTCAGTTATCATCAGTGAAAACAGCCTAGAGGCCCAGGGGCAAACCCAGTGACCATGTAGCCTTTGAGATGTGGTGCTTCCTTCCCCAATCTGTACAGGGCTGCCTTCACTCTAGAGTGATGATTCTTAGCCTTCAATGCACGTGAATTCTCTGAAGAGCTTCTAAAAATGCCCGATCCTGGGCCTACCTTAGAGCACCTGAAGCCAAACCTCTGGAGATGGGGATCAGGCAAGAGTGTTGGCCAAAGCTTCAAGACTGAGGGTGAGAATGTGCTTCCTAATGCCCAGTGCTGGCTTAAAGCATTTGGCAAGCCTGCCCTTTTGAGCTGGGCCATGAACCTTCAGTAAGGGCCCAGCCAGATGCTGCCATGCAATCTCACCGAGGCCTCCTGCATTAACTTTCTGTCTTCCCTGTCTTGCTCTTCATCAGTCTTGGTTGCTGCCTGGCTCCTGCTCAGTTAGCATTTCCTCCCTAGACAAAGGCTCTGACCTCAACTCCACCCAGCTCTGCTGTCTCTCTGCCTTGCTGGCCAAGGCCACGGTGACTCACATAAGCCTCTCTCATGACTGACCACAAGCCCATAAGCCTATTTGGAGCTTCTCCTCCTGAACTTTTTCATCCAACGATATTGAGCATCTACGATGTGTCAGGCTCAATGCCAAGTGCTTTGTGTTATTACCACATTTAATCCTGACAACTGCTTAGGAGGAAGTGCTATTATTTCATAGTTAATGAGACAGAGATCCTGAGATGATACTCATGCCCAGGGAGTGTTAACCTACATTTGGTTTTCAAACACAGATCTGGTTGATTCCGAAGGCCATCATCTCGCCATTGCAGAACTGCTCCTCAGCAAAAAAAAAACAAACCCGGTTTCTACCTCAAAGTGTTCCCGGTCTAGTCAGGGAGATAGACACAGGCATGAGGTCAGAGGGAGACTGAGCAGGTATGGGAGCATGTAGGAGGTGCCCTATCCAGAGAAGGGTTCCTGGGGAAGATAATCCTTTGCATGGAATCCCACAAGATGAGTAAAAGTTGCCCAGATGAAAACAGTGAGAACCCCAGGTGCACAGCTGTGGAGACTTCAAGGCTCTTCAGGGACCTACTAGACAATGACATGGCTGGACAATGAAGTGGAGGGTGTAGGAAGGGACAAGAGGTGAAGATGGACAGGCAAGAGGGGCAGGTCATGAGCATTTAAGTTATACTAATATGTTTTGCACTTTATCCTGGGGACAATGGGTAGCAGTGAAGGAGTATGAGCAAAAGAGACATCAAACTGGGATTGCATTGAGGAGGAAGGACTGGCAAAGGGCATGCACCACTAGAGGCAGGGAGAATAGTTAAGAGGTTGTAGTGCAAATTCTGGTGAGAGGTAATGGTGACTGGAATGAAGACATTAGTACTGAAATAGCAGAGAGGGAATGGAAGTAGGAGCAGTTTAGGAGGCCAAAGCAACTGAAATTGACCAAAGACTAAATATAGTGGGTGTGAAGAAGGAAGAGACAAGAATGACTGCTTCTCTTAAGAGTAGCCGGGTGCGGTGGCTCACACCTGTAATCCTAGCACTTCATGAGGCCGAAGCAGGTGGATCATCTGAGGTCAGGAGTTTGAGACCAGCCTGACCAACATGGTGAAACCCCATCTCCACTAAAAATACAAAATTGGCCGGGCATGGTGGTGCACGCCTGTAATCCCAGCTACTCGGGAGGCTGAGGCAGGAGAATTGCTTGAACCTGGGAGGTGGAGGCTGCAGTGAGCTGAGATCGCGCCATTGCACTCCAGCGTGGGTGACAGAGCGAAACTCCGTCTCAAAAAAAAAAATAAAAAAATAAAAAAATAAAGAGTATAGGAAGAGGAGCAGGTTGGAAAAAACGAGTGAGTTTCTTTGGACATGTAAGTGAAAGGGCCCAGTGGGCAGCTGGATATGAAGGGCTGAAGTCCAGGAAAGGGCCTAGACTGGAGATCTAAAAAAAGGCAGTTATCCTGGAGGTCACTGACTTCAACGATGTAATGAGGCACTCAGGCAGAGTAGGCAGGATGAGCAGCGCTGCATCTATAATGACTGCTCCAAGGGGCCCCACTTTCCCTCCAGAGCTTGAAGGCTATTTTGATCCCCTGCTTACTTATTCATGGCCCTGATACCCTGCCTTGTTCTTGCCAGTTTCTTTTCCTTAAAGAACACATATTTCGGCCAGGCGTGGTGACTCACGCCTGTAATCCTAGCACTTTGGGAGGCCAAGGCAGGCGGATCACTTGAAGTCAGGAGTTCAAGAGCAGCCTGGCCAACATGGTGAAACCTCGTCTCTACTAAAAATACAAAAATTAGCTTGGTGTGGTGGCCGGCGCCTGTAATCCCACCTACTTGGGAGGTTGAGGTAGGAGAATAGCTTGAACCTGGGAGGCAGAGGTTGCAGTGAGCCGAGATCGCACCACTGTACTCCAGCCTGGGCAACAGAATGAGACTGTCTCAAAAACTAAAAACAAAAAACATATTTCTCTCTGTGCCCTCATCTACTTGCCAATATACTCCATGAGTGTTCAGCTCTTCCAGAACCACAACTCTGCTGCATTTAATTCCTGCCTTATTGCTGCCGCCTGGAATCCCTCCCTGCTATACACCACCATCCAAATAGGACCCCCTAATATCACTGTTTGTCCAAAGCTTTCTTTGCCCTTTGGGTACCACATCTTGAATAGGCCAAGTTCTGTTGGAGGCCAGTCTCTGGGATTGGGTTCGTTCCTTCCAGCCCAAGTCCTATACCCTAAGTGGGCAGGATTCTCCCTGTTTACTCTCCCTCCCTTTTGTTGCAGGGTTGTGGCCCGATTCAGCATGACTGACTTCACAGCCCACAGAACAGGATGTCAGGCCCCATGCGATGTTAAGGCTGAGGCTGAAACTGATGAAGCCTTGGGGTGGGTGGAAGCCTTCTCTGTCTACCCAGCTTCATGGAGCAGGGGAAGAGGGAACATAGCAGAGGCTGACAGAATAGAAATGCAGAACACCAGAATTTGCTCCTAAGAGAAACTGGCTGTGGAATACCTTAAATTAGAAGGCATAGAAGATGTGTTAGGGATCCCTGTTGCCTTGGTTGGCTTTGGGTGTGGTTCTTTCAAACAGAGGATGATTGGTGGAGTTTTTCCAGCCCTATAATTCTGCTTGTGATGGGGTAGAATTAAAGCTGAAATGTGAGTTCATAAATTGCCTAGCTGGTGAATAATAGAGTTTAAATCTCCTCAAAAAAAAGTTAAACATGAAATCACATTAAAATTCATAGCCATCTGTCTACAATGATCTGATTTGAAAATTGAGCACAATTAATTTTTAATCCTAGGTCAGCTTTCCCCATGCCACCTGTCCCTCTCCTCATCGCCTCCCCCATCAGACAGTCAGTGTGTGCTCAGAGAATGCAAGACCATTTTAAATATTAACCTGAGCCACACAGCCCTAGGAAGATAAATCCACACATACGCCTTCTCTTCTTCCTCTCCTTATTACTAGTAGAGTTGCTCATATATTGCTAAATGCAGCTCTGGCCAAAAATAAATTCTGTAAACTAGGAATGTGGGGTGTGTCTGCCCCCACAAAAATCCCTTTGTTCTGTGTTGAGAAGTGAGCAGAGATACAGAAGTAGAAACCCAGGGTCATCGCTGAGGAAGAGATAGTGTTACTGAGCCTCAGCGTGCGTGTGTGTGCCTGTTGTTCTGTTAGAAGCAAGCGTTATTGAGTTTGGGGGAAGACCTGGATGCTTTAAAATTTTTTAAGGTAGACTGCTTGACTTCCTCCCTCAACTACTTGATTTTGGATGGGAAGAAATTTTATAAGAAGGGGTACAGGAATAGACATAGGCTTGGCAGACTAAGGCCAGTTATCACCAAGAAGCTGCCATGATCCATGATCAAGCATTCTCCAAGAGTGGGCAGATCAGAGCTAAATCAGCTAAGTCAGGAAGCCGCCATCAGCACCATGAGACGCCAGCATACTTCAGGAGAGGAGCTCTTCTGATGGAGATGCTCTGCTGAATGAGGCCTTTTCTCTGGAGGAATTGAAACATGCCTATTTTTAGTGAGGTTCCATCTCCTCAATATCGGAGTTCTCATCTTCTATGACAGATCCTCTCGCACTTGGGGCCAGGAATACCAGCTTGGGGGTTCAGATATTGGCAACCGCATAGATCCTAATAGAGCAGACTGTAGGAATAGGGCAATAAATCCTGAGGATGTGATAGACCATTCTCAATGAAGCCAGAAGCCAGAAGAGGGTTGCTACTTCTTTAACGTCATTATTATTATTTTTTTTGAGACAGGCTCTCCTGCTGTCATCCAGGCTGGAGCGCAGTGTCTCAGTCATGGCTCACCACAGCCTCAACCTCCTGGACTCAAGTGATCCTCCCATCTCAGCCTCCTGAGTAGCTGGGACTACAGGCGTGCATCACCACACCCAGCTAAGTTTTGTATTTTTTGTAGAGATGGGGTTTTGCCATGTTGCCAAGGGTGGTCTCGAACTCCTGGCCTCAAGCAATCCATCTGCCTCAGCCTCCCAAAGTGCAGGGATTATAGGCATCAACCACATTGCCTGGCAGAGGTAGGTTTTTAAATGGCAATGAAAACCCCTGATTGAAGAATGACCCATTTCGGGAAAATAAAGCTAATATGGCAAATGGGCTGTGCCTCTAGGTTAGTCTCTTTTTAGTGATTCATGAGAGAGATGACATCCAGGGGCCAAAACTTTAAAATGTTAGCTAAATGTCAGCTAGATAAAGAGAAATTACGTGACAAGTACAATGCTTTTTTTTTTTTTTTTTTTTTGGAGACAGCATTTTACTCTGTCACCCAGGCTAGAGTGCGGTGGCAAGATCGCAGCTCACTGCAGCCTCAACCTCCCAGGCTCAGGCACTCCTCCTGACCTCCTAAGTACCTGGAACCACAGGAATGTGCCACTATGTCCGGCTAATTTTTAAAATTATTTGTAGAGACAGGGTCTCCCTGTGTTGCCCAGGTTGGTCTTGAACTCCTGACCTCAAGTGATCCTCCTGCCTCAGCCTCCCAAAGTGCTGGGATTACAGGCATGAGCCACTGCACCCAGTCAGTATAATACTTTTGATCAAAGTGACTGCAAAGGAAGAAATTTAAAGTAGTCACTAATGAAAACACAAGGCAATTATTAACTTCAGGAAAAACAAAATGCAACAAAGAAATTTAATCATAATACACTACAATGCTCCACTTTTTTTACATGTATATGATAATGTAAACACACAGTGAATTAACCAAAAATTATAATATAATTATGTAGGGAGAATTAGGGAGAGAAAACAGAAGAGATGGCTGAAAAGAGTGCTAAATTCTCATTTACCGTAATAGGAAAATCATATATCTAAATTATCTAATCAAAAGAGAATAGTACATGCATATTATTTAACATATGGCAATGTGTAAATGCCTGAAGAAACAAGACTGGGGAGAGGGAGAAAGAATAAAAAAGGAAACAGCTGAATTTCACTGGTCTTTTAATACTATTGAACTTTTAAAATTATATTTATGTATTTATTAAAACAATTTTGAAGTAACCTTTCTCCAAAAGGATAAGACAAAACAGAAAGTCTTTACCGTTAAGAATGTGTAGAAAGATAAATTAACTTCAAGTTCTAAATACAATGGATAACATAGGAAGGGATTAGAGTCAGGAATAAGGTAAAAATGTCTTGGTTGATGTAGGCACTGTTCGATAACAGCTGATTACAAGGGTATTTATTTGTACCTAGGCCTTGTGTTATTTTAAACCTTCTTGTTGCTTATATATTATATTTATAATAGAGATTAATAAAAACTTCCTTAATAAAGAGGTATTTTGGGGACAGAAATATACTGGGTGGATCATGTTCTATATACCTACTTTTAAAATTATCCAGACAGGAAGAATGCCTAATCAGTGGGCCTGTGCATCCATAAACAGACATCACTGTCATTCATCAAGTACAGGCTACCTGAGGAGCAAGCATATTGAGTAGGAAGAATTAATCATCTCCCATAAGACTCAAGACTACGACAGTCATGTCTTCAACCCACTTCTTTATTCTTAGCTCTCTTTTAGAAATGCTAAATGTAAAGAAGTCTGCCCAAATATATCTTTTGGTGGCATGTAACACCATTTAAGCAAAGATGCTGTCACCTTAATGTATGACTAATGTTGAGTAGAAAACTTTCACCCTGTAACACAGGGTTTTTCAACCTTGGCATTATCAACATTTTGGGTCCGACCGTTCTTTATTGTGAGGGCCTGAACTGTGCATTGGGGGGATATTTAGCACCATCTCTGTCCTTTAGATGCCAATAGTATTCTGCCACCTCCCCAGTTGTGACAACCCAAACTGTCTTCAGACATTGACAAATGTCCCTGGCAGGGGGTAAAGGGAGGAGGGGTCCAAAAATTTTCCCCAGTTGAGAACCACTCCTTAACACATCATTTTTTCTGGTACCCAACTGATGCTTAAAATTAGTGAATTCTCTCTTGGAAGAGCTACCTTATAGCTGGAATTCTCCTATTCTAGCTCATCAAAGATTTAGGCTTAGTCTATATTATTAACTCTGCAGCAAAGAACATCTAAACAGTGATTAAAATTTATTATACCACTCTGCATCTGACAACTGAGACATGTTGAGAAGATTCTCCCTAAAGTATAATTAGGTGATGTAAATTACCTAAGTATTTTAAAATCTGGAATAAAATTGAAAATGAAAAGAATCCTTTCATGACATCCTGACACACTGGTTAGATGTTTCTCCAGGCAGGGCAGTCTTGCTCCCAACATCTTCGTAATCTCCACCTCAACTGTGTTTCCTTAGCTTTTAAGAAACCTGGGGCCAAACTCATAAAGGGATTGAGTTGACCAAAGGCACTTCAGTGAAGATCCCCTGGCCAGAGTGAGGAGGACTAGGTCTGGGACATAAATAGCTGCTTCATCATCAAAGCCTCCTGCCCAAGAGAAGGCTTTCATGAGAACTCAGCTCATTGTGTGAAAATTCAGATGACTGAACTATAATTAGCTCTATTAGTCAACATTTTAATTCATCGGATTCTGGCTTTGATGTGTTCCTTTCTCACAGAATCAAAGCTAATAATTGTGGAATCGTAATTGGGAGCTGAGTGCCAGCTTGAAACATTGGGAGCTCCTCACCTCCTTAGCAAGCCATGCCTTCAAAACTGCAGCTGCCTGGCCATAAATACTTATGAACTTGGCCCAGGCACCTCAGCCTTGCCCTTTAGCTCCTTGCTTCACAGGAAATTTCTGGGAGTCCCCTCTCTGTGAGTTAAA
Source organism: Homo sapiens (assembly GCF_000001405.40). Taxonomy (NCBI): domain Eukaryota; kingdom Metazoa; phylum Chordata; class Mammalia; order Primates; family Hominidae; genus Homo; species Homo sapiens. The sequence continues at coordinate 44,093,822 of NC_000002.12, read as the reverse complement.
ATCCATTATTTAGATTCTAAATTTGCAGTGGTTGACATTAAACTATTGTGTCTGTACCTCCAAAGCCTGAGAACATAATAGGTGCTCAATAAATTTGGAGGTGGTGATATTGTAGACAAAAAATGGAGCAGATCATTGGTTAAATGATGTCTTAGTCCATTTTCTGTTGCTATAATGGAATACCACAGACTGTATAATTTATAAAGAAAGAGGTTTGTTTGGTTTCATGTTTCTGGAGGCTGGAAAGTCCAAGACAGGGTGACCACATGTGATCAGCTTCTGGTAAGGGCCTCGTGCTGCATCATAACATGACAGAGAAGCAGCAGGAGAAGTGGGCACAGGCAAAACTGGCAAAACACAAGGGGCAGCCTCACTTTATGACAACACACTCTCATAGTAACGAACCCGGTCCTGTAATAATGAGAACTCACTCACTCCTTCAAGAATGAACTCAGTCCTGTGAGAATGGCATCAATCCCTCTTTACAACCTAATCATCTCTTAAGGCCCCACATCCCAACACTTCCCCATCAGTGACCAAATTTCCATCACTTGAATTCCGGAGGACACACTCAAACCTGGCATTTGGTATCTAATAATCATCCTCCCTGTTTCAGCAATAAAACCTGATTGAAACAATCAGTTGCAGTAATCATATTCTTCTTGATCAAACATAAGTAAATGAGATAATTCTGACGAATGAGGTACGATCAAAAGTTTGCTGGGGAGATTCCGGAAGGATTTCCTTGCTTTAAAAGGTAGACATAGAAAGAGACAGTCCTGGGTGGGGTGTGGTGGCTTATGCCTGTAATCCCATCACTTTGGGAGGCCGAGGTGGGCGGATCACCTGAGGTCAGGAGTTCGAGACCAGCCTGACCAACATGGAGAAACCCCATCTCTACCAAAAACACAAAATTAGCCGGGCGTGGTGGCACAAGCCTGTAATCCCAGCTACTCAGGAGGCTGAGGCCAGAGAATTGCTTGAACTGCGGAGGCAGAGGTTGCGGTGAGCCAAGATCACACCATTGCACTCTAGCCTGGGCAACAAGAGTGAAACTCCATCAAGAAAGAAAGAAAGGAAAGAAAGAAAGGAAAGAAAGGAAAGAGAAAGGAAAGAAAGGAAAGAGAAAGGAAAGAAAGAAAGACATCTTTCAGTGTTGTGTTTCCGTGTGACTCCTAGAACTGTGCCCATTATCTTGAAACCACAAGAAGACTACCTGGGGACAATGCAGACAGGTTGAGGATGTAGAGCAGAGAGATGAAAGAATGTGTGGGATCCATGATATTGTTAAGCTATGGATCAGCCAACCCTGAGGCTACCTCTGGATTTCTTACTAAATAAATACTGTGTTCCTTATTGTTAAGCTATTCTCAGTTGGATTTTTTGTTTATTATAGCTGAAATCATCCTAATTGACAAAATTAGTTAAACAGATCTTTTTGTATAGGAGGTATTTAGGTGAAAGGCCAGCTTAGTGGGAACCTTATTATAACAGATACTGTTTAGTGAGCACCAACCATGCACCAGGACCATACAACCATTGACTTTAATCCTCACAATAACTCCCTGAGGTGATTTTTATTATTTGCTTTTTACAGATGAGGAAACTGAGACTCTAAAGCCATAGGTAAATTTATATAAGTTGCCCAGTTGTTATGTCCTGCAACACAGATTCAAACCCAGATCTAGTCTGCCTCCATGTTTTTCTCTACTTTCCACCTCTTCTTAGCTTCCACACAATGGAAGAAATGAGGACAAGCATACTGAGGAAGACTAGTTGGTTTGATGGTATGGCATAGAAGAAACAAAAAGGAGAAACCCCATCTCCTGAAACTGCCTGGATGGGTAATGAAGCCATTGTCCTCATCCAAAGCAGCCATTATGAGAGGTCCTGGATGCTGCTTCTAAGCAAGAAGGAGGAATGGGAAACACCCTTGGACATTTTGATACTGGGTGTCTGGATTGGTCCTGCAAACCTTGCCATGGCATTTGGAATTGGGAAAGGCTAAAACTCTTGACACTGGCTTCTCTCATGCATTTCTCACTGAGGGAAATCCTATCTCTCATATTCATAATACAGTCTCTGCAGACAAGCTCAAAAAGAGCTGTTTCCTGTGTTTGCCTCTCCCTTCCCCATCACCTCCCCAGATACTTTCCCCAAACACACACGCACGTGGTGCCCAGTAAAGACAGAGAATGGTGGTACTAAGCTCTTGGGACTGAGCGCTGGCCCTATTCTGATCCTGGCTTGCTCAAGAGAGGACTGATTCTGGTAAAAGCTTGGAAGGTGTTATAGACTGAATATTATTTTCTGGAGACTCTGCAGGACACGGGTAGGAAAGTGTGGGGGTTTCTTCAGTTCCTATCAAGCACTGCCTCTCCTTGTTGACCTTGCCCAAGGAAATGAATAAATCCCATACCCTCCAGCTTCCATTTTCTTCCCTTGTAAAACGAGGATGGCAGTTGACCATAAAAACCCAGAGACAACTGCCATAAACCCCCAGAGCTGCTAGTTGAGACAGATTAGAGACCATTCCGGCACCATCTGCAGTGTTTATCCTTGGCTTACCACCTCTTCCTTCTCCAATTCCTATTAGTCTCATGCATCTAATGGTCACCCAAAGATGGAATTTTCTTCACATTTCCTGAAACACTGTGAAGGCCTGATCAATGAACGAATCTCTGAATCAATGAACAGACACTGCAAGAGCTCCTTGGCATAACACTGAGAAACCTGAAACAGTGGGAGGATGTCTAGGCTTACATGGAAGCCAAAGATGTGTTCACACACACACACACACACACACACACACACACACACACAGAGCGAGAGAGAGGGAGAGAGAGAGGGAGAGAGACAGAGCGCGTCCTGAAGCCCTTCACATGAGAGGGTGTCTTGATTCACCTGTGACTGGTCCTGTACCCTTGAGGAATGCTGCCCACTTAGCGGGGAGGCCTCTGGGCTGCTGCTTTCCTGACTTTCTATTTATATCAGGCCAGACCTGGGCAGGAAACAGATGGCACACTCAAATTGAGTAATTTGAGAAGAGTTGAATAAAGGGGCTATTTACAAAGGTGCAGGCAGGATGTAGGGAAACCACAGGGGTAGTGTAATAAGTAACAGCAACTTGGCCACCCTAGGCCTCAAGGGGTCAGGAGTGGTGCAGTCACCAGAACCTGTAGAGTATGCCCTGCATGTTTAGCAGCACCTGAGAAGAGCTGTGACCATGTGTCAAAGGATACAGCCAGCCCAGAGGTGATCCCCCAGGGCTCCCACACCTTTTCTTCCCTCTGATCTCCTACCTAGGATACCCACTGGCTAAACCCAACTAGAAGCCAAAGAGTAACCAAGCCCATTGATACCGTTAGTGGCATAGGGCAGAGTAGAAAAGAATCACGAGTCGATTTAGAAAGGCAAACTGAAGCATCCAGCATACTAACCTAACTAACACTAACTAACATAACTAACACTAACTAATAGTGTTAATACATAACACTATTTAGAGTGGGGAGGAAGACTGGAGCTCTGGAGCGACTCTGCCCCATTCTTGCCATGTGACTCTGCACAAGTTACTTAACCTCTCTGTGCATCAGTGTCCTCATCTGTAAAGTAGGCCTAACAACACTAACCTCAGAACTGTAGTAAGGATTAATGTTTCATGTATCTCCTTCAGAGATAACATACAGGCCGAGCGCAGTGGCTCATGCCTATAATCCCAGCACTTTGGGAAGCTGAGGCAGGTGGATCACTGGAGGTCAGGAGTTTGAGACCAGCTTGGCCAACGTGGTGAAATCCCATCTCTACTGAAAACACAAAAATTAGCCAGGCATGGTGGCCCGCGCCAGTATTCCCAGCTACTGGGTAGGCTGAGGCAGGAGACTCACTTGAACCCCGGAGGTGGAGGTTGCAGTGAGCCAAGATCATGCCATTGCACTCCAGCCTGGAATACAGAGCAAGACTCTGTCCCCCACTAAAAAAAAAAAAAAAAAATTAAAAATTAAAAGGGACAGAGAACGTAGGTGAAGCACTTAGCATATAGCAGGCACTCTATGAATACTGAATCCTTTCTTGTCTTCCTTGTCTCCTTCCTGTCCTTTCTCTCTTCTTTCGTCCTCTTCCTTCCTTACCTCTCTGAGGTAAATGTGTGGGGATAGGGTCCTACACTTTGTATGTGACACTATTATATGCACTTGATCATATTGCCTGATTGATAGTTGAAAGGCCCTTTCCTTCCTTGGAGGCTTCATAACATCCTGGAAGTAATCCGCCCAGTCTTGGAGCCTACAGCAGTTACTATGGTTTAAAAAGTTCTTGCTGGGGTGGTTGACATGGTCCTATCTCTTCTCATGGGTGGTTACAAGGTTACTAGAATGTTTGCTTTATGCATTTTGAAGCTGTATATTTGTTTTATGCTGTTGTCTGTATTTGTTTTAAATTTAACAATTTAAGAGCTTCAGAAATATTTTCAAAATTTCATATAACCATGAAAAATAAAAACTTTTCATTGTCTGCTTTCTCCTTGTTTTTAAAGTGCCTGCTCCTTCCTCTCTACCTCCCTGTGGTTAGGATGGATCTGAATTATCACCAGGTTCTCAACAAAAGGCCTTTGAAAAGATGATATTATTGGTGACGAGGGGACCTGGGAGCACTTATTTCTTCCTGGTCACATATTTCTTCCTATTCACAGATGCAAGAAACTCAGGCTGGGTCTAAATGCTTTTCCTGAACGTACACCTGGGACAGCTATAGGGGATGCTCCACACCCCTGTACTTTCCTTGCATGGTTCTGTGATGCTTCTTAACTTTTGCCAAAATCCCTGCCCTTCAATGTCCAGTTTGATCTCTGAGCAAGTGGCTTCCTCTCTTCTCTTTCAGCCTCTCTCAGCCTCCTTAGAGGTCCGAGTGCCTGTAGTGTGGGACTCCTGTTCTCTGCCAAGCAGCTCTCCCACTGTTTCCAGGTTCTGTCCTCAACACTACTTTTAAGCAGATGCCACAGCAGAGTGGAGAAATGCTTTTCAAAGCCATTCACTTGGCATTCTCCCTTTCTATTGCAATGTAATGTCTCTCTCCATCCTTCTTTCATCCTGTGCTTTACCAAGGGAACAAAAAGCTCCCCATGTCTATACACTCATCAAGACTCAAAGTTCCACAGTGGCAGGAATGGTATCTTTCCATGTTTTCATAAGCTAAATTGCCTGTCTGAGTAGTTGACGCAGAATAGGAGCTCAAGAAATGGTTGTTGAATTGAACTGAATCGAATTTTCCTTCTCTTCTTGCCTGCATGAAAACCATCTATCTCTTCAGCCTAGCCTGATCACTCCAGTGGACTGCAAACTAGGAAGAGCGCTTTTGCCCTTTCTGGGAGTTGGTATTCATATGGCAGCTGCAGCAGCATGTAAAAAGGTGGAATGGGAGGTAGAGAGGAAGGAGCAGGCACTTTAAAAACTTCTAAGGCTCATTTGTTTTTAACATTATAGCTTTTCTCTTTCTTCTCCTTAGCATAAGACGCTTCTGCTGTCTTGTAAAGGATCTCACAGCTGATCCTTTTTGCTTGTATTTGCTTATTTTGCCTCTGGAACAGTCGGAGACAAACTCCCAGCTCCTTCCATTCCCCACCCACCAAACCTGGCGCTGGAAGAGCAGGCGTCCCGGTGCTTTTGATGCTTTTACTTTTGCTAAAACTAGGCAGGGCCTGGAGATGAGAGAGTGAGCTCGGTCATTCAGCTGCTGTGTGCCTCACCTTTCCTCATCCGCAGCTGGGTAGCTAGGAGTGACCCGTAAGAAATAGTGTGTGCTTGCTACTGTTGGGATGAAAAGTTCCAGTGTGTGAAACGTGTGATTTATGGCTCTGAGGCATTCAGACCCAATTCCTGGGTGAGAGCATCCAAAGCAGGGGCCTCTTGGCCCCTAAGTTACAAGGTGTCTTCCCACGACTAATCAGGACACAATTAGGCCAAATCAGCTGCTTTCCTTCTCCCTCCAAGTTCCAAAGTCCAAAGGCTTTCCTGCTGACTGACTGCAGTGGTTACTTTACAAGGGGAAGGGAAGGTGAAGTAAAAAGGCAGATTCCCTCTGGAGGCTCTCTGCTGGCTCTAAGGATGCCTCCCCAAACACCACTGTAATATCTACCCTTTCTTCTCTCCCCAGTTAATGCCACCCTCATTCAGGCTCCAAAACTCAAGTGACCCTAAAAAGCCCATAGCATGGAGCCACTGGTAGCACCCTTATCTCCTGAAGATGAAACTACAAGTGTTTGCAAATAAATACTCCCCGCAGCAATATGTATCAAGAAGGACATCGTACTTGTCCGAACGCCCAGTAGGAGGGCCTTTTGCCCAAATGAATGGGAAATCATTGGCCCAATTAACATCCTGTGATCTTAGATCTAAAAATGACCCGGAGCCGGGTAAACAAGGTGACGTCAGCGGACTGGGCAGTGAACGGCTCTCTACTGCCACCTCGAGGAGAGTGTCCTCAATGGCGCGGCGGCTCCGGGCCCAGGGGAAGCGGACCTGGGACGGCTGGAAGGGAACTGGGGGAGAACTGGCCGGCGCTGGAAAGGCGCGGGGAAGGGAAGAAACCCACAGAGGGGCAAGAAGCTCCTCCGTGACCTCAGCTAGAGGAAAACGAGGGCTGCGTAATCCGGGCCATTGGGCGTTACTGCGCTGTCCCGTCTGGCTTCTGATTCCTGGGAGCCTTCTTTTTATAAAAGGAGTCAGACACCGTGAACTCTTGCCAGAATAACTTCTAGCTAAAACTGGGCGGGGACACAATCCTCAAGGCTGGGCACCCTTAATGAAAGCAGTTCCCAGATTTCCAGTCCTGGAGGGAGAAGCAGTGGCATGGCCAGGCTAATCGCAGAGGGCTACAAGATTTGGGGTTTTGCTTCGGGCTTCGCTGGGACTGGGGCGGGGGAGGGAGTGCAGGGGTGGAATAGCCCTAATTTACTTTCCCGTCAGGCTAATGCGAGAAGGAGGCTGCGGAGCTTTCTGCAGGACACAAGCAGCATGCTGGGAGATGCCCCAGAAATGCGCTGGGCCCGGGGTCGGGGAAGGTCAACTGCGCATTATTGCTTTTCCCCTGCAGATGATACACAAAAGGAAAATGAGTTGGTTTTTAACTTGATGAAAACAAACACAAACTCATTTTACTTTTGGATCAGTTTTGCTGCGTTACAAACCACCTCAAAGTGCTGAGAACCAGGTAGGGGAATGGAGGAGGAAGGGTTCTCCTGGCAGAGAGAGCCGCGGGTATGAAAGGTTTTTTCTTGCAGGGGAGAGGGAGGTGAAAGAAGGCGAGTGGTGCTAGAGCGCGGGGGAAAACAGAAGAGCACACTTCCCAGGGGTCAAGTAGGGCCTTGGGAGTCACAAGAGAATTCCTTCTTCATTCTAAAAATAATGGGTTTGGGAAGCCAAAGGTGGAAGGATTGCTTGAGCCCAGGAGTTGAAGACTAGCCTGGGCCACATATTGAGACCCCGTGTCTACTAAAATAAATAAATACATACATACATAATTTAAAGGTTTTTTTTTTTTTTTTTTTTTTGAGACAGAGTTTCACTCTGTCACCCAGGCTGAAGTGCAGTGGCAGGATCTCTGCTCACTGCAACCTCTGCCACTGGGGTTCAAGTGATTCTCCTGCCTCAGCCTCCGGAGTAGCTGGGATTACAGGCGTCCGCCAGCATGTCCGGCTAATTTTTGTATGTTTGGTAGAGACGGGGTTTTGCCATCTTGGCCAGGCTGGTCTCAAACTCCTGACCTCAAGTGATCTGTCCACCTTGGCCTCCCAAAGTGCTGGGATTGCAGGCGTGAGCCACCACGCCTGGCCTAATTTTTGTATTTTTAGTAGAGATGGGGTTTCACTATATTGTCCAGGTTGGTCTCGAACTCCTGACCTCAGGTGATCTACCTGCCTCGGCCTCCTAAATTGCTGGGATTACAGGCGTGAGCCACTGCGCCCAGCCAACTATTTAAGGGCTGTATTGGTGAGAAGGTTTTTTAGCTACATATAACAGAAGACCCAACTAGAAGTGACTTAAACATAAGGATATTTATTATCTCATATAACAAAAAGCAAAAGACAGGTGCTTCCAGAGTAGTTTGGGGTGGTCAATATTGTCATGAAGGATCCTTTTATCTTCACTATCCTTAGCCTATTGGACTTGTCCTTAGGTTTGTTACCTTATGGCCACAAAGTAGCTGCCTCAGTCCCAGGTATCGTATAGACATGACTCCATCTAGCCAAAGAAAGTTAAATTTTTTTTCCTCGCAACTTTTTACAAAGGAGGAAAACCTTTCCCAGAAACCCCCAAACAGACTTGCCCTCAGGCCCTGTTAACAAAAAAAAATTATTTAATGATACTGGTTAAAGCACAGTAAGGAAGACTTTATTCAGGACCATTGTCATAGGTGTAGGGACTACTGAAATGGGATTTTCCAGTGCAAGTGAGATTGAGCTCAACTCTGACAGCAAGGGCCACTGGGAATTTAAGCTAAGAAGCAGGGTTGTGGTTGGGGGGGCAGTGGATGGAAAATTACTAAGAGAAAACATAAGCTGGACACAGTGGCTATCACCTGTAATCCCAGCACTTTGAGAGCCTGAGGTGGGAGGCTTGACGCCAGGAGTTCAAGACTGGCCTGGGCAAGGTAGCAAGACTTCATCTCTACATAAACTAAAAAAATTAGCTGGGCATGGTGGTGCACGCCTGTAGTCCCAGCTGCTCAGGTGGCTGAGGTGGGATGATCGCTTGAGCCCAGAAGTTCAAGGTTACAGTAAACTACAATCGCGTCACTGCACTCCTGACTGGGCAACAGAGTGAGACCCTGAGAATAGAAAGGAAGGGAAGGAAGGGAGGAAGAAAGGAAGGAAAGGAAGAAAGGAAGGAAGAAGGGAGGAAAGAAAGACCAAAAAAAAGGAAAAGAAAAGAAAGAGAGAGAGAAATAAGGAAAGAAAGAAAGGAGAGAGAGAAAGAAGGAAAGAAAGAAAAGAGAGAGAGGAAGGAAGGAAGGGAGGGAGGGAGGGAGGGAGGGAGAGAGAAAGGCATCCGAGTGGGTTAGGGGAAATTCTGGCTAAACTGACCTGACAGGATTCTTGTTGAAGGCAGCCCATGGTTATCAGTTATCATCTGGAAGATGATGGAGAATGAGGAACTCAGTCAGATATTAAAGGCGATCAGACATTGAGAGTGGGATATTCTTGCCAAATTGACTTAGCGGGGTTTTTGCTAAAACTGGATTTTACAAGGAAGTATACAGATGGGCCTAGGAGAAAGTTCAGAAGGCTGACTAGAGTTTGGCCAAGCAGAGAATTTATGTCAGCCTCACTGGCCACAATTAGGTTATGTGCCCAAGGCCTAGTAGAAGGAACTAGGGAGCCTGTCTCATAGAAGGAGTTTTCTGCCAGCAAGGAGGGAGGGAGAGGGAAACGGTCTTTTGGAGAGGCAGCAAAAAGTGTGCACTATGAGGGTGTGGGTTGATATAATCAGATATGCAGTCTGAAACTGTTTCTCTGGCTGCCAATTTCTGCACATTGCACATGCTAGCACCTCTACTGGCTATAGCTGCCGCTATCCTTTTCTGACTAGTTCCTACACACCATCCTTGAGGTCTTAGGTTAAGAATCATTTCTTCCTGGAAGCCACCTCTTACTCCTTCCACACTTGGTTAACTATTCTTTTATTATATTTTTTCCTATTTTTTTTTCCACTCTTGAGACAGAGTATAGCTCTGTCGCCCAGGCTGTAGTGCAGTGGCGCGATCTTGGCTCAGTGCGATCATGGCTCACTGCAATCTCTGCCTCTTTGGTTCAAGTGATTCTCCTGCCTCAGCCTCCCAAGTAGCTGGGATTACAGGCACGTGTATTTTTAGTAGAGACCAGCCTGTATGTTAGCCAGGCTAGTCTCGAACTCCTGACCTCAAGTGATCTGCCCGCCTCGGCCTCCCAAAATGCTAGAATTACAAGAGTGAGCCACCGCGCCCGGCCCTAACTTTTTTTTAAAGAGTCTCTCTATGTTGCCCAGGTTAAAGTATACTGGCTATTCATATGGGTGATCACAGCACATTGCAGTCTCAAATTCCTGGCCTCAGTGTTCCTACCGCAGCCCCCTGGCTTTGGCTGTTCTTGCACTGTGTTTCCATACCATTCTATATGTCCCTTATCAAAGCTGGAATCATGATTTATGAAAATCACTTGTTTAAACCCTAAGCTAACTAGAAGCATCAAGAGTACCAAAGCCAGACCCCACCTGTCTTGCTCACCATTATCTCTTCACACGTAGTCTAGTGCCTGACATGTAGTATATGCTGGATAAATATTTTTTGGATAAATATTTTTTAGATAAATGAATAAGCAAACATTTAATAGAAGCTGTTAAAGGCCTTTCAATCTCACAGGTTTCTGACACTCTTACCCTTTGTACCAGAAATGCCCAAGGCCGCTGGGACAGCAGTGGGCCAAAAGTCTCAGGACTCACATTGCTGTCCTTGGCAAGGGGGCACATCAAACCCCACAGAAGACCGCTGGAAGTGACAGCTCAGTTGTGAACTAATCCAGACTGAAATATAAGCAGTGGGTCATTGTCTGCTCCCTGGAGACATTGGCTTCTTGTGGGAGAATTGCAAAGTGGGGCTGGCACAGATCATTGTGCAGTATTGGCGGGCTCCAGTGTGAGTGCAGTGTTGCCTAATAAACACTTCTAATTTCCCTTTTTTTTTTCTTTTTGAGATGGACTCTGGCTGTGTCACCCAGGCTGGAGTGTAGCGGCAGGATCTTGGCTCACTGCAATATCTACCTCCCGGGTTCAAGCAATTCTGCCTTAGCCTCCCGAGTAGCTGAGATTACAGGCGCCGGCCACCACGCCTGGCTAATTTTTGTATTTTTAGTAGAGACGGGGTTTCACCATGTTGTCCAGGCTGGTCTCAAACTTCTGACCTCAGGTAATCCACCCACTTCAGCCTCCCAAAGTGCTGGGATTACAGATGTGAGCCACTGCGCCCGGTCCACTTTTAATTTCCTTTTGATTCACTTTGATCACTAGTTCATTCTGTGACCTCCACTGATTATATTATGTGTTCAAAGACACAATACCCTTCATGTCCAACCTACTTTGTGACATTCTGTTTATTTCAGAACAGGGTTTACTCAAAATGCCCTGTGCCAGAGAGGCAGGAGTCACCTCTGCAGGTATCACATGTGGAATGAGAACAACCAGGAGAGTGTCTTTGAGGAGGCAGTATGATGTCTTGAGAAGAGCACTCGATTCGAGAATCTAGAAGGGTTTCAAGTCCTGATGTGCCAGCATTTGAGTATGGGAAGGTCAGCAGGCACCAGCAACCAAATTCCTTTAAAGTCTTACTGAGTAGCTTGGACTTTCTCCTGTGCCCTGGGGCATGACAGGGCCAAATCAGAGTTTGTGTTTTTTTTACTGAGACAGGGTCTCGCTCTGTTGCCTAGTCTGTAGTGCAGTGGCATGATCCCAGTGGCCTCAAACTCCTGGGCTCAAGCGATCCTCCCACCTCAGCCTCCCGGGTAGCTGGGATTACAGATATGTGCCACTATGCCTGGCTAATTTTTTTTATTTTTTGTAGAGACAGGGTTTCACCATGTTGCCTAGGCTGGTCTTGAACTCTTGTGTTGAAGCCATCTGCCTGCCTCGGCCTTCCAAAGTGCTAGGATAACAGGCGTGAGCCACCATGCCCACCAAATCAGAGTTTTTGAAAGATCTTTTTGGCAATAGTGTGGAGGGTTTATTGAAGGGGAAAAATTGGATTGGAAGTGACAAGATGAGTTAAGATATAGTCCAAGTGAAAGGTGATGGGGCATAGACCAGGACTGAAGCACTGGAGATGAGAAAGAGAATGAATAAAGACCTTTTAGAAGGAGAACTGGCCTGGGTATGGTGGCACATGCTTGTAATCCCAGTGCTTTAGGAGACAGAGGTGGGAGGATTGCTTGAGCACAGGAGGTCGATGCTGCAGTGAGCCATAACTGTGCCACTGCATTTCAGCCTGGGTGACAGAGTGAGAACCTGTTTCTGAAAAGAAAAAAAGCCAAGCGGGGTGGCGTGCACCTGTAATCCCAGCTACTTGGTAAGCTGAGGCAGGAGAATCGCTTGAACCACGGAGGTAGAGGTTGCAGTGAGCTGAGATGGCACCACTGCACTCCAGCTTGGGCGACAGAGCAAGACTCTTTTTCGGAAAAAAAAAAAAAAAAGGCAGCAGCGGCAGAACTGACAGAAAGGATTTAGAGATATGAGGAGAAGGGGAAAGAAAGGGAAAGTGAAAGTCAAATGCATCTAGGGTCCAGAGTGCATCACACAAACAGGAATAATGTTGTTTCACAAAAGCTTTGTACTCCTGCATAAATGTATGTATGTATGGGTTGGCAGGCATTATAAAATATATCTCTTGACCAGGCGCAGTGGCTCACACCTGTAATCCCAGCACTTTGGGAGGCTGAGGCGGGCGGATCACGAGGTCAGGAATTCAACACCAGCCTGGCCAATATGGTGAAACTCTGTCTGTACTAAAAATACGAAAATTAGCCGGGCATGGTGGTGCGTACTTGTAGTCCCAGCTACTCGGGAGGCTGAGGTAGAAGAATCGCTTGAACCCGGGAGGCAGAGGTTGCAGTGAGCCAAGATCGCACCACTGCACTCCAGTCTGGGCAACAGAGCAAGACTCTGTCTCAAAAAAAAAAAATAATAATAATAATAACTGCATTTCTTTCCAGGGTGATAAAAAAAAAATTATACAACATGGACTATATCAGTGTTTCCCAAACTTCAGTCATTTGCATAACTCATTCACAATTGTGACCGTATTCAAATAACACCTGCACCATTAATTGCTTAGTGTTGTGCTTTATTTTGTTGTTTGTTTGTTTGTTTGTTTGAGGCAGGGTATCGCTGTGTTGCTCAGGATGGAGTGTAGTGATGTGATCTGAACTCACTACAGCCTCGACCTCCTGGGCTCAAATGATCCTCCCACCTCAGCCTCCAGAGTAGTTGGGACTAGAGGTGCATGCCACCACACACAGCTAATTTTTTTTTTTTTAATTTCGTAGACATGGGGTCTCCCTATGTTGCCCAGGCTGGTCTCAAACTCCTGGGCTTAAGTCATCCTCCTGCTTTGGCGTCCCAAGGTGCTGGGGTTACAGGCATGAGCCACCTTGCCTGGCCTAGTATTGTTCTTTAAATGAAGTCAATTTTTTTTTTTTTTTGAGACAAAGTCTCTATTTGTTGCCCAGGCTGGAGTGCAGTGGCGCCATCTCGGCTCACTGCAACCTCCACCTCCAGGGTTCAAGTGATTCTCCTGCCTCAGCCTCTAGAGCAGCTGGGATTACAGGCATGCACCACTGCACCCAGCTAATTTTTGTATTTTTAATAGAGATGGGGTTTCACGATGTTGGCCAGGCTGGTCTCGAACTCCTGACCTCAAGTGATCTGCCCACCTCAGTCTCCCAAAGTGCTGGTATTACACGCGTGAGCCACCATGCCCGGCCTAAGTCAAGTCACTTTTTAACCTAAATACCTACTGCAGCCTCATCCTAAAAAAATAAAGAAAACAAAACAAAACAAAAAACAAAAAACACCACCAAAAAAACCCCATATATATGAAATCATGATTTTGATGTTCCAGTTATGTTTTTACACACATTAAAACAAATACAAGCCCATTAAATATAAAGTATCTGGATGCTACCTAAAATAATTATTTCCCATGCCCTCAGTTGTGTGCAGTCCAGACTTGGGGAACCCCTGACCTGGGTGATAGTGGCAGCCACTAGGATGACACATCCTTTGCTTTCTTTGCCTCCCTCTTGACTTCTATTCAGATTGTATCAGTGTCCAGCCCTGGACTGCTGGCCAGGTCTTTGCATCCATTGTCAGCAAAGCCTTGCCCTGCAGGTAGTGACCTTTAGCAGAGCTGGGCTAGAGGCTGTCATCCAAACAAATGGTGGCTGACCTGGAATGTCTTTTTAACTCAGTGTCTCACATCCCAGCCTCTGAAGCTGCTACGTGACTGGCCCAGGCCAAATGAGCTCACATCTCACGTGTTCTGCAACCAAGAGTGCAAATGGGGCCTTGGGATCTCCATTTTCTTTCCAGGTGTTGTCCCTGATGCTTTCCAAGGGCGACATGTGGAAGTCTGAATGTGGGGGCTGCAACTAGATCTGCTTTTCCTCACATTCGATGTGTAAAGATCCTGTAGACTGTTTCAATGTGAAGTTGAATTAAATCTGCACCAACTGGTGAGGTGACATAAGGCACATCACCAAACATCTCCGAGCCTCTGTTTCCTCCTGTGTAAAGCAGTGGGTTAGGCTGGTCATCTCCAAAGTGTTTCTGGCTCTCACATCTTACTGTGCTGAATAGTTTGGCGACCATTGTACTTCTGTGCACTCCTTATTCAAGCCCCTTGCCCATTTATTTTTAGGATTGTTTGTCATTTTTTTTACACCCGCCCCCACCTATTTTTAGGATTGTTTGTTCTTTATTTTATTTTATTTTTTTGAGACAAAGTCTTGCTCTATCACCTGGGCTGGGGTGCAGTGGCTCCATCTCAGCTAACTACAATCTCCACCTCCTGGGTTCAAGCAATTCTCTTGCCTCAGCCTCCCGAGTAGCTGGGATTACAGGCACCCGCCACCACATCTGGCTAATTTTTTGTATTTTTTGTAGAGACAGGGTTTCACTATGTTAGCCAGGCTGGTCTTGAACTCCTGACCTCAAGTGATCTGCCCACCTCGGCCTCCCAAAGTGCTGGGATTACAGGCGTGTGCTACCACGCCCAGGCAGGATTGTTTGTTCTTACATGTAAAAGTTATTGTGGTCATTATATGTAAATTTATGTATATCGTATCATATCCCTCTGTCACAAATATTGCAATATTTTCCCCAGCATTGATGCAACCTTGTTTCTTATGTATTTTGTTTTGAAGACATTTCCACTTAAAAAAAAAAAAGCCCCAACTGACAATCTTCCTTGAGGATTTCAGCTAAAAAAGAATGTCGTTACTCCAAGACTATAAAAATATTTGCTCAGTTTACCTTCTAGAAGTGATTCATTTATTTTATTTTTAAATCATACATTGTTTGAAATGTATTTTATGAGGATCAAGATAGAGATTCACTTTCATTTTCTTTTTCAGGTGGGTACCCCATTTAATGAATAATCTATTTTTTACACAGATTTGGAATACATCATCTTTACAGAACATTCTTGAAAAAGTACCCTGTTATGCAGTTATAGCGGTAAAAGCTATTGATAATTATACTGTGGCACATTTGAGACTGTTGTACTAATGGAATTATTATTTTTATGTATTTATATCTTAAAAACATAGTAACAGTATTTACCCCCAGCCTCACTATAACCAATTAAAGCATTCAAAAATTTACCGTAAGTGGTGACTATAATGACTGTCAATGTATAAAAGCTTCAGAAAGAGCAGACTTTCCTTTTCTATCATGGTAATTAGTAGCGATAATCATAGCAATTAGCGGCAGTAAAATATAAACCACAATTTTAAAGAACTCAGTTTCTGTGATTTTGAGGCCAGTAGGACAAGGACATAGGGAAGTTACTCCTGAGACAAGGTCCCTGTGCAAAATTAGGAAGTTAGAGACATTTTGTCCCCTGGTTGTCCACTCCCTACTCCAAGGACCCATTGTTTTCTGTGCCTCATTCCACCTCTTACAATCTACTCTCAGATCCTCATTCACACTGAGGTGTTGATGACTGGTTGCTGTCCAACACAGACATTCTCATTAGAGTGTGAGGTATGTGGAAATTAACTTGTTACTAATAATAAAGTGCCGAAGTTTGAAATAATTTACTTTTTAATAAATCTGAGTTAACTCACTGTTTCTCCTGAAATGAATTCACCTGACTCTTATTTGCTTGCGTCCTTTGTAAGAGAAAACAGGTGTGCTGGTAATTGTCCATAACCTCTTTGTTACAGCCCATAGGGATATAATGATAGAGCATTAAAGCCAGGGCCCTCTTCAAATTGCCTTGTGAGTGAGTTGAGCTTATGTGGTTGTTTTTGTTTTCTTTTTAATGTTACCCAAGGATACATTTTTAATAAGCTTACCAAATCTATAGTGGAAGTGAAGAAGAATGAGACTGGAAACATGTTTTTTAGTAAAACTATAAACATTATAATTAATTCAAAATTAAGACAGTAAATTTCAAATGTTCTAACTACAAAAAATGATAAATATTTGAGGTGATGGATATGGTAATTAGCTTGGCTTACGTATTCCACATTGTATTCATAAATCATAACATCACTTTTTACCCTATAGATATATACAATTATAAATTGTTAATTTGTAATAAAAATATATAAATAATTATGATTAATAGAAACAGATAAAGCAATGACACAAGTGAAATGTAACTAGTATTATTCACACTGAGTACTCAATAAATATTTGTTGAATTAATGACTAAATGACTATTTAAAACTTATTGGCTGGGCACACTGGCTTACATCTGCAGTCCCAACAGTTTGGGAGGCTGAGGTGGGAGGATCGCTTGAGCCCAAGAGGTCGAGGCTGCAGTGAGCTATGATGGAACCACTGTACTCCAGCCTGCGTGACAGAGCGAGACCCTGTCTCAAAAATATACATAATAGTGTTTGCCTTATTTCTTTGCCCACTCCCTTGAAACTATTTTGTTTGTTAAACAAAACTGTATTCTCTGATAGGAGTAAGTCTCTTCTACAATTTTCATCCAAAGTGACAGACAAAAAATTGAGAATTGAGATGCTAAGCTGAGGTTCCCAATGTTTACCTGCCTACACACACACACACACACACACACACACACACACACACACACGTTCAGAGCCTCAAGCTAGAGGAAGGAGACACTGAGAGTAAAATCTAAGTAGCAGCCAACAGGTTGAACTTCTGAAACCACACCTTGTGGGCAGCCCCTCCATCTCTTGTCCTCTTGTAATATTAGGCTTGTTGAGCTGCTATGTGTCTTCATTCTGTGTGTCATTTCTTTTTTTTTTTCTTTTTTTAGACGGAGTCTTAATCTGTTGCCCAGACTGCAACCTCCACCTCCCAGGTTGAAGCAATTCAAGCAATTCTCCTGCCTTAGCTTCCTGAGTAGCTGAGATTACAGGTGTGCACCACCATGCCCCACTAATTTTTATATTTTTAGTAGAGACAGGGTTACAGCATATTGGCCAGGCTGGTCTCAAACTCCTGACCTCAAGTGATCCACCCGTCTCGGCCTCCCAAAGTGCTGGGATTATAGGCATGAGCCACTGCGCCCAGCCCTTATGTTTTTTATTTTTATTTTTTCCTGAAACAGGGTCTCGCTCTGTCACCCAGGCTGGAGTGCAATGGTGAGATCTCAGCTCACTGCAGCCTCTGCCTTCCAGGTTCAAGTGATTCTTGTGCTTCAGCCTCCCGAGTAGCTGGAATTACAAGCATGCACCACCACACCCAGCTAATATTTTGTTTTAGTAGAGACAGGGTTTAGCCAAGTTGGCCAAGCTGGTCTCGAACTCCTGGCCTCAAGTGATCCACCTGCCTCAGCCTCCCAAAGGGCTGGGATTACAGGCATGAGCCACTGTGCCGGGCCTCCATGTGTCGTTTCTAATTGCTGGAAGGAGAGTAGAGTTGGCATTGTAACTGGGAGCCGCTGAATGGACGTGTTGCTTTTACCATTTGAGTGGAATATAGACAATTCCTCCCTCCCCAGCCTGCTCACCCTGGTCCTTCTCCTTCTGTCAAAGAAGAGGATAATTGAGGTCTCCCTGGCTTGCAAGAAACATCAGGTATTCATCTCAGGGACGCTTCCAAGGATCTCATTGATTTGGTATTTCAGTTTTGACTCCCCAAACACAGTTTTTCCACCAACAAAAGGTTTTCAGTCCTTTAAATTCATCTAAGGACATAAACTATGCAGAGCAGTCAGGATAGAAGCCATGTGAGCCACAAACAACAAAGCACAAATTGCCTCCAGTGGGCATAGAGTTTCAGTGACTTCATGTTGGCTAAATATAGGCGAACACATGGTGTGTTGTGAGTGCCAGGGAGAACCATGATGCAATTATCCCCTCCCCTTGATGGAATAGAGAGGACCAGGGTCAGAGGGAAGAATGAGATTACCTAATAAATGGTCACGTCACGGTCCTCAACTCCACTCCCATCCAAGGGTTGCGCGCGCACACACACACACACACACACACACACCCCCAATACATGACAAAGCAAACATTATCACACAGCTTTAGAACAACATATTTATCTTCTGATTGTAGTTAAGGATAAATTGCTTTAATATTAAATTTAATTGTTTTGATTTTCTTTTTACTCTTTATTACATAAAAAATTCATATTCACCATAGAAAATTTAGAAATCAGAATAACTATTAATTTTTATTGAGCAGTTAATATATGGCAGGTATTCCCTGTAATAGGCCCTTTACAAGAGCGACTCATTTAATCCTCACAGAACTATCTGAGTTAGGTTCAGCCATTACCCCTGTTTGACAACTAAAAAAAAAACAAGGGTTGGGGATTAAGTAACCAGCTCAAGGTCACCTAGTTAGAAAAGTGAAGACTGGGAATTAAACTCCAGTTTGTCTGATTTCAAATTTCATGCACTTAAACTCTAGACCATGTGATATGATCAGTTGACTAAAAGAAAAAACAACAACAAAAAGCACTCTAGGCCGGGTGCGGTAATTCATGCCTGTAATCCCAGTGCTTTGGGAGGCCGAGGTGGGTGGATCATTTGAGGTCAGGAGTTCAAGACCAGCCTGGCCAACATGGCGAAACACTATCTCTACTAAAAATACAAAAGTTAGCCGGGCGTAGTGGCATGCGCCTGTAATCCTAGCTGTTCAGGAGGCTGAGGCAGGAGAATCACTTGAGCCTGGGAGGCGGAGGTTGTGGTGAGCCGAGATCATGCCACTGCACTCCAGTCTGGGCGACAGAGTAAGACCTTGTCTCAAAAAAAAAAAAAAAAAAAAAGCACTCTAGACCAGTGCTGTTCAATAGAAATATACTGTGTGAGCCACATATATCATTTAAAATTTTCTAATAGCCACATTAAAAGAAGAAAAAAGAAATAAATAAGATTAATTTTGACACTGGTTCATTTAGCCCAATATATTCAAAATATTATTATTTCAACATTTAACCAATATAAAAAATAACTAATTAGATATTTCACATTTTGCTTTTCAGACCAAGTCTTAAAAACCCAGTGTGTACTTCACAGATATAGCACATCATCAAGGGCCCAATAAACCCATGTCACTAGTGGCTAGTCATATTGGACAACACAGACGTTTCCATCATGGCAGACAGCTCTATTGGACATTGCTGCTCTAGGTTATACTGAGAGTCAAAAAGAACAAGTCACCAATATACCCATCTATTTCAATGTATTGTGCCCTCCTGTTTTCTGTGCAGGTGTATATACATATAAATATGTTTTCATACAGATGAAGGTCACACTATTAGCATAGTGGGTTTTTTGTTTCCTCAGGCCCCACATAATCATCGTGCCCAGTTATAAATATAGTTTTGTGTGCGTGTGCGTGTGTGTGTGTGCATGTGTGTTTTGAGACACAGTCTCACCCTGTTGCAAAGGCTGGAGTGCAGTGGCAAAATCTAGGCTCACTGCAACTTCTGTCTCCCAAGTTCAAGTGATTCTCCTGCCTCAGCCTCCTGAGTATCTAGGATTACAGGCACATGCCACCACATCTGGCTTTTTGTATTTTTAGTAGAGATGGGGTTTCACCATTTAGACCAGGCTGGTCTCAAACTCCTGACCTCAGGTGATCCACCCGCCTTGGCCTCCCAAAGTGTTGGGATTACAGGCATGAGCCACTACACCTGGCCTAGCATATTGTTTTTTAAGTTAAAAAAACTTTTTTAGAGTTGGGGTCTTGCTATGTTGCCCAGGCTAGAGTGTAGTGGCTATTCATAGGCACAATCATAGTGCACTACAGCCTCAAACTTCTGGGCTCAAATGATCCTCTTGTCTCAGGCCCCACATAATTATCATGCCCAGCTATAAATATTGTTTTTTGTTTGTTTGTTTTTGTTTTTGTTTTTTCGAGACAGAGTCTTGCTCTGTTGCCCAGGTTGGAGTGCAGCAGTGTGATCTCGGCTCACTGAAAACTCCGTCGCCTAGGTTCAATTGAGTCTCCTGCCTCAGACTCCCGAGTAGCTGGGATTACAGGTACATGCCACCATGCCCTGCTAATTTTTGTATTTTTAGTAGACATGAGGTTCCACCATGTTGGCCAGGCTGGTCTCAGACTCCTGACCTCAGGAGATCTACCTGCCTCAGTCTCTCAAAGTGCTGGGATTACAGGCATGAGCCACCGTGCCCAGCCATATAAATATAGTTTTAATATTTTTTTCCTCTAACAAACCCTCCGGTGGCTTTGGCTCCCTGTGTGTGTGTGAGGCACTTTTGAGGTGCTGAAATAGCATGGGTTTTGGAGTAAAAAGACTCCAGCACTTGACATCTATGTGACATTGGACAAGCTATTTTCTGACCCTCGGTTTTCTCATGTGAGGATGAAACAAGATAATGTTTGCAAAAAGTGCCTTATAAATGAAAGCTCTTCCCTGCTCCCTTTATTTTTAGTTGGCATGCAATAATTGTACATATTAATGGATACAGAGTGATATTTTGATACATGTATTCAATGTATAATGATCAAATCAGGGTAATTCGCATACCCATCATCTCAAATATTTATTATTTTTTGTGTTGTGAACATTCAGAATCCTCTCTTCTAGCTTTTTGAAGATACACAATAAATTATATTCACTCTACAGTGCTGAAGAACATTAGAACTCATTCCTCCTAACTAGCTGTAATTTTGTTATCTTTTAACCAACCTCTCTGCATCCTTCCTTTCTTCCTACCCTTCCTAACTTCTAATACCACGATCTCCTCTCTACTTTCATGAGCTCAAAAAAGTTTTTTTAGCTTCCACATGTGAGTGGGAACATGCAGTATTTATCTTTCTGTGCCTGCCTTGTTTCATTTAACATAACGTTCCCCAGGCTCATCCATTTGCTGTGAACGCCAGGATTTCATTCATTTTTTAAGGCTGACTAGTATTCCATTGTGTATATACCACATTTTCTTCATCCATTCATCTGTTGATGGTCATTTAAGTTGATCCCATATCATAGCTATTGTGAGGTTTTTTTTTTTTTTTGTCTCCCTCTGTCACCCAGGCTGGGTTGCAATGGCGCTATCTCAGCTCAGTGCAACCTCACCTCCCAGGTTCAAGTTCTTGTACCTCAGCCTCCCCAGTAGCTGGGATTATAGGCATGCACCACCACACCGGGCTAATTTTTGTATTTTTAGTAGAGACAGGGTTTTACCATGTTGACCAGGCTGACCTCAAGTGAGCCACCCACCTCGGCCTCCCAAAGTGTTGGTATTACAGGTGTAAGCCACTTTGCCCAAACTATCATAGCTATTGTGAATAGTTCTGCAATAGACATGAGGTTTCAGGTATCCCTTTGTTATACTGATTTTCTTTCCTTTGTATAAATACCCAGTAGTAGGACTGACGGATCATATGGTAGCTCTATTTTTAGTTGTAGTTGTTTTTTTTTTTTAAGAAACCACTATATTCTTTTCCATATGGCTATACTAATTTACATTCCCACCAACAGTATATAAGAGTTCCCTTTTCTCCATATCCTTGCCAGTATCTGTTGCTGTTTGTTTGATAACAGCCATTCTATTAGAAGAAAACATAGGGGATATGCTTCAGGAGATTGGTCTAGGCAAAGCTTTGAGCTAAGACTTCAAAAACACAAGCAACAAAAACAAAAGCAGCCAAATGGGACTGTATTAAATGGCAAAGCTTCTGCATAGCAAAGGAAGCAATCAACAAAGTACAGAGACAACCTGGAGAGTGGGGGAAAATGATTCATCTGACAAGTGGCTAATATCTAGAATACACAAGGAACTCAAACAACTCAACAGCAAAAATCCCCAAATAATCTGATTTAAAAATAGGCAAAGAAACTGAAATGAACATTTCTTAAAAGACACATAAATGGGCAACAAATATATGAAAAAATGCTCAATATTACTAATCATTAAGGAAATGCAAATTGAAGCCTCTTATAAGAAGTACAACTGGTTCTTCTCATAACACAGGCAATATACTCTTTTTTTGAGACAAAGTCTCACTCTGTCACCCAGGCTGGAATATAGTGGTGCAATCTCGGCTCAGTGCAACCTTCGCCTCCCAGGTTAAAGTGAGTCTCCTGCCTCAGCCTCCTGAGTAGCTGGGACTATAGGTATGTGCCACCATGCCAGCCTAAGTTTTGTATTTTTAGTAGAGACAGGTTTTTGCCGTGTTGGCCAGGCTAGTCTCAAACTCCTGGCCTCAAGTGATCCACCTGCCTCGGCCTCCCAAAGTGCTGGGATTATAGGCGTGAGCTACCACATCTGGCCCTATTTTTGTTCCTTTTGGGTATACAACTAGGACTGGAATTGCTGGACCAAATGCAAAGTCTATGTTTAAATTTTTGATGAGCTGTTAGACTGGTTTCCAAAGTGATGGCACCATTTTATATTTCTATCAGCAGTATATGAAGTTTTCAATATTTTCACATCCTCACCAACACTTTTTATTATTTGACTGGTTAAGTTTTGTATTTTTAGTAGAGACAGGGTTTTGCCATGTCGGCTAGGCTGGTCTTGAACTCCTGACCTCAGGTGATCCACCCATCTCAGCCAAAGTGCTGGAATTACAGGGGTGAGCCACTGCAACTGGCCAATATACTCTTATGTATCTAGTACGAGTTTGTGTGTGTGTGTGTGTGTGTGTGTGTGTGTGTGTGTGTGTATTAAGAGATCAGACTAGAGAGATTTCAGTCAATGGTCAGGCCAAAGTATCTAGGTCTGCACTCCTAATCCAGGAAGAGCTTTTGTTGGTCATTGCTAACCATGGCATTTTTCCAGTGTGAGTAAACTTTTTCTTACTCTTTCTCTCCCTTTTTTGCAGGTAAATTTTGAGAGGTTTTTCTCTTCTAGGCCTGGCAAGAGTTGCTGTATGAGGACAAATTCTGATTTCAGGAAGCGTCAACCTCTCCTCTGCCTTTGACGTCTTGCTGCCCTAGATGAAGAAAGCTCCACAGCTGGTCAGGGGAAGTATAGGGTTGACCCAGAATTAGAAGGTTTTGTTTTATTATTATTATTATTATTAATAGAGATGGGGGGGGTCTCACTATGTTGCCCAGGCTGTTCTCGAACTCCTGGGCTCAAGCCATTGCCTGCCTCTGCCTCCCAAAGTGCTGGGATTATACGTGTGAGCCCCCACACCCAGATAAGAAGTCTTTAGGAGCAGCTGCAAGACACTGTGGCTTCTTGCCGTTCCTAAGCCAGGAGCATGCTTTAACTGTGGGGGCGAAAAAAAAAAACAAAACACCAATCACAATTCTCCATCTCTACAGATAGACAGCAGCACACATCCCCCAATCAAGAAGGAATCTGTCAAAATCTGGCTTTTCATTTGGTCGAGTGAAACAGGTTATTAAAACAACAAGGCACTGCTGATTTTATATAGATATACTTAAGTGGACAAACTACTGCCGTAGAGGCAGATTCCCAGCCAAATTACCAAAAAGAAGTTAAACATGCGCTTAGCAATAAGAAAATCTTGAGATGACGGTTTGGTATCACCAGGTGTTTCAATTACCTCTCTCTTCCCTGAGCTCTGTTCTGCACAAGGCACCATTCTCCACATTCTCTCATTCCCATGGAAAAGGGCATAATTCCTCCACCCCCGCACACATACCCCTCTGCCCATGTCTTCTATTAATCTTGAATGAAAAAAGTCTATGTCCTGAAGCATATCTCCTATGTTTTCTTCTAATAGAATGGCTAGTATCAAAAAATCAAACAATGAACAATAGAAACAGCTGGAACTTATCCTCAGATTCACCCTCCACTCAAAGTGTATTCCATCTTCCTTCTGAAACAAACTCTCCGGGAAATTCCATGTGTTAACAAATATCCACTTGACGCTCACCATTGAGAAGCATGAGCCCTCAGGTACTGTGCTCCGAGCTGTAGACACAAGGATAAGACTCAGTTGCTGTCTATTCAATTCAGTGTATTTCATTTTGAATTTAATTCCAAAAATAGCCATTGATATCTAGTCTACAATGCTGCCAATAATGTCCTAGGCTTTGACTACACCAAAAAAAAGTTTTTAAAAAAGGAAGACAGGCTGAGCATGGTGGCTCATGCCTGTAATCCCCAAACTTTGGGAGGCCAAGGCAGGCGGATCACCTGAGGTCAGGAGTTCGAGACCAGCCTGGCCAACATGGTGAAATCCTGTCTCTAAAAAAAAAAAAAAAAAATACAAAAATTAGCCAGGCATGGTGGAGCGCTCCTGTAATCCCAGCTACTCAGGAGGCTAAGGCACAAGAATCACTTGAACCCAGGAGGTGGAGGTTGCAGTGAGCCGAGATTGTGCTACTGCACTCCAGCCTGGGCAATAGAGCAAGACTCAGTCTCAAAAAAAAAAAAAAAAAAAAGTAAGTGAATTCTTGCTCACACTGGGGAGTTCTCAGCCTTGCTGAGGGGCAGACAGACAGAAGTAAATGATGGCTATAATACAATGTCATGGTTGTTTGTGCTGTGTCAAGTTGGCTACACTGGTGTTCCCAGGGTCTCCTTCTCTGTATGGTTCTGAGTTAAAGTTGGGCAAAAGAACTTGCATGAGATTTGGAAGAGGAGTCATTTCTCTGAGAGTCATTTGATGGTAAGATGAGATGACCAACAGACACAGAGTTGCCCAGCAGTTTCCAGCTTGTTCTCACTCTCCCTCTCTGTGACCAGTCTGGCCCCACTGACCAACAGTGGCCCCTCCCCAACACCAAATTATTGGTTGTGAATTGACACAGAGGGTAGCTACCTAGAGGCAACAGCTTCCCATGGATGCCTCTGCCTCAGTGACTAGATAGAGTTGGCTCTTTGGATGGACAGGTGGGTGACTCTTTCTCTGATTCTCTAACTTCCTGTTCTGGATCTTCAGTTCCCCAGCTCTTTTGTAAATTCTAACTCTTTAATCTATGGAATTAAATCTCTTATCCCATCGCAGTTACAGTGACTCTGTTGCTCCCCTGCCTAAGTGTGCCAAGGTTAGGACAAGGTACGTAAGAACAGCAGAGTCATTCAGGAGACAAACAACAAAGCTATAAAAAGGAGGTGAGGATTTGAAGGATGCGTAGGATTCATAATCTAAGGGTGAGTACAGATACAGGCATCTTCACAGCAAATGATATTACAGTGTGTCAGGATTTGTAACAGATCTTTACAAAGTGTTATAGAATCATGGTAGAGGGAGCAGTGAATCCTATAGGCACTTTGGGGAAGTTAAAAAAAAGAGGGAGGTTAAAAAAAAAAACAAAACTGCTCTCCCTCTCCCTCTCCCTCTCCCTCTCCCCACGGTCTCCCTCTCCCTCTCTTTACACGGTCTCCCTCTGATGCCGAGCCAAAGCTGGACTGTACTGCTGCCATCTCGGCTCACTGCAACCTCCCTGCCTGATTCTCCTGCCTCAGCCTGCCAAGTGCCTGCGATTGCAGGCGCGCGCCGCCACGCCTGACTGGTTTTCGTATTTTTTTGGTGGAGACGGGATTTCGCTGTGTTGGCCAGGCTGGTCTCCAGCTCCTAACCGCGAGTGATCTGCCAGCCTCGGCCTCCCGAGGTGCAGGGATTGCAAACGGAGCCTCGTTCACTCAGTGCTCAATGGTGCCCAGGCTGGAGTGCAGTGGCGTGATCTTGGCTCGCTACAACCTCCACCTCCCAGCCGCCTGCCTTGGCCTCCCAAAGTGCTGAGTGCAGCCTCTGCCCGGCCGCCACCCCGTCTGGGAAGTGAGGAGCGTCTCTGCCTGGCTGCCCATCGTCTGGGACGTGAGGAGCCCCTCTGCCTGGCTGCCCAGTCTGGAAAGTGAGGAGCGTCTCTGCCCGGCCGCCATCCCATCTAGGAAGTGAGGAGCGCCTCCTCCCTGCCGCCATCCCATCTAGGAAGTGAGGAGCGTCTCTGCCCGGCCTCCCATCCTCTGAGATGTGGGGAGCGCCTCTGCCCCGCCGCCCGGTCTGCAATGTGAGGAGCGCCTCTGCCTGGCCGCGACCCCGTCTGGGAGGTGAGGAGCGTCTCTGCCCGGCCGCCCCGTCTGAGAAGTGAGGAGACCCTCCGCCTGGCAACCGCCCCGTCTGAGAAGTGAGGAGCGCCTCCGGCCGGCAGCCACCCCATCTGGGAAGTGAGGAGCGTCTCCGCCCGGCAGCCACCCCGTCCGGGAGGGAGGTGGGGGTCAGCCCCCGCCAGGCCAGCTGCCCCGTCTGGGAGGGAGGTGGGGGGGTCAGCCCCCCGCCCGGCCAGCCACCCCGTCCGGGAGGTGAGGGGCGCCTCTGCCCAGCCGCCCCTACTGGGAAGTGAGGAGCCCCTCTGCCCGGCCAGCCGCCCCGTCCGGGAGGGAGGTGGGCGGGTCAGCCCCCCGCCCAGCCAGCCGCCCTGTCCGAGAGGGAGGTGGGGGGGGTCAGCCCCCTGCCTGGCCAGCCGCCCCGTCTGGGAGGGAGGTGGGGGGGGTCAGCCCCCCGCCTGGCCAGCCGCCCCGTCTGGGAGGGAGGTGGGGGGGGTCAGCCCCCCGCCCGGCCAGCCGCCTTGTCTGGGAGGTGAGGGGCGCCTCTGCCCGGCCGCCCCTACTGGGAAGTGAGGAGCCCCTCTGCCCCACCAGCCGCCCCGTCTAGGAGGGAGGTGGGGGGGTCAGTCCCCCGCCCGGCCAGCCGCCCCATCCGGGAGGGAGGTGGGGGGTCAGCCCCCCGCCCGGCCAGCCGCCCAGTCCGGGAGGTGAGGGGCGCCTCTTCCCGGCCGCCCCTACTGGGAAGTGAGGAGCCCCTCTGCCCGGCCACCACCCCATCTGGGAGGTGTACCCAACAGCTCATTGAGAACGGGCCATGATGACAATGGTGGTTTTGTGGAATAGAAAGGGGGGAAAGGTGGGGAAAAGATTGAGAAATCGGATGGTTGCCGTGTCTGTGTAGAAAGAAGTAGACATGGGAGACTTTTCATTTTGTTCTGTACTAAGAAAAATTCTTCTGCCTTGGGATCCTGTTGATCTGTGACCTTACCCCCAACCCTGTGCTCTCTGAAACATGTGCTGTGTCCACTCAGGGTTACATGGATTAAAGGCGGTGCAAGATGTGCTTTGTTAAACAGATGCTTGAAGTCAGCATGCTCGTTAAGAGTCATCACCACTCCCTAATCTCAAGTACCCAGGGACACAAACACTGCGGAAGGCCGCAGGGTCCTCTGCCTAGGAAAACCAGAGACCTTTGTTCACTTGTTTATCTGCTGACCTTCCCTCCACTATTGTCCTATGACCCTGCCAAATCCCCCTCTGCGAGAAACACCCAAGAATGATCAATAAAAAATAAATAAATAAATAAATAAATAAATAAATAAATAAATAAAAATAAATAAAAGTTGCCACCTGAATTAATGCAGCCATTACCAATGTTAATAAACCCCTTTAAAGACATGGTAAAAAAAAAACAAAACAAAAACAAAAAACAAAACTGTGCTTCAAGTTACAATGCAACAGCCTGCTGCTGTTCATGTACAAGGTAAGGAACCTTTGCTTCCATGTTGGCATCTGCCCCTCCTCAGGAGCAAAAGCGAATATTGGGTGAACGGCTGTTTCCTCTTATTCAAGCTATGCACCCTACTCTTGCTGGTAAAATCACTGGCATGTGGTTGGAGACTGATAATTCAGAACTTCTTCATATGCTCGAGTCTCCAGAGTCACTCCATTCTAAGGTTGTTGAAGCTGTAGCTGTACTACAAGCCCACCGAGCTAAAGAGGCTGCCCAGAAAGCAGTTAACAGTGCCACTGCTGTTCAACTGTTTAAAATTGATCAGGAACCATGAAAAGAAACTTGTGCTGCACCGAAGAGAAATATCTAAACATCAGAAAACTTAAATATTATGGAAAAAAATTGCAAACTATAAAACAAATAAGAAAAGGAAAGGAAACTTTGAACCTTATGTACTGAGCAAATGCCAGGTCTAGCAAACATAATGCTAGTCCTAGATTACTTATTGATTTAAAAACAAACAAAAAAAACCACAAAAAGTAGTAAAATATAAAAACAAATTAATCTTTTATAGACCCCGGGAAAAAGAATTTTCAGCAAAGTACAAAAATTTAAAGCATTCCTTTCTTTAATTTTATAATTATTTACTGTGAAATAGCTCAAAATGTCAGTTCTGTTTTAAGTAACAGAATTGATAACTGAGCAAGGAAACGTAATTTGGATTATAAAATTCTTGCTTTAATAAAAATTCCTTACACAGTGAAAAAAAAACCCAAAAAACTGTGCTAGGGCCAGGCGTGGTGTCTCATGCCTGTAATCCTAGTGTTTTGGGGGGCCAGCACTGGAGGGTTTGTTGAGTCCAGGAGTTTGATACCAGGCTGGGCAACATAGCAAGACTTCATCTCTACAAAAACTTTAAAGAAAAAGTAGCCAAGGCTGGGCACAGTAGGTCACGCCTGTAATTCCAGCACTTTGGGAGGCTGAGGTGGGCGGATCACCTGAGGTCAGGAGTTCGAGACCAGCCTGGCCAACATGGCAAAACCCTGTCTTGAGACAGGGCTGATATCTCTGGAAATGGTAGGTGGGAATAGACAGGGTATGAAAAGCTTAGCAGTTTTAACTTTATTTTATAGGCAATTGCTTCTCAGCCTTTTGGCTAAGATCAAGTGTAGTGTTCTACATGCAATTGGAGTGCCATCAATGGTTTGAACAGGGAAGCATCATGATCAAACCTGTGTTTCCTAAAGATAACTTTGGAAGTAGTTGTTTAGGATAAGGCTTGAGGGAAAGAGGGAACTGGGAGGGATGAAATTTACATATCAGAATTCAGCTGGGGGAAAAAATTAGCTTCTTCACTTTTTTTTTTAAACAGGGTCTTGCTCTGTTGCCCAGGCTGGAGTGCATAAATAAGCACTGCAGCCTTGAACTCCTGAGCTCAAGGAATCCTCTCCCCCTCAGCCTCTCTAGTAGCTGGGATTACAGGCACACACCACCACATCTGGCTAATTCTTTAGTTTCTTTTAGAGACAGAGTCTCTCTGCATTGCCTAGGCTAGTCTGAAACTCCTGGCCTCAAGGGATCCTCCCACCTCAGTCTCCCAAAATGCTGGGATTACAGGTGTGGGACACTGCACAGGCCTGCTTCTTTACTCCTTGTAACTTACTTTTTCTTTCTCTCTTGACCCCATTCCTCAGGCCAGGTGCAGTGGCTCACGCCTGTAATCCCAGCACTTCGGAAGGCTGAGGCAGGCGGATCATCTGAGGTCGGAAGTTTGAGACCAGCCTGACCAACATGGAGAAACCCCAGCTCTACTAAAAACACAAAAAAATTAGCTGGGCATGGTGGTGCATGCCTGTAATCCCAGCTACTTGGAGGCTGAGGCAGGAGAATCGCTTGAACCCGGGGGGCAGAGGTTGTGTTGAGCTGAGATTGCGCCATTGTACTCCAGCCTGAGCAACAAGAGCAAAAACTCTGTCTCAAAAAACAAAAAATAAAAGACCCCAGTTCCTCTAATGGTTACGATGAGGTGACGACTTAAGCTTCCCAATTGAAGCTAATTCTGGCCAGGTGCAGTGGCTCACACCTGTAATCCCAGGACTTTGGGAGGCTGAGGCAAGTGGATCGCCTGAGGTCAGGAGTTCAATACCAGCCTGGCCAACATGGTGAAACCCCGTCTCTACTAAAAATATAAAAATCAGCTGGGTGTGGGCCGGGCATGGTGGCTCACACCTGTAATCCCTGCACTTTGAGAGGCCGAGGTGGGTGGATCACAAGGTCAGGAGATCGAGACGATCCTGGCTAACATGGTGAAACCCCGTCTCTACTAAAAATATAAAAAATTAGCCAGGTGTGGTGGCGGGCGCCTGTAGTCCCAGCTAGTCGGGAGGCTGAGGCAGGAGAATGGCGTGAACCCAGGAGCCAGAGCTTGCAGTGAGCCGAGATCGCGCCACTGCATTCTAGCCTGGGTGACAGAGTGAGACTCCATCTCAAAAAAAAAAAAAAAAAAAATCATCTGGGTGTGGTGGCATACGCCTGTAATCCCAGCTACTCGGGAGGCTGAGGCAGGAGAATCACTTGAATCCAGGAGGTGGAGGTTGCAGTGAGACGATATCGCACCACTGCACTCCAGCCTTGGCGAAAGAGAGACTCCGTCTCAAAAATAAATAAATAAATAGGCGAATTCTATTACATCTAGCTTTAAAAAAATGGCGGGATTGAGAGTTGTTAACTCAGTTTTTGCTGAGAAATTACAGTCGTTCAAATGTAAATTGCTCAGTCTTCCAAATATCCCCTAAAATCTCTCCTCCAGAGAAGGCTTCCCTTCCTCCCTTCCAAGATAGTAGCTGAGAGCAGTAAGGCCCTACAGAACCTCATGGCCTTGTGGGAAGGGCTGCTGCTGTACACGTGCTCTCCAGCTGAGCTGCCTTCTCCTACTTATCTCCAGGCATTGGCTTTGGTTCTCTGCCTCTGCTGCTGAGGCATCATGGGTGGCATGAAGCACAATGTGTTCCCTTCGCTTGGGAAATGCACAGCCCTGTTCCCCCCGGAATGCTGCCACCTCCTCCGTAGTGACTTGGCTCCACCTCTCCTCATACTGGTTCTGCAGATCTTCTGAGGTCAGGCTGCAACTCCCAACCAGTCACCAGCTTGGACTCCTCTACAGATGACTCTGTACCTCTCTCTCCATGATGACCCTCAGAGTAGAGACTGCAGTGCACCATCTAGATTTGCCCTTTAGATCTGCCAGGAATGTTGGGCACAGAAGTCATATAGCTGAGTTCTTTCTCAGGTATACCCCTCCTGGAGGGGGGACGGGAATGCATCTAATGAGTGGTCAAAATAGGGATACAAGGATTCAGCTCCCTTGCCTCAATTCGGAACTATTTATTTATTTATTTGAGATGGAGTCTCACTCTGTCACTCAGGCTGGAGTACAGTGTTGCGATCTCAGTTCACTGCAACCTCTGCCTCCTGGGTTCAAGCGATTATCCTGCCTCAGCCTCCCGAGTAGCTGGGATTACAGGCGCATGCCACCATGCTGAGCTAATTTTTTGTATTTTTTAGTGGAGACGGGGTTTCACCCTGTTGGTCAGGCTGGTCTTGAACTCTTGACCTCAAGTGATCCGTCTGCCTTGGCTTTTCAAAGTGCTGGGATTACAGGCATGAGCCACTGCACGCAGCCATTTGAGAGCAATTCTAAAAGACTATCCCAGCTTCAGAGCTCCCCACGGGATCAATGGAGGCCTTTATTAACAGTGCCAGAGCTCAGTTTCTCTCTCTGCTTAGTCCTTACTCCCTTACAGTTATAGTTGCCAAGAGCAGCTCCCTGTAACCTCCCTAGGTTGCCACCTAAAGCCCTCATGTCTCCTCCAGGGAAGTGTCTGAAAATTCACTGAAAACCAACTGACTAAAGGTAGATTCATTGGAGAAAAGGCATAAAAACATTAACATGCATGGGAGGAAATTACAGACTGATCACCCAAAAAACAGTGCAGTCCAGAAGCTCCCCTTTTTTCATAAGGGAGGGGGGAGATGGGAATTGTAGACAATTCTTTGAAGGGGTAGTAAATCATTAGGGAGAACGAATGGCGTTGGGAGGCCACCAGTACAGAAACGTAAGGAACAGAGGTTGCTTCACAGGAACAAAGGTTGTCTTATTATGCAACTAAAGTTCCCCGCTGCGGGTAATCTCTTGGAGCTACCCGCATAACAGAGGAAAAGTCAGCCTCGGCATGGTGATGACTTGAGTCTCTTCTCTCATGGTTGATCATTCCTGGTTAGTTGATGAGATCCCCAGGGAGGGAGTCTTAAGACAATTGCATTTAAGCGTTCTTAGAAGTCAGATAAGCAAATTCCAGAGAGGGTCCCTTCTATTGCTTCTTCGGGAAAAAGGACCAGAGCGACAGGGAGGTTGGGGCAAAGAACAGAGAGAGACATTGGTTCTGGGACTTATTTCTGA
This sequence comes from Homo sapiens, assembly GCF_000001405.40. Classification (NCBI taxonomy): domain Eukaryota; kingdom Metazoa; phylum Chordata; class Mammalia; order Primates; family Hominidae; genus Homo; species Homo sapiens. The sequence continues at coordinate 44,061,738 of NC_000002.12, read as the reverse complement.
AGTGAGGAGAGCCTCTGCCCGGCCGCCCCACCATCTGGCAAGTGAGAAGCGCCTCTGCCCAGTCGCCGCTCCGTCTGGGAAGAGAGGAGCGCCTCGCCCGGCCGCCACACCGTCTGGGAAGTGGCCCCTCTGCCCAGAGGCCACCCTGCCTGGGAAGTGAGGAGCACCTCTGCCCGGCTGCTGTGCAACCCTCCAAGTGTGAAGTGGCTGCCGTGTGTGTGATCTTTCTGCCCTCCCCAAGTTTTCATTTTTGACATTAAAGTTTACTTTTAAATTTTTTTTAAAAAAAAGAAGAAAAAGGGAGCCAGAATGGGGACTTTTCGGAGCAGCGCAGAGCAACGGGGAGGAAGACGCAGGATTGGTTACCTGTGTTTTCCTTTTTTGCATGACAGCCCTCACTGACACAGCCAGACCTGAGGCAACCCTTTCAACCCACCTAGGGAAAAGAACATGTTTCTGCCTTCAAATGTACTTGTTATAAACTTTGCCCCAGGAGGCAAAATGAAATTATAGCCAAGCCTACACATCAGTGAGCTGTATTGTGATAGAAAACATCAAACAACTCTTTTGTACTTTGGATTTTGATTCACAGTAAAACTTTCCACTAGAAATCAATATTGACTTCTCATCACCTGCAGGTCAATATACCTTAATGAACCTTGGTGTCACCTCCCCTTTCTCTACTCTTTTTACTCCTAGAGACTTAGAGAGCTCAGAAGACAGGAAGATGTGGGAAAGTTTGGAACTTCCTAAAGACTTGATGAATGGCTTTGATCAAAGTGCTGATAGTGATAAGGATGATGAAGTCCAGGCTGAGGTGGTCTCAGATGGAGATGAAGAACTTCTTGGGAACTGGAGTAAAGGTGACTCTTGCTATGCAATGAGACTGCTGGAATTTTGCCTCTGCCCTAGAGATCTTTGGAACTTTGAACTTGAGAGAGATGTTTTAGGGTATCTGGTAGAAGAAATTCCTAAGCGGCAAAGTACTCAAGAGGAGGCAGAGCATAAAAGTTTGGAAAATTTGCAGCCTGCTGATGCAATAGAAACAAAAACCCCATTTTCTGGGGAGAAATTCAAGCCAGCTGCAGAAATTTGCATAAGTAACGAGGTGCCAAATGTTAATCACCAAGACAATGGGGAAAATGTCTCCAGGGCCTGTTAGAGACCTTCACAGCAGCCTCTCCCATCTCTGGCCCAGAGACCTAGGAGGAAGGAAATGGTTTCTTAGGTCAGGCCCAGGGACCCCCTGCTGTGTGTTAGCCTAGGGACTTGGTGCCCTGCATCTCAGCCACTCCAGCTGTGCCTAAAAGGGGCCAAGGTACAGCTCAGGCCATGGCTTCAGAGAGTGGAAGCCTCAAGCCTTAGCAACTTCCATGTGGTGTTGAGTCTGTTGGTGCACAGAAGTCAAGAACTGAGGTTTGGGAACCTTTGCCTAGATTTCAGAGGATGTATGAAAATGCCTGGATGTCCAGGCAGAAGTTTGCTGCAGGGGCAGAACCCTCATGGAGAACCTCTGCTAGGGCAGTGAGGAAGGGAAATGTAGAGTTGGAGTCCCCACACAAAGTCCCCACTGGGGCACTGCCTAATGGAGCTGTGAGAAAAGGTCCACCATCCTCCAGACCCCAGAATGGTAGATCTACCAACAGCTTGCACCATGCGCCTGGAAGAGCTGCAGACACTCAACACCAGCCTGTGAAAGCAGCCAGGAGCGGGGATGTAACCTGCAAAGCCACAGGGGTGGAACTGCCCAAGGCTGTGGGAGCCCACCTGTTGCATCAGCACGGCCTGGATGTGAGACATGGAGTCAAAGGAGATTATTTTGCACCTTTAAGGTTTAATGCCTGCCCTATGGATTTTGGACTTTCATGGGGCCAGTATCCCCTTTGTTTTGGCCAATTTCTCCCATTTGGAGTGGGTGTGTTTATCCAATGCCTGGACCCCCATTGTATCTAGGAAGTAACTAATTTGATTTTGATTTTACAGGCTCATAGGCAGGATGGACTTGCCTTGTCTCAGATGAGACTTTGGACTTGGACTTTTGGGTTAATGCTGGAATGAACTCAGACTTTTTTTTCTTTTTTTTTTTTTTATTTTGAGACAGAGTCCCACTCTGTCACCCAGGCTGGAGTGCAGTGGTGCAATCTCGGCTCACTGCAACCTCCACCTCCTGGATTCAAGCCATTCCCCTACCTCAGCCTCCCAAGTAGCTGAGATTACAGGCACCTGCCACCACACCTGACTAATTTTTGTATTTTTAGTAGAGACAGGTTTCACCATGTTGGCCAGGCTGGTCTCAAACTCCTGACCTCAGTTGATCCACCCACCTCTGCCTCCCAAAGTGCTGGGATTACAGGTGTGAGCCAATGTGCCCTGGAATGAGTTAAGAGTTTGTGGGACTGTTGGGAAGGCATGATTGTGTTTTGAAATATGAGGACAGGAAGTTTGGGAGGGGCCAGGGGCAGACTGATATGGTTTGGCTGTGTCCCTACTCAAATCTCATCTCAAATTGTAGTTCCCATAATCCCCATGTGTCGTGGGAGGGACCCGGTGGGAGGTAATTGAATCATGGGGGTGGTTACTTCCATGCTGTTCTTGTGATAGTGAATGAGTTCTCACGAGATCTGACGGTTTTATAAGCGTCTGGCATTTCCCCTACTTGCACTCATTCTCTCTCCTGCCGCCCTATGAAAAGGTGCCTTCCACCATGATTGTAAGTTTCTTGAGGCCTCCCCAGCCATGCAGAACTGTGAGTCAATTAAATTTCTTTCCTTTATAAATTACCCAGTCTTGGGTATTTCTTCATAGCAGCATGAGAACAGACTAATATACCTCCTCAAGTCCTGTCTCCTCCAGGAAACTTTCCAGAAGACAGCACCCAAAGCCCTGCTTGTCTCAGCCATCCATTTGTTGGGCCTCAATACTGCCATGTGGTGCCATGTGCATTTAAAGTGGAGATGTCTGAACTCCTGAACTGGACCACACACTCCTGGGTCTTAATTTGTCTTTGTACTTCTTAGTACCACTTACTGCACACTATGCCTGGTGCTCGGGAGGGGCCAGTGAGCATCTGAGGATGGCTAGTCAAAAGGGTGTCAAGTTCAGGAAGTGTTTATTTAGTGTCTACTCTGTGCTGTCTGCTGTGAGAGGCCCTGTGACACATGTCCCCTTGCTTTCAGTCTATTTAAACTGCTCCTGTGTGCTTGCTGGCTACTGCCTGGGCACAATGCACAAAGTTAAGGCTTCTGTGTTCTTACGAGGCAAAAATTAGTCCACTTGACTCTTAGGAAAAACGAAAACAAAGAACTCAGTCTCCTGAGTCTCAGCAGCAGCCAATTACTTAAAAAGTGCTGCTTGAAGAGGATTTCAGTCAAATTCCCCACTTTCGGAATGTCCATCCCACTGCCTGTCATTACACCATTATAGTCTCATTGTCTTGGGCAAAATGTTTTACTTCTCCTCTGTGGTCCTTTCTAAAATGCAGCACCTCCCCACCTTCCCAGTGAGTATTAGGCCTTATCAGCTGACAGTAACTGGGAATCAGGAAGAATGGGACACAGGACAATATTTATGGAATGGGGAGAACAGTCCAGTTCCTTACCTGGCTCACAATACCCGTCATGCTCTGGCCCTTGCCTGCCTTCCCAGCTTTATCTCTCATCACCCTTGCCATTGTAACACTAGAATCGTGCAACACCCAACATCTTTCATGCCCTTCCCCATTCCCTGCTCTCATTTGCTTTCTGACCTTTGCTTTAAACATGTTGCACCCACTCCTTTGACTGCCTAACTCCTATTCATTCTTCAGATTTCATTTCAGACATCAGTCCTCCAGGAACACTTCCCCACTCATCTCAGTCAGAGTTTGATGGCCCAGCCTCATATCCCCATAGTTCCTTGTACTTCCTTCATTGGAGCATATTATGCACTGTACTACATGTATTGCCTGTATCCTCCGGTTAACTGTGAGCCCCCAGGGCACAAGTTCCATGTCTGACTTTTGGCTATGACACTGCCCAGCATAATAGTCACTCAACAAATACAGCATGAATCAGTAAACAGGGCTTGAATGAACAGATGAATGTACTAGGGACAGAGTTTACCTCCTCCACATGTTGTGAAAGACTTGCCTTGCTTGAGACCCACACGGTTTTTCTAATTCCAGAAAAGTCAATTTTTAAATTTTATTTTTTATTTTTTTATTGAGGTGGGGTCTTACTCTGTCACCCAGGCTGGAGTGCAGTGACGCAATCTTGGCTCACTGCAACCTCTGCCTCCGGGATTCAAGTCATTCTCTTGCCTCAGCCTCCTGAGTAACTGGGATTACAGGTGCCTGCCACCATGCCTGACTAATTTTTTGTACTTTTCATAGATAGGTTTCACCATATTGGCCAGGTTGGTCTCAAGCTCCTGACCTCAAGTGATCCACCCACCTCGGCCTCCCAAGGTGCTGGGGTTACAGACATGAGGCACCATGCTCGGCCCCAGAAAAGCTCTTTTTAAGAAATGTAAGGTACTAGATATTACAAAGGACTCTGAGAATGTGAACAATTCCATGAGCCCATACCCAAGCCTCCATGTACAATTTAGAGCATGTGTCATTTTCTTCTGATGAAAGCCAATGTGCCAATGAGTCACTGTGTCTACCTCAAACAGTCTTGGTGTCACTATAGGCCACCAACACCCTACTGGCATGAATGGGGCTTCCAGGGTCCTGGGGGGAAATTACAAAGGTGAGTTTGGAACCAAGCATCAGATTTTGATTGTGTAAGGTCAGGGGACAAAGATTATCCTTTAATCCCTGAAACATGTGCTTGAGAGAGACCCACCTCTGGGCCGGGTGCCGTGGCTCACACCTATAATCTGAGAACTTTGGGAGGCCAAGGTGTGTGGATCACTTGAGCCCAGGAGTTTGAGACCAGTCTGGGCAACATGGTGAAACTTCATCTCTACAAAAGCACCTGTAATCCCAGTTACTCAGGAGGCTGAGATGGGAGAATCACTTAAGCCCAGAAAGTCGAGGGTTCAGTGAGCTGTGATGGCACCACTGCATTCCAGCCTGGGCAACAGGAGTGAGACCCTGTCTCAAAAAAAAAAAAACAAACAAAAAAACAAACCTCTGATGCAGTAGAGTAATAAAGTCCAGGTACTCTTCATTGGATAAACATGGACAGCACAGGTCATGCTATGCTTAATGGCTTCCAGAGAGCCATGGTTTAGGCCCCTAGAGAGAGGAAGAGAGAAACTTGAAAGAGCAGAGCTACTTTTAAACAGTCAGAAGAGATGTAATCACAAGAAGCCAAGTCTTCCAAGGTTGGCTATAAGGCTCACTCAAGGAACACTTCTTTTGTTTTGAAAGAATGGCCACAGCTAGCCATGACTGAGAACTTCCCGTGTACCCGCTACTGCTCTTAGTGCTTTACACACACTAGCCAAATAATCTTCACCCTGCCTAATAATGAGGTAGGTCCTATTGTTACCTCTATTTGACAGATGAGGACACTGAAGCACAGCTATGTTAGGTGAGTAACCCAAGATCATACTAGTAAATGGAGAAGAGATCTGAACCCACATGCCCTGGCTTCAGAGTCTACAGGCTTACTTAGCTGAGATCGTCCGCAGGAGCAGAGGGGACTGGTCATCGGGGGTTGGCTGGAATGATGATGCAGTGGAACTGGGGTGGGTTCGTGCTGCTACGTACCCTTCTATGCAGCACTCATTAAGCATTGTGCCATGTGTACAACACTAGGCCAGGTGTTGCGTGCAAGCAGGTAAGTAGAATCTAGTCCCTGGCCTTGAGAGGCTCTCAGTCTCAGGTGCAGACAGTCCTGTGGTAAGAGCAGTACGGGCTGAGGTGTGGGAGCCAAGACGGAGAAATCCCGCCCCCTGCCTGGGAGGATTTATGGAGACATGAAGCGTTCACCTGGGTCTGGAAGAGTGAGAGCTGTGGTATCTCTTAATCTCTGCTTCCTCCTTCTGTTCAGAAAATACTTGAAGGCCAAAGCAGGCAAAACAAATTTCAGGAGATCCAGGTAGAAATAGCAACCAGACTGATCCAGAACAGGAAAAACACCCTCTATATGAAACTCTTTGCCGAGATTGAGCAAGTCTGCTGAAGTCTCTGCTCTGTGCCCTGGCCTTCTCTGCTGTCTGCAAGGGCTGAAGGCAGAGAGTGGTAGTTCTCCATAGGGTTCTCAGTGATGCTGCCATTGTGCATGGAACCAGAACAAGAAGGCTGCTTCCTAGAGAAAGTTAGCAGTGTCTACAATCAGATAAGATCCATCACTCTGAAACCCTCCAAACACTGCAGATTGCATGGCAGCTGGTGGCTTCCTGCAACTGCAGCTTCAAGCTAGTGGTATGGGACCTGCATGATCTTATCATCATCCCAGGTCACCTTCAGACCTCCTTAGATTATTCTCGAGTTGAGGAGGGGGTGATAAAACCCCAGAGTCAAACATTCTGCTTCGAATGTCACCTTTGCCACCAGTACCACCTAGGGGACTATAAAAGAACTATTGTTTTAAATTATGGATTATCATTATTCACAAGTTTCAAAATCCAGACCAAAAAAAAAGAAAAAACCGTAAATATCTAACAAATGAAGATCTGTTAAATAAATTATAATGTGCCCATGCAAAGAGATATTTAGCAGCCATTTAAAATGACAGTGTATAAGGCTGGGCGCAGTGGCTCACACCTGTAATCTCAGCACTTTGGGAGGCCGAGGCAGATGGAACACTTGAGGTCAGAAGTTTCAGACCAGCCTGGGCAACATGGTGAAACCCCATTTCTACTACAAATACAAAAAATTAGCTGAGTGTGGTGGCAGGCACCTGTAATCCCAGCTACTTGGGAGGCCGAGGCAGGAGAATCGTTTGAAGCCGGAAGGTGGAGGTTGCAGTGAGCCAAGATGGCACCACTGCACTCTAGCCTGGGCAACAGAAGGAGACTCCATCTCAAAAATAAATAAACAAACAAACAAACAAACAAATAAAATAAACTGACAGTGTATGGTTCACCCCTATAATCCTAGCACTTTGAGAGGCCAAGGTAGGAGGATCGCTTGGGCCCAGGAGTTCAGGATCAGCCTGTTTCTACAAAAACTAAAAATTAAAAAAAAAGCTGGGCATGGTGGTGCATGCCTGTAGCTCAAGCTGCTCAGGAGGCTGAGCTGGGAGGATCGCTTGAGCCTGGGAAGTCAAGGCTGCGGCGAGCTGTGATGGGGCCACTGCACTTCAGGCTCGGCAGCAGAGCGAGACCCTGTCTTAAAATAATAAAATAAAATAAAATAAATATAATGTATATTTGTATTGATACGAAAAGATATTTGATGTATTAATAAGTGAAGAAAATAAGTTATAGCTTATAGATATATATGTACATGTGAATAGCTATATACACAGAAAACAAAGGAAGGTGGGAAAAAGCCTGGGAAGCTATCTGTCAGAATGTTAAATGTTGGTTATTGCCAGGTTATATCCTCATGGATAATTTTTTTTTTTTTGAGACAGAGTCTTGCTCTGTTGCCCAGGCTGGAGTGCAGTGGTGCAATCTCAGCTCACTGCAGCCTCCACCTCAGCCTCCCAAGTAGCTGGGATTACAGGCATCTGCCACCACGCCCAGCTAATTTTTATACTTTTGGTAGAGACGGGTTTTCACCATGTTGGCCAGGCTAGCCTTGAACTCCTAACCTCACATGATTCACCCACCTCAGCTTCCCAAAGTGCTGGGATTACAGGCACTCATGGATAATTTTTATTTTATATCTCCATTCTTAATGTGCATACAATTAATGAGTAATCATAAAAGGCCTGTCTCAATGAGCCTCTTGGATGATTTTTAAAGTGAATGGCCGGACCCTGGGGTTTCATCACTCCCTTCTTACTTTGAGAATAACCTGAGTGGCCCAAAGGTGATCTGTAATAGGTGGTAAGATCATGCCAGGTCACACATGGCTGGAAGTTGGTATGGCAGAAAGCTGCCAATTGCAGTAAAATCTGCTGTGCTTGGGAGGTTTTTTGTTGTTTTTGTTTTTGTTTTGAGACAAGGTCTTGCTCTGTCAGGCTGGAGTGCAGTGAGCAATCACAGCTCACTGCAGCCTCGGCCTCGTGGGCTCAATTCATCCTCCCACTCAGCCTCCCCAGTAGCTGGGTCCACAGGCATGCACCACTATGCCCGGCTAATTTTTGTATTTTTATAGAGATGGAGTTTTGTCATGTTGCCAATGCTGGTCTTGAACTCCTAGGCTCAAGCGATCTACCCACATCAGCCTCCCAGAGTTCTTGGCCAAGGAAGTTTTTTGGGTAACAAGGCATAATTCTGGCTGTAGACATTGCTAATTTTCTCCTTTCTGCCCTAGTTTCCAGAGTCAATGGTGACTCCATCAGGTGACTTTACCTGGGACCAACTCCTGTGTCCTCAGCTCTTTCAAACAGCAGTGCTGGTCTAGGTCAGCTCAGATAACTCCCCACCAAGCACCGGTTTTATTTACTCTCCTTCTGCAGCCAAGTCCCAACTCAATCAGGAGTGAGCCTCAGCTGAGAGCAGATCACTTTACTCACTATTATATCTGCATTTACCTCTTGCCCAAGAGTCCGGCTCACTTTCCCATGGTAAATTATTTATATTCAAAAGCTCAGAAAAAATCCTTGATCTTCCCCCAATTCCTCCAGAGTCTTGCCTCCAGCATTTTAACTCTCTCCCTCTGTTGTCTTGCTGGATATCTTCCTTAGCTCTGGGGTCTTCCCCCTACTTTTTAGGCCTGGCGTTTGGGGGAAGTGGGGAACTGAGTAAACGATACCAGTTCCTGAAGATCCAGACCCTCATCCTATTTAGCAAGATCAGGGCTCCTCTCTCTGGACAGGATTGGAGTGTCCTCTGTAGTCATGCTGTACTGCTCCAGCAAGAGGATACGGGAGCTCTTTCCCACTCAGTCCTTTTCTAGTACTTCATTCCAGCATGCACACCCACGCACGCATATACATAAAGGAATTCAACACATCTGGAAATGACATGCGCACAGTCATGCATGCATTCATGCGCCATATACACACTCTAACACATATGTAGACACACACCGACATGAGCTCTCTGAGGCACCCATACATATAAATATATAGACATAGGCATCATATACATATAAGTATATAGACACAGTATATAAATGTATAACACACAGGCATTATACAGACATTCAAACATTGTTATCAACGTAAGATACGCAAAGACATAGCTGTACATTCTATCATACACAGACGTCAATCTTCGTATTTAATCACACAGACATAAGCATACACGAGTCTACTTAGTACAGGCAAAGAAGACAGTGACAAGTGATCTGTCCCCAGCAGAGACCACTACTACCCACCCTGACACTGGGATTGCTTTGTTTCCTAGGAAGTTTTTGCAGGAAGTTGTCTGTGCCTTTGACAAAGAGTTCATCTCTCCTCTGTCTCCCGCTCCCTGGGCAGCTTCCTCCTCCCTGTTCCCCCTGTGGCCCCATTCTTTCATCCATAGCTGTGCCTGGCCAAGAAGAATGCTAATCACCATGACAGGAACTGTTTCCACCTGTTTACATCCCTGCTTGCCTCCCCCTGATGCCATTTTAGACTCTGCCAAGCAGCCGAGGAGGCCTGCTGTGCGGGCCAGCTTGAGAGAGGGAAAGGAATGAGCGAGAGGACAGTTGGAGTGTGAAAAGGACCCATCGCTAAGTGACTCCCCATTCCAACAGCCACACACAAGATGCACATAATTGCTTTTAGCACAGTGGGATGGATAGAGATACAAAAGGTCAAATCAAGGATTTGTCCCATAATATCTTTGCTAAGCAGCAGCGTCAGACATTGGAAAAGCATATTCATGAATTGAGTTGCTGAAGTATGGGGCAGGCTTTTCAGAGGCTGCTGTGTGTTCCCTCTTTGAGGTGTGCCTGCCGTGGTGATTGGATTCATATGGAGCAAGTGACTTCTCAATGCTCAACAAAGCTCTGCCTGTGAATTGGACTAAATAGACTACTTGGCAGGCAGCTGAGATAACTATGCTAAGTGAATTTCATAGTTGCTCCCACTCCCCTTAAGCTGAAGCCTACTGGAAAATGCAGGATCAAGGCCAAACTCCTGAGACAGGCATTCAAGGGCCTCCACCATCTGACCCAAATCTATCTTGCTAGGCATTTCCCAACACGAAGGTCAGATGTCCACCCCAGTGGGCACTGTGCTGGTCTCTGAGCACTTTGGGCGGCTGAGGTAGGCCTGGCCAACATGGTGAAACCACATCTCTACTGAAAATACAAAAATTAGCTAGGCGTGATGGCGCACGCCTATAATCCCAGCTGCTTAGGAGGCTGAGGCAGGAGAATCGCTTGAACCTGGGAGGCGGAGGTGGTAATGAGCCAAGATGGTACCACTGCACTCCAGCCTGGGTGACACAGTGAGACTCCCTCTCAAAAAAAAAAAAAAAAAAAAAAAAAAAAAAAAAAACAGGAAAAGGAAGAGAGGGACTAAGAACTATCACATTCCATTATACATTCCATTACATGGTGACCATTGGTGACCTTAGGCAGCATGGTTTTTGTGAAGTCGTAGAGGCAAAAGCTTGCATTGAAGTGGTTTCAATAGGAATGGTGAACTTTTAAGAAACTTTGCAATACAGGGAAACAGATCAATGAGATAAAGTAGTAGGATTAAAAAAGGATTTTTTTAAAATGGGGTGTAAAAACTGTCTTCAAAACACATTTGCTCACAATATGTCAAGATTGTACCAAAATTAAGTCTACTCTAGAGCTTTCAGTGGTTGAAGGAATCTCCACCCCAAGTTTCTGTGAAAACCAGGCCAGCTTATGCCTTATTTTAATCCCAGTCTTGTGACTTTGTCCACATCAAACTTTCTCCTTCCCCAACATTCTGGCCAATTTATCATTCTTCCTTCCAGATTTCTCTTATTAACCTATGAAGGAAGGTGGACGTTTTTTCAGGAGAACTGTATATTCTCTAGGAAACAGAACTGGCAAATCAGTTCTTCCTGCAAGTTAAAAAGATATAACAAGTAATTTTTCGAAATTTATTGTTCTCCATAGGAAAAAAATACCCAGCATATGAACTGCAGAGATGCATTTTCAGTTTTCAGAAAATACTCTGTGTGTCGGGCACGTAATTTCATTAGCCTATTGTGTGGGGTGAGCTATTGCAAGGGATCTGTCATGTCTCCATCATTTCCAACCCCCATTGGGGTTTAATCACATTCAGGGCTATTTGCAACTATGGTTTCCCATTTCAAATCACATTAGGCCAAAATTAGGCCTATAACTTATACTTTGGGGTCCAAGTCTGCAACATTTTCCATCCGCATATCATTCTGGTTAAGTTGCTTCTGAGTGTTGTAAATAAAAAATAAAATAGAAATATCAAGAGTTAGAACTTGAGGCCGGGGGTGGTGGCTCACGCCTGTAATCCCAGCACTTTGGGAGGCTGAGGCGGGTGGATCACTTGAGGTCAGGAGTTCAAGACCAGCCTGGCCAACATGGCGAAAACCTGTCTCTACTAAAAATACAAAAATTAGCCGGGCGTGGTGGTGCGTGCCTGTATTCCCAGCTACTCGGGAGGCTGAAGCATGAGAATTGCTTAAGCCTGGGAGGCAGAGGTAAGCCGAGATTGTGCTACTGCACTCCAGCCTGGGCGACAGAGTGAGGCTCCATCTCAAAAAAATAAAAAAGTTAGAACTCGAGAACAACTGACATTGTGATTTTCCTGAAGGTCTTCTCCAGTGGGAAAATAACTGGAAGGGCCACTCCTCTTTCATCAGAGGTGTGGGTGGAATCTTGTTAATCTCATCCCAATGTCTGTGAAAAGGCTAGTTGTCCCCCTCAAGGCAATGAGTCTTTTTGAATGGCAATTTGGGACTGGCTATTGGCTTTTACATAGTCCCTGCCAGTTAGAGTTGCACAGGTTGTAAATAATGCCTCCTGGAGTGGTGCAGTGCACAACCTACACAACTACATGCTGCAGCCAGGCTTCAAGGCAAAAGAGAACGTACGTAAAACGACGGTGCAAGTACTTTGTGTTTCTTCCCCTACGGTGGCCTTGCCTTTACTGCCACTGAGTCCCTCTCCACTCTCCTCCACTGAAAAGGGCTGAGGGCACTCAACGTGCAACCTCCATCAACCCATTCAAAAATATTGTGTGCGTGATATCGACTGCTGCATTTGCAACCGTGATGCACAAAGGAAACCCCAATCCAACCTTCAGATCTATGTGCCCAGCAAAATGGCTCCCATGTCCCTGAACAGAGAGCACTGGAACGTCATTGTACTCAGAGCACTCACATACTGCACACCTCCAGCTGAGACTGAACTGCACCACCAGCTCCCGCTGCTTCAGCAGTACCACAGCACTCATGGATTCTGGAGCCCCTCTTTCTCCACTCCTCTCCTGCTCTGCCATCTTCTTATCTGCCCTCTGCACAGAATGCTGGTTCCACCATGGAAAGACTGCAGTTCCTTGAGGTCTCTGAGGTGGCTCTGGGTCCCTCAGAGGGAATCATCTACAAGGTCACAGCCTTTCTCTTGTGAATTTCAGTTACATCTTACCAAAGACCCTTTCCTTTCCAGAGAGGAGTGAGGAGGAAAGAAAATCTCATTCTATCACACTCTAACCTGGAAAGTTCTTTACACTTGATCCGAATCTGACTTCTAGTTTTGCCACGGCTCTCCTACATTCAACCTTCACCTGCTATAGCTCATCATCATGGTTCTCTTCAGTATTTTCTTCTACAGGCTGGATTTCCGTAGTTTCTCTTCTGTGCTCTCGTATGACCTAGTTTCTGAACTCCTCACCACCATAGTCAAGCCACCCCTCATCTACCACGTTGATGTCCCTTATAAAACCCAAGGCCAGAGGTGAACATTCACCCAGATGCAGTTACATGGGAGCAGATTCCATCTATTTTCTTGGCATGTTACAATTTTATTTGGCATAAAGTAGTTATGGGGATTATAATGTGCTTCAAGAACTGGCCTTTTGAAAATAGACTGGATTTAAGCTATTGCTCTATGGGACATGGTGTTAGGTTTTTGTTGTCATTGTTGTTTGTTTTGGGACAGGGTCTCACTCCATCACCCAGGCTGGAGTGCAGTGGCACGATCATGGCTCACTGCAGTCTGGCCCTCCCTGGCTTAGTTGATTCTCCCACCTCAGCCTTCCAAGTAGCTGGAACTACAGGCAAGCACCACCACACCTGGCTAATTTTTTGTACTTTTTTTTTAGAAATGGGGTTTCGCCATGTTGCCAGGCTGGTCTCAAACTCCTAGGCTCAAGCAATCCTCCCACCTTGGCTTCCCAAAGTGCTGGGATTACAAGTGTGAGCCACAGTGCCTGGCCTCTATGGGACATGTTTTTAAATGAACTACATGGCTTTGATATATTTGGGAAAACCTATTGGACAATATGATCGGTCCTGTGTGACCTTCAGTAGGTCCTTTCCCCATTGTGGGTCTCAACAACTGATATGGTTCGGCTACATCCCCACCCAAGTCTCATCTTGAATTGTAGCTCCCATAATTCCCACGTGTTGTGGGAGGGACTCACTGGGAGATAATAGAATCATGGGGCTGGTTTCCCCCATACTGTTCTCATGGTAGTAAACAAGTCTCACAAGATCTGATGATCTTATAAGGAATTTTCCCCTTTTGTTTGGCTCTCATTATCTCTTGTCTGCCGCCATATAAGATGTGCCTTTCACCTTCCACCATGACTGTGAGGCCTCCCCACCCACGTGGAGCTGTGAGTACATTAAACTTCTTTTTCTCTATAAATTACCCAGTCTTGGGTATGTCTTTCTCAGCAGCATGAAAACGGACTAATGCAACAACTTTATGAAGAAAGTGGGGGAGTTATTTTGATGATCTCTAAGCTTTTCGAGATTTGTTCTTTTTCCTTAGGGACCCAAGTATTACTAAAACTAAAGTGCAACCTCCCAACTCTGCTACCCGTGCACACATGGTTGGAGCTGCAAGACCAGGTTTTCCTCCATCCCTTTCCCTGAGTGAGGAATATGGTGAGAAGGAGGGAAAGGGCATTGGGGGTGGGAGCGTGGTCACTTCTCTAAATCCAGGACCAAGAGACCAAGGGCACTGAGAGGCAGAGCCAAGGCCCATTCTTTGTTTCCTCATCTGAGCCAGGCTAAGTTGGTGGAAATTGGGGGCAGAGGAGAGAGGATGGACAAAGGGGACATCTGAATTTTATCCCCCTTTCCCTGATTTCCTTCTTGCAGGTCTGTGCCAGGCGGGAGACAGTCTGTGGATGATGGTCTCACCTCTACATGTGCTCCTGTTGGGGAATTTCTCTCTTTTTCCCAATGATATCTTACTGTGACATTTACGGGAGGAGAGAAATGGTCTCTGGAAGCATAAGGAAAGGGAGGGTCTGACTGTGCCCCAGAAATGTCCTGTGGCTACGTGTCCAGGAGAGCAGGTTCTCAGTTTTAGCTTTCTCCATCCATCCTCCCCCTTCACTCTCAGTGTGCTCCAGAAGTTCCACCTTAGGCCAGGTACGGTGGCTCATGCCTGTAATCCCAGCACTTTGGGAGGCCGAGGTGGGTAGATTAACTGAGGTCAGGAATTCAAGACCAGCCTGACCAACATGGTGAAACTCTGTCTCTACTAAAAAAAAATACAAAAATTAGCTGGGCATGGTGGTGGGTGCCTGTAATCCCAGATACTTGGGAGGCTGAGGCAGGAGAATCGCTTGAATCCGGGAGGCGGAGGTTGCAGTGAGCTGAGATTGCACCTTTACACTCCAGTCTGGGCAACAGAGTGAGACTCTGTCTCAAAAAAAAAAAAAAAAAAGAATTTCCACTTTAAAGAGAGTCAATTACTTTTAGTCAGTTCTCAAAAGACCAAATCCTACCACTTAAATGTGACCCAGGTAGGAGAGAGACATTGCCTTGATTTTCACAGCTTTCCCCTGGCTCATCTCTGACCCCAAGGTGCTCTGTGTTCACTGGGCTGATTTTGCTTCAAAGTTTCAGCTTCTCTTTGTCGTTTCCTCAGCCAGCCCTGTGCCCTCCCTCTTTTCGTCCCATCTCCTCAGTCCCCCCGTTGTGTAGCCTTTACACAGTCTTCTCTGGTCTAATCTAATCTCCAACAAGCTGCCTCTTTTGCTCCTTTCTCTCTCCACAAACCTAATATATCTTGATGTGTCAACCTTTGGGCCACTGAGGCTGTGCTGACCTCTTCGGGGAGCTTGGCTTTTGTCCTACTAGGTAACCCCCTCTCCTGGGAGCTGTACCAACCTATTTTTCATCACATTTGAGCCTGGTTTTCTAAAAAAAAAAAAAAACCTAGACAGGCAGGCAGCCCACGCTGACTAAAGCTATGAACATCTCTCCTTTCTTAAGGGGTCTTTCTCCCTCCTCTCTGCCTGTCTGGCAAGAGCCAGCAGCCAGAGGTGGGGGTGGAAACCTCAGTTACCATCACATCAGCTGGATAATAGTTCTATAGATGCTGGACATGCCGACAAAGGGGCAAAGTATTCTGTATCATAGCATTTTTATTATATTCTATTATAATCATGTATCTTTCTATCATAATCAGGTATCATGCATAATCATGTAGCTGTCATATTTGTCTTAGTTTGCTAGGACTGCCCTAACAACATACTACAGTCTTGGGGGAGGGGGAATGCTTAAGCAACAGATACTTATTTGCTCACAGTTCTGGAGGCTGGAAGTCCAACGTTGAGGTGTCAGCAGGTTTGGTTTCTTCCGAGACCTCCACTCGTGGCTTGCAAATGTTGACCCGATTGCTGTCTCCTCACTTGGTCTTTCCTCTGTGTGTGATTCTGTGGTATCTTTTAGTCCAAATTTCCTCTTACAAGGACATCAGTCAGACTGGATTAGGCCACCTTCTAATGGCCCCACTTTAACTAAAGGCCCTGTCTCCAAATACCATCACATTCTGAGATACTGGGAGTACCTCAAATTTCCCAGTAGAAAATTTATAGGGGACAGAGTTCAGCCCATAACAATATTATTCCCCAATTCCATCATCGACTTACACTGAAGTCAGAGCAAAAAAGATCAGTCTCAAATTGCAGTGTGTGGGATTTCAGCTAGATGTAAGAAAGGTTCAGGCACTCCCAAATGGAGACCCTGGGAGTGGGATCTCAAATGGGAGAGGGGAAGGAGGGTAAAGATGAAAGCAGGCATCCTAGAAAACATAATACATTTCCAATTAGTTGATACCCTTTCTAAAAGGAGGAGGCTAAGCCAGATGATTTCTGGATCCCAACATTAATTTATTCAATCAATCACTCATTTAGCAGACATTCACTGAGCCTCACCACGCAGCAGGCACAGGAATCCAGAAGCAAGTCCTTGAAGGTTCTTGCCCTTTAGAGAACTTGTACTTATTGGTAAACCCTGGGTAGGATGGGAGGAGGGCAGGGGCAGCCAAAAGAAGAAGGGTGAAGAATGCTCTGAGGCGTGAACATTAATGAAAACACAGACCCCAAGCCCAGTGGTCAGCCCAGGCTTGTACATTTCTTTCCTGGCACTTAGCAGTGTTTCCTGGCACTCAGCAGTGCCCACACCCAGAGTAGAACCCTCTGTTTTTTTTTTTTTTGTTTTTTTTGTTTTTTTTTTTTGAGACAGTCTCGCTCTGTCATCCAGGCTGGAGTGCAGTGGCATGATCTTGGCTCACTGCAACCTCCGCCTCCCAGGTTCAAGTGATTCTCCTGCCTCAGCCTCCCGAGTAGCTGGGACTACAGGTGCGCACCACTACACCCCGCTATTTTTTTTTCTATTTTTTTTTTTTGGTATTTTTACTAGAGACAGGGTTACGCCATGTTGGCCAGGCTGGTCTAGAACTCCTGACCTCAGGTGATCTGCCCGCCTCGGCCTCCCAGAGTGCTGGGATTACAGGCATGAGCCACCACACCCCACCAGACCCTCTATTTGATAATAGGTTGCATAAAGCGTAACCTCAAGTTTCAGACATCCTGAAAGACCTCGAACCTTGGGCCAGCCCAAGAAAGCTGGAGACATTTCTCACCCCCATACGGGGACAGGCAGGTGGGAGGAGGGTGTGGCTGGCAGCCCAGTGGAGTCACCATAGCCACAAACCATGAGGTTTGGGATCAAGTGGGCCCTAACCCTGATCCCACTGCAGCTGCAGGAGACAGGCAGGCGTTCCCTGTTCTCACATCAGACACTTCTGGGGCCTTCCACTGAGGATCGGTCACACCCTCCCTGGGGAGCCCACTGGAGGCCCCTGGGAACTGCTCAGGAGTGTGTGGCTACTGCCAGCAGAGGCCGGGCTGCCAGGGCTGGCTGCTTCCCTCTAGAAGGAGCCGGAAGCTTCCATCTAGAAGGTGAGCCTGCCATCTAGCGTCCCAGTCTGGGCCGCGCAGGGACAAAGGAGCTTTCCCTGCACTGTCGTGTTGGTCACATTCAGCCCCACGGCATATTTAACTGCTGCCCACCTTCTCCCCACCATCGTGAGGTGAGAGCAAACCACCCTCGTTTCAGGGTGAATTTGATTTTTAGAAACAGCTGAAAGTCGTTCTAAGCCAAATGGTTATTGGTGGGAATTCAAAGAGTTTCCCCTGTGGCTTACAACTGTCTAAAGGCAGGTGACTATTTTCAAGTATTTATATATATATATATATATATATATATATATATATATATATATTACATATAATAATATCTATTATATTATATATTAATTATTAACTCTAATATATATATTAGAGTTTCGGGAGCAATTAAAAGTCTCATTGTTTTCATGCCAACAGTGTATACCATGGAACTCAATGTTTTCATACAGAACTTAAAGTACATCTTCCTCTTAGAAATGAGTGTAAGTGCTATCTTTTCCATGCAGACCTAACTTCTACAGGAGAGGAAGAATGGTCTGATTTATTCGGCTGCTGAGGGGAGAGTTATCCACACTGAGCCGGGGATGGAGCCTGGGATAGAGTTAATAATCGAGATATATATAAATAAAATATATCCTGGACCTTCGGAGTTAAGCATTTAATCCAGCAATTGGGCCCTGCCTTTGGGACTGTTTGTCCCAGGGCTTTTTGGGGAAGACTTAGATCTAGGAAAGGGCTAATGGAGGGACATGGAACAGGAGATCAGCTCTGTCCCTGCTCCTCAAAGAAGGGCAACTGCAGGAGGTATGCAGCCCAGTGCCCAAGCCAAGGGTGGCAAAGGACGTGGAGCTCATCTGAGGATACAGGGAAAAGCACCAGAAAGTCAAAGCCACAGTCCCAGATATTTGTTTCTGGTGTGAGTGGCTGAATGCTGCTGCTTCCCTGGAGAAGAGCAGAAATCCAGGGCCCCAGAATGAGCCTGACCGGGGTAGGGTAAGGGGGTGGACAAAGGGAGCCCTCCCCAAACTAATGATGATCTCTGGAGATCAGGCCTCAGTTCCTGAGCAGCCTTGAGTTCCCTGTGTCCTGGGAAGGCCTTGCTGCTACTCCTAGAGCCCCTTTTTTCCTGGAGCAAAGGGTAGACCCCTCTACTAGGATCCTTGCTGACTTCCACCTTATCTGAGCACAAAGAGTTGCCTTCGGTTAGAGACTAGGATTTAGGTGTGGCCACTTTGGGGAGGGTGGATTAATCTTTTTAACATGGAAAGAGGCCAAGAAAACAGGGCCCTCATTTGGCCTTGAGAGCCTGGCAACTCCACTATTCCCTTTGATTAGCAAAATTCTAGAGCTCGAAGAATACCAGATAATATATGCAGAAGGAAGAAAAAAAATTTTTTTTTTTTGAGGCAGAGTCTCACTCTGTCGCCAGGCTGGAGTGCAGTGGCACGATCTTGGCTCACTGCAACCTCTGCCTCCTGAGTTCAAGTGATTCTCCTGCCTCAGCCTCCCGAGTAGCTGGGACTATAGGCGCGTGCCAACACACCCAGCTAATTTTTGTATTTTTAGTAGAGATGGGATTTCACCATGTTGGCCAGGATGGTCTCGATCTCTTGACCTCGTGATCCGCCTGCCTCAGCCTCCCAAAGTGCTGGATTTACAGGCATGAGCCACCGTGCCTGGCCTGAAAAAAATTTTTTTAAATCACTAAGACTTGAAATGACATAATGGACTTAGGTCACAATCAACAAATGCTAAAATCATCAGGTGAAAGGTTAATGGAGAACTTTATGGGATGATGCTACCTAAACCCATTGATCAATCCTATTAGTATTAAAAGTGAAAAAAAAGATATTAATATTATATGTCTCACAGTAATGCCACCCTAGAAAGTATAGGTGCCTAAAAACATTGACCTTGAATCTAATCAAGGCCCAGATATAACTATCAGTTTACAGAAAATATGGAGGATGGAAGAATATGTTAACCACTCCACAGTGAAGCAGACAGATACGGAACTTAAGACATTATACAGAACAAATTACCTGATTCCCTGTCAAATCAGTGACAAGGGTGAACTGCTTCAGAATAAAAGAAACGAAAAAGACACAACCATATGCAATATGTGGAGTTTTAAAAAACAACTGAAAAAAGATGTCTTTGAGATAATCAGGTAATTTGAATATGGATTGAGTTTAGATGATATTGAGGAATTGTTCTTTTTTTTAAGTAAACAATGACATTGTGAAATGTATTAAAAAGTCTTATCAATTACAGATTAAAACTTAAGTGTTCCAAACGAAATGTCAAACTACCTAATATTTGCTTTAATATACACTAGAAGGAAAAAAGAGTTGGGGGAGAGGAAGCAAGATTGGCCAAATGTTGATAATGATTGAGGCTGGGTGATGGATACATGGAGATTCTTTTTATTCTGATTTTTTGAGTATATTTAGAAATTTCCATAACACACACACACACACACACACACACACACACACACACACACACTCTTCATGGTGCCCTTGACCCTCATGCAGATCATGGTTATTTCATATTATGTAAAATTCAGCCTCAGTCTGGTGTCTGAGAATAGGAAGACTTATAGAGAAGAGGCAAGAAATATCTTTGGGGAAGTTTGGGAGATTCCTTCCTTCAAACACTTTAGATTTGAAAAGACAACTGCGAGAACAGAGAAACGAAGGCACGTGTCGCACTGACACACCCACAGAGGCACATGCAAAATCACACACACATAACCTGACCCTCACACAGACCCTAGCACACCCACCAGGACCTGTGAGAGTGTCCAAATGCCCACAGGGCATGAGAACACATTCTCTTCCCAGCCGGTGCTGAAATATAAATCCAAATAAAATCAAATGAGGGCCTGGCGTGATGGCTCACACCTGTAATTCCACTTTGGCAGGAATGCCACTCCACTTTGGGAGGCTGAGGTGGGCGGACCACTTGAGGTCAGGAGTTCGAGACCAGCCTGGGCAACCCTGTCTCTACTAGATATACAAAAGTTAGCCGGGCATGGTGGTAGGTGCCTGTAATCCCCACTACTTGGGAGGCTGAGGCAGGAGAATCACTTGAACCTGGGAGGCAGAGGTTGCAGTGAGCTGAGATCGCACCACTGCACTCCAGCCTGGGTGACAGAGGGAGACTCTGTCTCAAAAACAAACAAACAAATAAATAAACAAATGAATTCAGTAGCACTGAATATTAACGCATGGCTATATAGAGGAAATGAAATGAAAACAAAACGCTCAAAAATCATCCTAGGATTCCTGGAACATCTGTATTTACTTGAGGATAAAGTTTAAGGTTATCTCAAAAAAAAGCATCAAAAGAAAAAAAGATGATAGTATTTGGCTTTCTTGTCCTTCATTCATCTCACACCTCACATTTCTCCTAGGAGTGCTCATCTAAACTAAGCCTCACTCAGTGCCTACATACTAAATCACCCCCAATTCTTTCTCTCTAGCTCACGCCCTCTCCTAAGCTGTAGACTGGTGTATCCAACTGCCTACTGGACATTTCTTCTTGGATGTTTTATCGTAGTTAGGGTACAGGCTAAGCTTATTTCTAAAATTCAGAGATAGGCGGCCCAGGGCAAGTTAGATGACACTGCTGTCCTCAACTTGTGCTTCTCCTCTCTAGGCCCAAGGTGGCTGCGTTAGTTCTGATTTATCTTTCAACCAGTGGAAAGGAAAAAAGGGTCAAGGGAGCTTGTGCCTACTTCTTCTAAGGGCAAAGCATACATTGCTTTTTCTTACATCCCATTGGCCAGAGTTTGGTCACATGGCCACACTTACTGTAAGGGACGCTGGGAAGTAAAGTCTTTAGCTGACTGGCCATGTGCAGTTAAAACCATTGTTATAGAAAAAGGGCAGGAAGGTATTGAGGGATAATGGGATGTCTACTATATCCCTCAGATATCACAAACTGAATATAAATAAAAGTAAAATGATCTTTTTGGCCCCCTCTCCCACAACTGTGCCTTTTGCCATCCCCAGATTGAAAAATGACCCACCATTTACCAGTCACCAAAGTAGGGTTGCCAGAGTAAATACAGGATTCCTAGTTAAATTCAAATTTCAGATAAACAAGGAATAATGTCATAGTATCGTTACGTCCCAAATATTGCATGTATTTTCATGTGCTAAATCTAGCAATCCTAGAGGCAAGCCAGGGACCTTGGAGCCATCTGGATTCCTCCTTCTTGTCCCCTTTTCAATTGCCTTCCAAGTTCTACTGACTCTTTTCTGTAATATTTCTCAATTTGTCCCCTCCCCTCCATCACTGGTTCAGGCCATCATCCTTTCTCTCAGACTCCTGGAGCTGCCTCCTGCCTGGCCTTCCCGTTTCCAGCCTTGCCTCTTTAACAAAATGCTTCACAAAGCAGGTAAATGGGCCTTCCTAACAGGCAAATCTGACCATGTCACTCCCCTGCTTTACCTCCTTCCATTGCTCCGCATGGCTTTCAGAATAAACCTCAAATGTATTAGCCAGGTTGCTAAAACCTTTGATCATTTGACGTCTCTCTGTCTCCCATTCTAGCCCCATCTCCCTGAAGCTGTATTCCATTCCCATCACCTATGCCCCTGCCATGTCAAGCCTCTGAGAGTCCTGTGAGGGCACCATATTCTATCTTTTTTATTTTTTTTTTTTTATTTTTAGAAACAGGGTCTCACTATGTTCCCCAGGCTGGCCTTGAACTCCTGGGCTCAAATGATCCTCCTGCCTCAGCCTCCTGAGTAGCTGGGATTATAGCCGTAAGCCATCACACCTGGCTTCTATCCCTTTTGATATTATGTCTTTTCTATACAGTAAGGGCTTCTCATTCCTATCGCCATCCCCACACCCACCCTACCCTTCTCCTTTGCTCGGCAAAATCCTACCCATTCTGAAAAACCCAGCTTAGATGTCACCTCCTCAGGTGGCTCATGCCTGTAATCCCAGCACTTTGGGAGGCTAAGGAAGGCGGATCACTTGAGGTCAGGAGTTCGAGACCAGTCTGGCCTACATGGTGAAACCCCGTCTCTACTAAAAATACGAAAATTAGCTGGGCATGGTGGTGTGTGCCTGTAATCTCAGCTACTCAGGAGGCTGAGGCAGGAGAATTACCTGAACCCAGGAGGCGGAGGTTGCAGTGAGCCAAGATTGTGCCACTATACTCCAGCCTGGGAGAGAGAGACTCCATCTCAAAAAAAAAAAAAAAAAAAAAAAAAAAAAAACACAAAAACATAAAAGATGTCATCTCCTCCAAGAGGCCTTCCTAACTTACCAACTTGAGCACATAATTTTGTTCCCACAGCCATTGACGCTTTATTGTTAAATTGACTTACCTGCATGTTTTCCCCAACTACATTTTAAGTTCTTTCAGGGCAAGGACTATGTCTTATTTATCTTGATACACTCAGCAACTGATACAGTAATCTGCACTAGTAAACAATTAATAAATGTTTATTGGGTGAATGATGGTTCTTTAGCTTAAAATGTTCATACGCTCGAGCTGAACGTTGCTGACCCAGCATGTCTTCATCTGGGGCTTCTCTCCCTTTCCAGATGTGGACCTTTCTGCACGAGTCTTAAGCCTGCTGTATCTTTATCCCCCTTGAAATTCTGGGCTTTGATTTCCATGGCTCAATCATGATTAAAAAAAAAAAAAAAAGCTTCTTGTCCACTCTATTACGCTCACACATAATGGATGTTGAAATAAAGAAATGACACCTTACCAAAAAAGGCCCTAGCCTGTCCCCCTCCCAAGCTGAGTTTCAGATCATGATTCCAGCTGACATGGGGCAGCTGTTAGATGAGAGTTTTTCGCCTGCCCTCCCAACTCCCGTGGCTTGCCCCCAGCCCTCCTTCACCCCCTGGGGAATGACGTCTCTTTTTTTTGTTTTGGGCCACAGTGGTATTTAGCAGGAGCAGGCAGCCATGCCTTGTTTGAGCTGTGATCTAACACCAGCTGACAGGTGGGTTTCGGGGGTGTCTCTGGGGCTGTGGCCTGTTTAGTGGATTTACCACTCTAAACTCAATTACAGGAGACTTTCATGCTCCACAGGCAACTCCGGTCCCTTTTTGATAAAAACTCCAGTGAGTAAATAAGTCATGATGGTGATAGGGGCCTGCCATTTAATATTCATTGAAGTACACATGTTTGGAAATTGGAAGCAGAGTTTAATCCATTTTCATATTTATATCAACATACAGCTTTAAAAAGGATCTCTCTTTTTCTCCAGCAATCTCATCAATTTCTCATTTGGAAAGATAAAGGTAAAATGGGCACATATATTATTTTTTTAAAATTAGAAAGATCTGAAGTTTTAATTATTAAAGTGTGAGTTTTAGATCTGTTGATTTTCAATGAAGCACTAATTCCCTCATTTTATCTGAACTAGGAGAAGTAGGTAACAAGTAAATCAAAGTCACTGCTGTTTCTTGCAGCTGCATTTTTGTGTTTCATTTTGTAACAGGAGCTCAGCAAAAAGGAGAAATCAAAGATGATGGGGACCTCACCTCCAAGATCTCAGAATTTCGGGGAATGTTTCATAGCCATCCAAAGTAATGCAAAAGCACTCCCTTTGAATAAAGGTAACATTCACAATATTACAAATGTTCATGCTCACTAGTAAAAGTTCCAGGACTGTTCATTGACGGAGGCAGGAACCCTGGAGGGAAAGAGTTAACACAGTGAAGGGTTTGGGGCATTGTTTTGTTGTCTCTCCCCAACTCTCTACTTTTTTTTTTAATGTGGATGAATGTTTAAGTATGGTCCTGTGGTTGAAGGCATCTCTTTTAATAATGCAACACACAGCTTCCTGAGGGGACAGCAGTTGATTTGGAAGTGGAATATGGTGCACTCTAAATTCCTGTCCCTGCGGAAGGCTGACTAACTGATAAGTGCCATGAGCTAGCATGGGGACTCATTCTGTCAAATCAACTTGCTGGAAAGGCCCCATGCGGAATCTTCTCCAGTCTCCAGGAGCTAATGTGAGCAGACACTTGTGACATTAGACAGTACAGCAGGCCTGGCATGAAGAAAAAGTTCACCATCCACAGACAAGGTGGTCTTTTAGATGACAAGGATAAAGAAACCAGTGCAAATTTGTTAATGTAACAACTTGGAAAAGTATGCTTAAAAATAAAAGCCACTCTGTGGGGAGAAAGGATCAAAAGAAAAAGGCAACAATAGTACTTGAAAACTTTCTTGGGGTGTTCTGTCCCTTTTGGAGGTCTGTCTTTCCTCCTGGTCCTCCTTCTAGGCTGGGGTACCTTCTGTTAAGTGAGTGAGTCCCAAACTCTGTCATCCCTCAAGGCATTATTCCACCTGAAACTGAATAAAGTAAAAGAAAAGGAAGAAAAGGAAAAGCAGTGAAGAGAAAAGAAAGGAAAATTCGAGTGCCTTTTGCCTTCCTGGAGAAAATTATATCTTTCCTAATTCTGATGGGTGATCACCTGATTGTTTCTAAGTAAGAATTTTTATCTGTCTGATCTTGGTCCATTTGGCCTGGAGGAAAATTGAAGTGATTATTACCCAGGAAAAGATACGGTGATAAGAGGGTGTTACCTCTGCTTCAAAATACATCTACAAAAATATAAGTAGACCTCTATAGCTGGAACAAATGAAAAGTATTTAAGAATTAAACAACACTATAGGGGAGAATGTTGTTATTAAGATCAAACAGACAAATCGGATGGTTTTGAGTGTCCGATTCAGAGAAGTGGCTTTGCCTGTTGTTTTTCCCCTTTAGTTGGGTCCATGTGATCAGATGGTAATTTGGTGTTGCATATTTATCCTAGATTTAAAGTAGGAAAAAACACAGCATACCTTTGCGTATGACTGACTATTTCTTAGCTCTTCCATGGAAGCTGAGGAAGCATAGGCTTTAGAGAGAGGCAACCTCAGTTCAGGTCCTGGCTCTGCCACTTACTAGTTGGTGATCTTGGGAAAGCTGCTTAATAAAAATACCTACCTGAAAAGATTATTTTTAAAATACCTGCCTCATTAAGAATATTATAACGTGAGTTAATACATATGAAGTTCTGAGAGCAGTCTGGGGTATACTGGGTGCTAAAAAATTTCACAATGATTTTTATTTAAATGAATCTAAATGAGTTCCCATAGGTTCTTAATTATTATAACTAAAAAGAAGGGTTTTGTGGTCAAATAAGTTGAGGAATCAGGTTTAACACTTTTTTTTTAATTTTTTTGAGACAGAGTCTTGCTCTGTTGCCAGGCTGGAGTGCAGTGGCAGGATCTTGGCTCACTGCAACTTCCGCCTCCTGGGTTCAAGCGATTCTCCTGCCTCAGCCTCCTAAGTAGCTGGGACTACAGGCCCCCGCCACCATGTCTGGCTAATTTTTGTGTTTTAGTAGAGACAGGGTTTCACCATGTTGGCCAGGATGGTCTTGATCTCTTGACCTCATGGTCTGCCAGCCTTGGCCTCCCAAAGTGCTGGGATTATAGGCATGAGCCACCGCACCCGGCTGACACAATTTGTTTTAATAATAGTGTTTCTCAGAGCCTTTACTATGCAAATTTGTGTTACAAATATCTAAGGAAGAATTGACCCTCTAATGTTTGACCATGTAATCCTTTTTCACAGACAGTGCTGATGCCCAAGTGAGGGAACAATGGGTTTCCCAAACTGTGGCCCTGAAATTAAGGAAAATGTTAGGCCTGGCATGGTGGCTCACTCCTCTAATCCCAGTACTTTGGGAGGCCAAGGCAGGAGGATTATTTGAGTCCAGGAGTTCAAGACCAGCCTGGGCAACACAGGGAGACCTCATCTCTACAAAAAATTTAAAAATTAGCCAGGCATGGTGGTGCACACCTGTAATCCCAGCTACTTGGGAGACTGGGGTGAGGGGATCTTTTGAACCTGGGAGAAGGAGGCTACAGTGAGCTGTGATTGTGCCACTACGGTTCAGGCTAGGCAACAGAGCAAGACTCTGTTTCAACAAAAAAAAAGAAAATAAAATTTGGAGTCAGGGTGTATGAAGCACTAGCACAATAATTCAAAAAATGGTCATTGGTTACTATATAGACCTCATAGGTCTCAGTTAGACCCTGTTTAAAACTGCATTTTTCTAAGTGGGACTGGCAGGAGGCAAAATAGTGTATGGTTAAAACAGACTCTGGAATCAGACAGATCTGGGTTTGAATCCGTCAAAGCACATTACTAAATATCTCTAAGCCTCAGTATCCTCAGCTGTCAAATTTGGGGAAGAGTGATACTTACCTCCTTGGCTTGACATGAGTTAAGTGAAGTTATGCCTGGTTTTGTTGGTCTGATCCCAAAGCTCTTAGAACCACTGTGCTTTAAAAAATTACTACATTCATGTAATCACAACAGCAGGGCTAAAGTCTGTCAACAAATAATGAATTACTTCTGTTCTCAACCACTCTGCTCATTCAGAGCCCTTGGTGCCTCCAAGGATGCAGTTGAAAAAGCAGGAATGGAAGTCAGCCTCTGTGGGTTGTAGAGCACACTTCGTGCTTGATCAAGTAGTTTATTGATGAACATACATGACCAATTTACAAAGATTACCACATCTCTTTGTGCCCAGTTTTCCTGTCTGAAAACAACAAACAAAAACAATAACAGCACACCTTTCTTACTGATCTCAGGGTAATTGTTATCATCTGAAATGCTCATGTACATATGATTGTCTTGCACTATGAAGGCCTATCGCTTTTTCAAAAACAATTTATTGAATGCTTACTGTAGTCCAGGAAGTATACTAAGTCTTACATGTAACACTTCATTTTAATTCTCACTATGAGGTGGATATTATTATACCTAGTTTAGAGATGAGGAAACCAAGGCTCAGGGAGGCTAGGTCCTGCTAATTTCCAGCAAGCTCTCATAATTAATAAGTAGTAGTGCCAAGAATAAAATTCAGATCTGATCCCAAAGCTCTTAGAACCACTGTGCTTTAAAAAATAAGAATATTAAAACACATTTTAAGTTTGAAATTAGTATTGGCCACATATAATTCATCTCTCTATCAGGTTCTCCAAACCTTTTTGCTGTTCTAAAAACCCTTAACTTGGACAGCAGCCACCAGTTAAATGAATGAGGATGAAGCATTAGGTAGAAAACAAAATGGTCAACACAGGATCCAGTCTCTTAGTTGGATGATTATTTATGGACACTGGCTAGTTGACTAACTTTCCCTGTGACCTAGATATATTTGCTCTGAGTATTACTATGACTAGCATATATTTGAAGACACCAACTGGAGACAGTTTAGTCAGCTGTATTAGTTGATCTATGATGTCCCTGAATGGCAAACTGACTGAACAGCAGGCAGCTTCATGGACTGAAGCTGGTAGAGCAAGGTCTCTGTCAGAGAGGAAGAAAATCCATATTAATGATACACTATAAAACACTTTTTGTTAGTTACATATATTCCTTTACTTTCATTTCCCAAGAATAGCTCAGCTGTCAAAGCATTTCCAAGATTTCCATAGATTCGGCAAATACTGTGCGATCGAATTATTGCTCTGAGAGAAGATACAATTAAAACACATTAATCATTGTAACAAAAGATCCTTATTGAGGCTGACAATGATGGTGAAATCTGATGAATAATTAGTCTGGTTAATCTTTTAAAAGTGAATTAAACTGCTAACAAGTTAAATCGCTGTGATTTTCAAAATAAGCCTCCAGGGAGAGCAGAGATTGGGGATTATTATGATCATTGTAAAAAGATATTTTATTCCTCTCTCTCATCTCTGAGCTTGCACTGGAGACCCTGTGGTTAGAAAAGTGGGACTCTGACAACCAAGTGGGAGAATGGTCACGGTGTGAGGGTGTGTTCTTTGCTTTTCCCCCCAATGATTTCTCTATATTTTGAAGAGAGTCGCACAGTGGCTGGAAAAGGAACTAGGCATGACCTTTCAATCTGACCCAGAACTAACATGGCACCCGCTTACCAGCCATTCTCAAAAACCCATCCATTAAGTGGACCCATCATGTGGTTCTGATGTCTTGCCACTGTAAACCAATCAACTGTAACAATGGGGTCAGTCTTGTATAATTTTCCCTTATTTTTACCCTTCTCTTCGGTGAGATGGTTTATTCTTCTGGACAACACCTCTCCTCTTAGCATAGGAATGAAAATCAGCTTTGATTTGCCGTATTCTGAAATAAAATGAGATGGACAAATATGAACTGATAAATCATGGGAAATGGGAAATGGATGGAAAGCGGCAACAGTCATTTGGGCTAAAGTCTTAACTCTGGCCGATCCTCTACAATTTTTGCAAGTTGTAGTGAACGCTGTGATGCATGGTCCAGATTCCCCTCTAGGAGTGAAGGTCTTTTTCCCCTAGCCACTGGCAGTGCTACTGGAACTTGGCCGTCGGCTGTTAGTCCCCTAGGAAGATTGCACTTGCGTGAACAAAATTGCCTCTCCTGAGGTCACACTTCCTGCCAGGATTTTTTTTTATCAGTGTGGGGTATTAAGATCAGCCTAAGTTGGGACAACTCTGAGAGGTCATCCTAGTGCTTAAAGAGTTCCCCGTGGCATCAACTGAGGCCTTTGTTGGGATGGCATTACAACTCGACTTCTACCCAATCCCAGTTTCTTCTCCTTCTTTCTGTAAATACTGATCATGAGAGCACTCCTTAATCAATCAACTCACTGCTAAACTTCATCTCAAAATCTGACTCCTGGCAGCCTTACCCTATGACAGGAGAAGTCACGCTTTTGAGGTGGAGGTCTCTGACAGCTACTGGTCCCACAAAAACAAGTGGGAAAAGTGTGTCCACCAGGCTGTCAACTCAGCTGGCGGAGAAACTGCTGCATGTCCTAGCTCCGAATTGCTCCCACAGCCAGTGCATGCGTGTCAACAGACACTATAGGAGTATCAAGAATATTTAAAGGAGACTGGGCATGGTGATTCACGCCTATAATCCCAGCACTTTGGGAGGCCAAGGCAGGCTGATCGCTTGAGGTCAGGAGTTTGAGACCAGTCTGGCCAACAGGAAGAAATCCTGTCTCTACTAAAAATACAAAAATTAGCCGGGCGTGGTGGTGCACACCTGTAGTCCCAACTACTCAGGAGTCTGGGGCGTGAGAATCCTTTGAAGCCGGGAGGTGGAGGTTGCAGTGAACCAAGAATGTGCCACTGCACTCCAGTCTGGGCGACAGAACAAGACTCTGTCTCAAAAATAAATAAATAAATAAATATGCCGGGTGCAGTGGCTCATGCCTGTAATCCTAGCACTTTGGGAGGCTGAGGCAGGCAGACTACGAGGTCAGGAGATCAAGACCATCCTGGCTAACACGGTGAAACCCCGTCTCTACTAAAAATACAAAAATCAGCCGGGTGTGGTGGCGGGCGCCTGTAATCCCAGCTATTTGGGAGGCTGAGGCAGGAGAATCGCTTGAACCTGGGGGGTAGATTTGCAGTGAGCCGAGATCGCCACTGCACTCTAGCCTGGGCGAAAGAGCAAGACTCTGTCTCTAAATAAATAAATAAATCAATAAATAAATAAATAAATAATAAAAATATTTAAAAGAGTCTGAGGGTGGGAGGAGAGAAAGAGAGAAACTATCATAGACAAAAAGCTTGTAGCTTTAAAAATTTGTCTTTGAGTTAATCTTACCTAGTTATCCTTGGCATTTGAAGTCAAATAGACTTTAAGCAATTTCTTTATTTTGGGTTAGCTACTAAATTTTTCTGAGGTGGCTTCCTCATCTATAAAGCAGAAAGGCACAATCAGCCTCACAAGCTTGTCGTGGGTTGAAACATCAGTTGCCTAGTAGTCCCAAACCTGGCCTTTGGTAGACACTTGGTAAGAATTTATTTATCTTGTATATCCTCCATTCTCCTCATGCCATTTTCCAGATTCCAGGAAAATCACTGCTTTTCTTTTTGTTGTTGTTTTCTGATTGGCTCCATCCATCCCAATGTTTTTCTGGGGATTCTGTTTCAGGCTGAGGGTATCTGACAGTGTTTGGCCACCCATCTTCAGACTAAAGGGTCTCTCTCTAGATGGCTAGTCTCATCAATTCAGTCCTATACATTTTAGTTCTGGAGTGGGTGCACTTCATTGTAATCCCCCTGGGAACTGAGACAACCCAGCAATGTCCAAGTGTGATTATTTTCATTTTAAATCTAAGCTCTGCTCTTGGTTTCATGTGCAGAAGTCATTTCTCCCAACTAAACTGTAAGTTCTGTGAGGGCAGTTAGCATATCATCTCTTGCAACCTATAGGATCTAGCCTGGAGGAAGAATTTTTTGCCAAATTACTTGGGGTTGTGACAAAGAAACTAAGAGAATAAACCATGTTCTTAAAAATTAATATTTCCTGGAATCTTCCCAATCACTAAGTGGCAATTTCCAAGCCACTTTAGGTTTTTTTGTTATTGTTGTTTGTTTATTTTTTGAGACAGAATCTGGCTGTGTTGCCCAGGCTGGAGTGCAGTGAGGCAATCTCAGCTCACTGCAACCTCTGCCTCCTGGGTGATTCTTATGATCTGGGAAGTCTGGCGAATAGCAGAGTGGACCCTGTTATGGATTTAAATAGAAAGGACCTTGCCACTGGAGACTGGATCCTGACATTTCTTGAAGGTCATCAGAATTTGTATTTATCACAAATTCTTGAAGCCAAGGAACTAATTCTAAACTTATATCTCAGACCTATATCCTACTAATTCTCCCTATCCCCTCTCTCTGCTTTGTTTTTCTATCACCATCTGACGTACTATTCGCTTATTTGTCAATAAAGATAGGAATTTTGTTTTGTTAACTGCTGTGTCTTTATCAGGACTGTGGCAGGTATGGTGTATAGTATAGCAAATGCAAAAAAAAAAATAGTTGTCATATTAATTAATGTTTCTCCAGTTGGGAAATGGCTTCTGATATCCTGACTCTGTTACCCACTACCCACTTCCATTGAAATGCCTCATGGGAACTTTAAACTTACGTCCAAGATTGAGCTCATCATTTCTCCCATCTCAGCCCAAACCGTGTCTTCTTCCAGTGTTCCATGGCTTGGAAAATAGACTCACCAACCACCCTGCTGCTCAGGTTGGAGTCATCCTTGACTCCCCCAAATCTATATACTGCCAGCCACTAAGGCTTTTTCATTCTACCCGTCATCCAGCTCTCAAATCTGTCCTCATTTCTCCAGCATCTTAGTTCAACTCATCATTATCTCTTGCCTGGATTATTATTATTATTTGAGATGAAGTCTCACTCTGTTGCCCAGGCTGGAGTGCAATGGCGTGATCTTGGCTCACTGTAACCTCCACCTCCCGGGTTCAAGCAGTTCTCCTGTCTCAACCTCCTGAGTAGCTGGGATTACAGGCATGCACCATGACACGCAACTAATTTTTTTGTATTTTTAGTAGAGACGGGGTTTCACCATGTTCGCCAGGCTGGTCTCAAACTCCTGACCTCAGGTGATCTACCCACCTCAGCCTCCCAAAGTGCTGAGATTACAGGCGTGAGCCACCACACCTGGTTGCCTGGATTATTGCAGAAAAGATTCCTCTAGTCTTAACCTCCTCCCCAGTCCATTTTCCTTACAGAGGGATTTTTCTAAAATAGTAATCTAATAATCTTTACATAAACCTTCTCATGGTTCCATATTATTTTTAGATGTAGTTTAATTGACTTAATTTGACAGACTAGGCCCTTCATGACCAATTTCTGTCATCTACTTCCCCATCTCCTTGACCTCTTGATCCGACAAAAGAAACTATTCATTTTTCAAACAGATCAGCAGTGGTGAACCAAGAGTGGAATGGTGAGAGCAATCTGCCTGGGTGAGGGCAGGAATGGGATGCATTGTTTCACAGAACATCCACTTCAGACATGGTCACTGTGCAACACAGAGCACCATATATCCCACTCTCCAGCTTCTTTATCAATTACAGTTTTGGTCTTTGGTCTCTCCCACTATAAGACTTATTAAAATGTCAAATCATAGAATTGCGTCCACTTTCTAATGGCACCCAATCCAGAGTAAACCCCTGCTTCCTTAGACCCTCCTGCAAATTACCCAACTAAAGCCCAGATCCAAACCAAATAGGTTTTTTCTAATATCCTATTTCTGAGACATCCCATGGGTTCTCATGGTGTGTGTCCTCCCTCTATGCAAACAAATAATAAACCCAACTTGTTCAATTACAGATTAGCTGATGATGTGTGCCCGTAGTCTCAGCCTCTCAAGTAGCTGGAACTTCAGGTGTGCACCATCACGCCCAGCTAATTTGTGTCCCTTGTCATTTTTGGCTGAAGGGAATTCATAAAATACAAACAACAAATCTTTCGTAAGTCTTAAGTACTAAACAATTGCTGCAATTACTGTTAATTTTAATTATATGTATATAATTAATATATATAACTTTCAAATTAGCCCAATTTTATTACTTATCTCTTAATAATCATTGCAGTCTTTGTAAAAGGTACTTTGGAACACTCAAGTATACAGTCAAGTCCCATGCATATGAGCTCAGCTCTATGTATTTGTCTCAAGAGTAAGTTTACAATCATTTGGAATCATTCTTGCTCTCAAGTCTTCAGCTCCCAGCATACTACATATTTCTGTGAATATGTATCTTACTACATATTCTAGTGAAAGGAGAAATTGTCCACATGTACAAAGTACCAACCTCTCTTGTCAGTAGACTTGAAATAACAATAACAGTACAGTGACTGTCAAGTCTAAGAAACACAATTTTTAACACAAAAGCTCCAAATGGAAACATTCAGAAGTGTCTAGAGTCAGAGGGCAAAAGACATGAAAAGTATTGCACCTTGTGGAATTTATTATGAAGTGGAATTTTTATGAATCTTTACCCTATTTGATTTTTGTTGCTTCATGTGAAAGAAACTTTTCAATAAAATGAATAAAAATGTTCCTTGATCAACTGTAGGTGAAGGTGGGTTGAAAAATCTAGCTATACTG
Organism: Homo sapiens; assembly: GCF_000001405.40. NCBI lineage: Eukaryota > Metazoa > Chordata > Mammalia > Primates > Hominidae > Homo > Homo sapiens. The sequence goes on along the minus strand of NC_000002.12, from coordinate 44,028,425 downwards.
ATTGTTGGATGGGAACATGCAAATAAAACCAGTTTTGATGTAGTCATTGATAAATCTGCAGAAGTTAAATCTCAAAAACAGAAATTATAATATTATTATTCAGCTACAGAACAATACATAGGTATTAGTTTTTCCCCTTTGAAAAATACATTATGAATTTTAAACATCATTTTATTACTCTTTTCCTTTTTCTGTCATAGTATCTATTTAATTTTATTTCTTTACATTTTACAGGCCAGGTGCAGTGGCTCACGCTTGTAATACCAGCACTTCGGGAGGCCAGGGCGAGTGGATCACTTGAATCCAGGAGTTTGAGACCAGCCTGGGCAACGTGGCCAAACCCCGTCTCTATAAATAAATAAATAAATAAAATTTACAGGCATCATTATATATATATGATATTATATAAAAGAAATTTTTCACTATTTTCATTTTTCTAGCCATTATTTTCTTTCTTTTATCTTATGATTCTTACCAAATAATTTTGTGGAATAGAGAAGGGGGCATTTAAAAAGAATCTGCTCTGAATACCCAACTCATTAAATACACTCCACAGAACAGACTTGCTCAGCCTCAGGACCTCAGCCTCGATTTTTCCCCCCATTTCTTGTCAAGTAACCTCCACTCATCCTCAGGCCTTAGCTAAAATGATATTTCTTCTGGGAAAACACCTTTAAGCCTTTTCCAGTCAGAGCCCCTGTTACATTTTCCTCTGGGCCTATACTTCCTTTTTGTATCGTCAGTGTTTGTTCAATTGTTTATTACCATGGCTAGCTTGTGAGTGGCATAAGGAAAGGGTCTGTATCTTGTTTACTCAATAAATGTTTGTTGAGTGCACTAAATTATGAATCGCCTCCCATGACATTTGAGGAAACAAAGCAAGTAAGTAATTGGCGTTAGCTACACAGTGAGTCTTTGGATAAAATTCCCAAAGCAAGAAGCCTCTAAATATAGAAATTCCCACAGCAGGCTTGTGTTGTAACAATCAATAGAGCCAACTGGTTTTTTTTTTTTTTTTTTTTTTTTGAGACCAAGTTTCCCTCTGTCACCCAGGCTGGAGAATAGTGGCACAATCTCAGCTCACTGCAGCCTCCGCCTCCCAGTTCAAGTGATTCTCCTGACTCAGGCTCCTGGGTAGTTGGGACTACAGGCACCTGCCACCACGCCCAGCTAGTTTCTATATTTTTAGTAGAGACGGGGTTTCACCACGTTGGCCAGCCTGATCTTAAACTCTTGACCTCAAGTGATCCACCTGCCTTGGCCTTCCAAAGTGCTGGGATTACAGACATGAGCCACCACACCTGGTCCATAGAGCCAATGTTACCTTCCCTCTATTCTTTCCCTTTCCTTTCTTCCTTTCCTTCCTTCCTTTCTTTCTTCCTTCCTTCCTTCCTCCCTCCCTCCCTCCCTCCCTCTGTCTCTCTCTCTCTCTTTCTTTCTTTCTTTTTTCTTTGTCTTTCTTTCTTTCTTCTTTTTTTCTTTCTTTTCTTTCTTTCTTTCTTTCCTTCCTTCCTTCCTTCTTTCTTCTGTCACCCAGGCTGGAGTGCTGAGAGGTGATCATGGCTCACTGCAGCCTCAGCCTCCTAGGCTCAAGCAATCCTCCCACCTCAGCCTCCCTAATAGCTGGGTGTACAGGTGCACACCATCACACCTGGCTAATTTTTGTATTTTTTGTAGAGAGAAGGTTTCACCATGTTGCCCAGGCTGGCCTTGTGCTCCTGAGCTCAAGCAATCTGCTGCCTTGGCCTCCCACAGTGCTGGGATTACAGGTCGGAGCCATCGCACCTGGTCCTTCTATTCTTTCAATCCCTGCCTCTCTCTACCCTCTGATACCACAGAGGTACCACAGGAAAATCAATGTAAAGATAAAGAAGGTGAAAATCCACTAGAGATGCCTAAAAACAAATTGAATACCAGAAGGGAATAGGGATTGGGGGAAAAGAGAAGATGAGGTATAGGAAATGCCCTTGACCCTAAAGTAGACCTATGAGAAGCAAGCACTTCCCTTCTTACTCCCTGACCCTGCTGGGGACAAAGTTCTCAGAATTAGGAGGAGTGAAGGGATAATAAACTTGGGTCTTCAAAGGCCACCCCAAAAAAAAACCTAGAGGAAAGAAAAGACAAGACTGACTCCTAGAGTGAGGATCAGAGAGTGTCCAGTTTTCCTGAGAGTCCACTGCTAGCCCAGGTCAGCATGTATCAAAAGAGAAGAGCTCAGGCCTCCTGTCCAGGAAATGTCTGGAGGTCTCTTGTCTTTAGCACTTTAACACGCGAATTCAGCTGGGCGTGGTGGCTTACACCTGTAATCCCAGCACTTTGGAAGGCCGAGGTGGAAGGATTGCTTCGGCCCAGGAGTTCAAGACCAGCCTGGGCAACATAGTGAGACCCTTATGTCTACAAAATAAAAATTAAAAAAAAAAAAAAACTAGCCAAGCAAAGTGGCATGCACCTGTAGTCCTACCTACTTGGGAGACTGAGGTGGGAGGATTGCTTAAGCCTAGGAGTTTGAGACCAGCCCGGACAACTTTGTGAGACCCCCAACTCTACAAAACAAAAAAAAATTAAAAAATTAACCCGGCATGGTGGCATGTACCTGTAGTTCCAGCCACTCAGGAGGCTGAGATCGGAGGAGGCTTGAGCCCAGGAGGTAAAGGCTGCAATAAGCTGTGATAGTACCACTGCACTCTGGCCTGGGTGACAGAGTGAGACCCTGTTTCAAAAAAGAATACAAAACAAACCCAAAAATAAACAAAAACAAAACAAAACAAAAAATAAACCAATGAGGACTCAGGGTGAGGAAATACACGTGGCTTATGTTGCTGAGAGCCCTTGAGTCACTTGGGTTCAAGGATGACATCCAACCCATAGGATGCCTCACAGGGGATCCTGAGCAGTCCCACAGCCTTGACCATCAAAGTTGCCCCCAGAAGGTGTGGGTGATTGAATTGGCTTCCCCAGCAGAGAAACACAGCATTCCACGTTGAATTGCTGTAGTGATTAAAATATACATTTTGAGGCAGAAAAGGATTCTTACATTATAGCAGGACCGAGAACTCCAATGTCAGGCTGGAGCCTGATACAAATTAAAAAATAAGTAACAAATCCTTCCGGAGAGGAGCTTAGAATGGAAACACTGACGGGATATAAGTATGATCTGGATTTTGATCACTACATTCTATGGAAGACACCTCCAGTATACAGTAGTTATGTAAAATACCTGTACACTGTTGTCAAGTGGCATTTTAGAAAAGCATTAGGGTAAAGTTAATTTTAAGAGCCTCAAAAACCATAGTAATGATTAAATGAGGACACCAACACTGCATTCTTTTTGCGCAAAGAAATTCAAGAGAGGCAGAAAGAAGAGGGTGACTGGTGGCAATCCACTCAGGTCCTGTCTTTTTTTCCTTCACTTCTAAGAAGTTCTCAGCTTTCACAGTCTATGTTGAAGGTCTAATTGGACAACTGGTATGCATGTGTAGCTTGATACACAGAACTTTCCCAACAGACATACAACATAAGTCACAATTACTGCTCTCAAAGAGTTAACAATCTAGTGCTAGAGTAATTCAAATGCACAGAGTACCAATATACAAAGCTATGCATTATTGATTGGTGCCTTAAAAGTCCTGATTTAGTGGAAGGATTAGTAGAAGTAAATGAAAACAAAAGGCTTAAAAGATGAGTAAAACCCTTATGAAGAGACAAAGATGTGGTGTATTTAGACCATGCCAGTCAAAGGGGCCAAAGAGCAAGAACTATGGTCAGGCAAGGTGGCTCATGCCTGTAATCCCAGCATTTTGGGAGGCCGAGGTGGGTGGATCACCTGAGGTCAGGAGTTCAAGACCAGTCTGGCCAACATGGTGAAACCCCATCTTTACTAAAATTATAAAAAATGACTGACTCTCTTTTCGGACTCAGCCCGCCTGCGCCCAGGTGAAATAAACAGCCATGTTGCTCACACAAAGTCTGTTTTGTTGTCTCTTCACATGGACACGTGAGACATTTGGCGCTGAAGACCCAGGTCAGTGGGACTCCTTCAGGAGACCAGTCCCCTGTCCTCACCCTCACTCCATGAAGAGATCCACCTACGACCTCAGGTCCTCAGACCAACCAGCCCAAGGAACATCTCACCGATTTTAATTCGGGTAAGCAGCCTCATTTTACTCTCTTCTCCAACCTCTCTCACTATCCCTCAACTTCTTTCTCCTTTCAATCTTGGCACCACCCTTCAATCTCTCCCTTCTCTTTTTTTTTTTTGAGACGGAGTCTCGCTCTGTCACCCAGGCTGGAGTGCAGTGGCGCGATCTGGGCTCACTGCAACCTCTGCCTCCCGGATTCAAGCAATTCTCCTGCCTCAGCCTCCAGAGTAGCTGGGATTACAGGCATGTGCCACCACGCCCGGCTAATTTTTTTGTATTTTTAGTACAGACAGCGTTTCACCATATTGGCCAGGCTGGTCTCAAACTCCTGACCTTGTGATCCACCCACCTCGACCTCCCAAAGTGCTGGGATTACAGGTGTGAGCCACTGCACCCGGCCTCTCCCTTCTCTTAATTTCAATTCTTTTCATTTTCTGGTAGAGACAAAGGACACACATTTTATCCGTGGACCCAAAACTCCAGTACCGGTCACGGACTTGGGAAGGCAGCCTTCCCTTGGTGTTTAATCATTGCAGAGATGCCTCTCTGATATTCACCCACGTTCCATTGGTGTCTGATTTCCACGGGGATGCCTGCCTTGGTCATTCACCCACATTCCCTTGGTGGCAAGTCAACTGCGGGGACGCCTGCTTTGGCTGCTCACCCACGTTGCAGCCCAGAGCTGCTCCCCACCCCCCTTCTCCGTGTCTCTACCCTTCTCTTTAAACTTGCCTCCTTCACTATGGGCAACCTTCCACCCTCCATTCCTCCTTCTTCTCCCTTAGCCTGTGTTCTCAAGAACTTAAAACCTCTTCAACTCTCACCTGACCTAAAATCTGAGCGTCTTATTTTCTTCTGCAATACCGCTTGGCCCCAATACAAACTTGACAGTAGTTCCAAGTGGCCAGAGAATGGCACTTTCGATTTGTCTATCCTACAAGATCTAGATAATTTTTGTCAAAAAAATGGGGAAATGGTCTGAGGTGCCTGACATCCAGGCATTCTTTTACACATTGGTCCCGCCCGAGTCTCTGCTCCCAGTGAGACTCATCCCAAATCTTTCTTCTTTCTCTCCTGTCTGTTCCTTCAGTCTCCACCCCAAGCTCTGAGTCCTTTGAATCCTTCTTTTCTATGGACTCATCTGACCTCTCCCCTTCTCCCCAGGCTGCTCCTGGCCAGGCCAAGCCAGGTCCCAATTCTTCCTCAGCCTCTGCTCCCCCCACCCTAAAATCCTTCTATCACCTTCCCTCCTCACATCTGGTCTGGCTTAAAGTTTTGTTCCGCGACTAGCCCTCCCCAACCTGTCCAAAAATTTCCCCTTAAAGAGGTGGCTGGAGCTAAAGGCGTAGTCAAGGTTAATGCTCCTTTTTCTTTATCCGACCTCTCCCAAATCAGTTAGCGTTTAGGCTCTTTTTTATCAAATATAAGAACTCAACCCAGTTCATGGCCCATTAGCAGCAACCCTTAGACGCTTTACCACCCTAGACCCAGAAGTTCCTGAAGGCTGCCTTACTCTTAATATGCATTTTATTACCCAATCCCCTCCCAGCATTAGAAAAAGCTCTAAAAATTAGATTCCGGCCCTCAAACCCCACAACAGGACTTAATTAACCTAGCCTTCAAGGTGTACAATAATAGAGTAGAGGCAACGTATTTCTGAGTTGCAATTACTTGCCTCCACTGTGAGAGAAACCCCAGCCACATCTCCAGCACACAAGAACTTCAAAACGCCTGAACCACAGCGGCCAGGTGTTCCTCCAGGACCGCCTCCCCCAGGATCTTGCTTCCAGTGCCGGAAATCTGGCCACTGGGCCAAGGAATGCCCGCAGCCTGGAATTCCTCCTAAGCCGTGTCCCATCTGTGTGGGACCCCAGTGGAAATCAGACTCTCCAACTCGCCCGGCAGCCACTCCCAGAGCCCCTGGAACTCTGGCCCAAGGCTCTCTGACTGACTCCTTCCCAGATCTTCTTGGCTTAGCGGCTGAAGACTGACGCTGCCCAATCACCTCGGAAGCCTCCTGGACCATCACAGACACTTTGGGTAACTCTTACAGTGGAGGGTAAGTCCGACCCCTTCTTAATCAACACGGAGGCTACTAACTCCCCATTACCTTCTTTTCAAAGGCCTGTTTCCTTTGCCTCCATAACTGTTGTGAGTATTGACGGCCAGGCTTCTAAACCCCTTAAAACTCCCCAACTCTGGTGCCAACTTGAACAATATTCTTTTATGCACTCCTTTTTAGTTATCCCCACCTGCCCAGTTCCTTTATTAGGTCAAGACATTTTAACTAAATTATCTGCTTCCCTGACTATTCCTGGGTTACAGCCACACCTCATTGCTGCCTTTTGCCCCGGTTCAAAGCCTCCTTCACATTCTCTCCTTGTATCTCCCCACCTTAAACCACAAGTATAGGATGCCTCTACTCCCTCCTTGGCAACCGATCATGCACCCCTTACCATCCCACTAAAACCTAATCACCCTTACCCCACTCAATGCCAATATCCCATCCCACAGCACGCTTTAAAAGGATTAAAGCCTGTTATCACTCACCTGTTACAGCATGGTCTTTTAAAGCCTATAAACTCTCCTTAGAATTCCATTTTACCTGTTCAAAAACTGGACAAGTCTTACAATTAGTTCAGGATCTGCAACTTATCAACCAAGTTGTTTTGCCTACCCACCCTGTGGTGTCAAACCCATATACTCTCCTATCCTCAATACATCCCTCCACAACCCCTCCATAACCCATTATTCTGTTCTGGATCTCAAACATGCTTTCTTTACTATTCCTTTGCACCCTTCATCCCAGCCTCTCTTCACTTTCACTCGAACTGACCCTGACACCCATCAGGCTCAGCAAAATACCTGGGCTATACTACTGCAAGGTTTCACAGACAGCCCCCATTATTTCAGTCAAGCCCAAATTTCTTCCTCATCCATTACCTATCTCGACATAATTCTTCATGAAAACAAATGTGCTCTCTCTGCTGATTGTGTCCGGCTAATCTCCCAAACGCTTCTACAAAGCAACAACTCCTTTCCTTCCTGGGCATGGTAGGATACTTTCGCCTTTAGATACCTGGTTTTGCCATCCTAACAAAACCAATATATCAACTCACAAAACCAAACCTAGCTGACCCCATAGATCCTAAATCCTTTCGCCACTCCTCTTTCTGTTCCTTAAAAAGAGCCCTAGAAGCTGCCCCCACACTAGATCTCCCTAACTCATCCCAACACTTTTCATTACACACAGCCGAATTGCAGGGCTGTGCAGAGTTCTTACACAAGAGCCAGGACCGTGCCCTGTAGCCTTTCTGTCCAAACAATTTGACCTAACTGTTTTAGCCTAGCCCTCATGTCTGCATGTGGTGGCCGCCGCCACCCTAATACTTTTAGAGGCCCTAAAAATCACAAAATATGGTCAACTCACTCTCTACAGCTCTCATAACTTCCAAAATCTATTTTCCTCCTCACACCTGACGCATATACTTTCTGCTCCCTGGCTCCTTCAGCTATACTCACTCTTTGTTGAGTCTCCCACATTACCATTGCTCCTGGCCCAGTCTTCAATCCGGCCTCCTACATTATTCCGGATACCACACCTGACCCCCATGACTGTATCTCTCTGATCCACCTGACACTCACCCCATTTCCCCATATTTCCTTCTTTCCTGTTCCTCACCCTGATCACATTTGGCTTATTGATGGCAGTTCCACCCGGCCTAATCGCCACGCACTAGCAAAGGCAGGCTGTGCTATAGTATCTTCCACATCTATCATTGAGGCTACCACTCTGCCCCCCTCCACTATCTCTCAGCAAGCCGAACTCATTGCCTTAACTCGGAGCCTCACCCTTGCAAAGGGACTATGTGTCAATATTTATACTGACTCTAAATATGCCTTCCTTATCTTGCACCACCATGCTATTATAGGGGCTGAAAGAGGTTTCCTCACTACACAAGGGTCCTCCATCATTAATGCCTCTTTAATAAAAACTCTTCTCAAGTCCACTTTACTTCCAAAGGAAGCTGGAGTCATACACTGCAAGGGCCACCAAAAGGCATCAGATCCCATCGCTCAGGGCAACGCTTATGCTGATAAGGTAGCTAAAGAAGCAGCTAGAATTCAAACTTCTGTCCCTCATGGCCAGTTTTTCTCCTCATCATAGGTCACTCCCACCTACTCCCCCGCTGAAACTTCCACCTATCAATCTCTTCCCACACAAGGCAAATGGTTCTTAGACCAAGGAAAATATCTCATTCCAGCCTCACAGGCCCATTCTATTCTGTCGTCATTTCATAACCTCTTCCATGTAGGTTACAAGCTGCTAGCCCATCTCTTAGAACCTCTCATTTCCTTTCCATCATGGAAATCTATCCTCAAGGAAATCACTTCTCAGTGTTCCATCTGCTATTCTACTACCCCTCAGGTATTGTTCAGGACCCCTCCCTTTCCTACACATCAAGCTCAGGGATTTGCCCCTGCCCAGGACTGGCAAATTGACTTTACTCACATGCTCCGAGTCAGAAAACTAAAATACCTCTCGGTCTGGGTAGACACTTTCACTGGATGGGTAGAGGCCTTTTCCACAGGGTCTGAGAAGGCCACCGCGGTCATTTCTTCCCGTCTGTCAGACATAATTCCTTGGTTTGGCCTTCCCACCTTGATACAATCTGATAACACACCGGCCTTTATTAGTGAAATCACCGAAGCAGTTTATCAGTCTCTTGGTATTCAGTGGCGCCTGGTTTTACCTCAAACTGCCACCCTTAAGTCTCTCTTTAAGTGGATAGAATATCTTCAGTGACAAAGTACACTCCAATACTTTCACCCTGATGAAGTCCTATACTTTACTTTTATACTTACTCTAATTCTCATTCCCGTTCTTATGACACCCTCTACCTCTCCCCAGCTATCTCCACCACAATATCAAACTCACTCTTTCCTAGCCATTTCTAATCCTTCTTTAACAAACAATTGCTGGCTTTGCATTTCTCTTTCCTCCAAAATTGCCAAGGCCTCGACTTAGTCACTGCTAAAAAAAGAAGACTGTATATTTTTAAATGAAGAATGCTGTTTTTACCTAAATCAATCTGGCATGGTATATGACAACATAAAAAAACTCAAGGATAGAGCCTAAACTTGTGCCAACCAAGCAAGTAATTATGCTGAACCCCCTTGGACGCTTTGTAATTGGATGTCCTGGGTACTCCCAATTCTTTGTCCTTTAACACCTGTTTTTCTCCTTCTCTTATTTGGACCTTGTGTCTTTCATTTAGTTTCTCAATTCATACAAAATCGCATCCAGACCATCACCAATAATTCTATACGATAAATGCTCCTTCTAACAGCCCCACAATATCACCCCTTGCCCCAAAATCTTTCTTCAGTTTAATCTCTCCCACTCTAGGTTCCCTCGCCGCCCGTAATCCCGCTTGAAGCAGCCCTGAGAAACACCGCCCATTATCTCTCCATACCTCCCCCCAAAATTTTCGCCACCTCAACACTTCACCACCATTTTGTTTTGTTTTTCTTATCAATATAAGAAGACAGGAATATCAGGCCTCTGAGCCCAAGCTAAGCCATCATATCCCCTGTGACTAGCACATATACATCCAGATGGCCTGAAGCAACTGAAGATCCACAAAAGAAGTGAAAATAGCCTTAACTGATGACATTCCATGATTGTGATTTATTTCTGCCCCAACCTAACTGATCAGTGTACTTTGTAATCTCCCCCACCCTTAAGAAGGTTGTTTGTAATTCTCCCCACCCTTGAGAATGTACTTTGTGAGATCCACCCCCACCCGCAAAACATTGCTCTTAACTCCACCGCCTATGATAATCCACCACACACACACACAAAAATTAGTTGGGCAAGGTGGTGGGCACCTGTAATCCCAGATACTCAGGAGGCTAAGGCAGGAGAATTGCTTGAACCCAAGAGGCAGAGGTTGCAGTGAGCTGAGATCTCGCCATTGCACTCCAGCCTGGGCAACAAGAGCAAAACTGTCTGAAAAAAAAAAAAAAAGAAAGAAAAAGAAAGAAAGAACTATGGCATGGAGGCCCATAAGGTCTGATTGGGGCAAAGCTCTAGAGGAAAGTAGTAGAAACTTGTGATGAGTATGAGGCTGGCCCGGAGACAAAGACTGGAACAATAGCCCATGAATGCCATGCTAAAGACTTAAAACAATAAGACTGCATTATCCACTGAGGGTTTATTATCAGAAAGTGGTCCTATCGTAGTTGTGTTAATGTCTTCAACAACAGCAGAACTGATAATGCCCTCAGTGACAGAATTGCCCACCCTGCCCTGATTTTTTTTCTTTGATGGAGTCTCACTCTGTCACCCAGGCTGGAGTGCAGTGGCGTGATCTCTGCTCACTGCAAGCTCTGCCTCCCGGGTTCACGCCATTCTCCTGCCTTAGCCTACCGAGTAGCTGGGACTACAGGCGCCCACCACCACGCCCGGCTAATTTTTTGTATACCCCGCCCTGATTTTTAATGAGATGTGCTGCAGATGCCTTTTTGTAGACTGTAAATCACTTTACACTCCTCTTTCAAATCCTTTTTATTTTTTTCTGATATAATATCTCACTTTGTCACCCAGGCTGGAGTGCAGTGGCATGATCTTGGCTCACTGCAACTTCTACCTCTTGGGCTCAGGCTATCCTCCCGCCTCAGCCCCTCAACTAGCTGGGTCTACAGGTGTGCACCACCATGCTCAGCTAATTTTTGTATTTTTTGTAGAGACAGAGTTTTGTCGTGTTGCCCAGGCTGGTCTCGATCTCCTGAGCTCAAGTAATCTGCCTGCCTCAGCCTCCTAAATTGCTGGAATTACAGGAGTGAGCCACTGCACCTGGCCTCAAATCCTTTTATTTTATACACTTCCCCTGAGATGTTCTTTAGGCTCAACCTCAAGCTAGGCCTGGTCAAGAAGTTTGCAAATGAGACTTAAGAAACCAAAACAAAAAAGAAAAAAGTTGGGCCCGGTGGGTCACGCCTGTAATCCCAACACTTTGGGAGGCATAGGTGGGTGGATCATGAGGTCAGGATTTCGAGACCAGCCTGGCCAATTATGGTGAAACCCCATCTCTACTAAAAATACAAAAATTATCCAGGCGTGGTGCGGGACAGCTGTAATCCCAGCTACTCAGGAGGCTGAGGCAGGAGAATCATTTGAACCCAGGAGGCGAAGGTTGCAGTGAGCCAAGATTTCTCCACTGCACTCCAGCCTGGGTGACAAAGTGAGACTCCATCTCAAAAAAAAAAAAAAAAAAGAATTAGGCCACCTAACCTCTGCAGTTTTGTTTTGTTTTGTTTTTGTCCTTTTCCATCTTGGGCCTCAGCCAAAGGCAAGCTGAGGGCTTCAGACCAGGGAGAATTGTCTGATCTCAGGATGCTCAACATCACGGCCAATTTGGTTCTACGCATTGGTACTCAGGGAAGGCTGTGTTCAGGAGGGCAAAAGTGCCAATTTAAAATTTCCCTATTTTCTTCCTCCAGGGTCCTTAGTCTTTGTAAAATGAATTTGTTTTAATTTTCTGAAAGCTTTCAGTTGCATGTGTGCACACACTAGCATGTTCACATGTGTGCATCTGTACACCAGATCCTCAGAGTCAGCACACGTGAGGTTCTCCTTTCCCTGGTGGGAATCCAAAGAAAAGGAAGCCTGGGAAAAAGATTAGTCTTTGAAATTCACTGAAAGATTCCATTCCACTGCTTTTATGCGAAAGACCTACTACCTTACAGAAGTCTAAATTCCTCTGCCTGTAGATGCAGTCTGTCGCTACTGCCTCGCTGTCCATGGTGCTGACACACCACCATCGGCTAAGTAGACACAGTTGTTTCTCTTAACTCTGGGACCCTGGTGATGATGGATTGAAGGTCCTGTTGAGCGCTTATGTCAAAGTGGTCATAGTTGTGTATATTTTATATTCTATCTGAAGAATAACTTTACTATATTGCAGAACCAAACAAAATTATGATATATGTATTCCAATGTGTGTAAAAGATTCACATACACTGAGAATTCTATCATGTTCAGTTAATTATAAAACTTTCCCCTCTGAAAGTCATATGTTCTATCCACCCTAGCCAGTTTGGGAAGCTATAACAAAGTACCATAGACTGGGTGGCTTATAAACAACATGAATGTATTTTTCACAGTTCTAAGATAAGGGCGACAGCATGGTTGGGTTCTGGTGAGGACCTTCTTCTGGGTTGTGTACTGCCAACTTCCCATAATATCTTCACATGATGGAGATGGGCAAGCTAGCTCTCTGGACTCTCTCTCTTTTTTTTTTTTTTTTTTTTTTTGAGATAGGGCTCCCCTCTGTCATCCAGGCTGGAGTGCAGTGGCATGATCTCAGCTCACTGCAACTTCTGCCTCCTGGGCTCAAGAGATCCTCCCACCTCAGCCTCTGGAGTAGCTGGGAAAATAGGCACATGCCACCACACCTGGCTAATTTTTTATATTTTTAGTAGGGATGAAGTCTCGCCATGTTGGCCAGGCTGGTCTTGAACTCCTGAGCTCAAGCCATCCACCTGCCTCAGCCTCCCAAAGTGCTGGGATTACAGGCGTAAGCCACCATGCCCAGCCCTCGGGCATCTTCTCATAAGAGTATGGATCTCATTCTTTTGGGCCCCACCCTCATGACCTAGTCACCTCACAAAGGCCCCACCTCTAAGTACCATCATATTGGGAATTAAATTTCAACACACGAATTGGCAAGTTACACAATCATTCAGTTGATTGCACTACCTTCCACCATATCTCTACTTAAAACTCCACCTGGCTTTGAAAGTCCTCTGCAATCTGGTCCTAATACCTGCATATCCTTATCTGCTACTGCTTTCAGCACGCACCCTCAGCAGCAGTGACAGCAATGACCTCTTCACTCTTCACATGCCACTGTAATTCCCCTCTACTTCTTGGCAACTTCTGATTCCCAGCCTGTAATTCCCCTCCTTTGCTGTGACTTTCCTCCCTCGTCATACAAGCCCCGCCAGGTTTTGAGGCCCAGCCCCTACCCTGCCTCCTCCATGAAACCTTCCTTGGAAATCCAGACATGTTTGCATCTTCCTCTTTTCCAATTTCCTTCAGACTTTATCAGTGGCATTTGGCAAATTTGGCAAAATTTTATTGGAGCATAGCACATTTGGAAGGGAATCTCAACTTAGATTTTGTACTAATGTAGTATAATGGAAAGGGTGGGGTGTTTTTGTATCAGGCAATTCTAGACTTCAGTCCTAGCTCCTCCATTCCTCCTCACTCTAGCTTGCCTATGAGTGAGTTAATTTGTCACAGCTTCCTTTCTTCTCTAACCATGAAGAATAATGTTTACCCAATATGTTATAAAATTATATATCGTATAAATTATTTGGCACACAACAGACTCTTCATAAACGTGTTTTTGCTATCTTCCTCTTCTGCACTGTAGCGTTTATACCACCTAGCACAATGTTGAACACATACACAGTCGATGTGGCTTTACTGAAATACAAAATTCAGCTTGTCTGCTCAACCTTGCTGTGCGATTTACCTGCAGGAAAAACATCTCTGATCAAACACATTTACAACAGAGAAGTGTCCATGAAGCCTGAGAGAGCAAACATAAGAGAGACCAGTTGGAGAAGATGCTAAAATACTTGGCTTTCATAATGGTTTTCTTCTTAGTCAAGGTCTGCTGAGTGAAAAATACTGTGAGGCCATTCATGGGCATGGTCACTGACAAAGGATACATGTGGCTGTGGAAACCTGACCCCTGCATAATCTGTGCTCAAAACGCTTTAAAATTCAAAATGTAATGTTGGAAGAAATTTCCACTCTTCATAGCATGCCAAATTTTGACATTTTTCTCCCGGACATTTCTTATTTTCTATTATCAAAAAGGACAGGATTTCTTCTGAAAAAGAGAAGAGAAAGAAGATACACAGAATATCAGTTTTAAAGTGTTATTTTTGTTCTTTAAAAAGCTTCTCATTGACTTTAAAAGAAAGCTTTTTTCCTTCAGAGATTTATTTTGATAGAATTAGCTGAGCCTTGTCAAGGAGAACAAAATTCTTGTGAGCTTACCATACCAGTAAATTGCCAAATTATATGCTGTAAGGTTTTTGTTTTATTATTTCTGGGTCCAGTCAAAGAGAGAAAAGATTCTGAATCCAGAACTATTAGCATTTAGAGACAAAAGAGAGCCTTCAATGCAGCCGTTCCCCAGGAGCTTGTTTTCCCCAGTCCTGCAGGCCCCATCACTCAGGTGGGAAGATGTTCTACTTTCCTCCACATTCTCTCCTGGAGATCCAAGGATTTTACAAACAGGATCAATTACCTCAGCAAACTCTTTCAAAGGCTTGTAGGTCAGCCTTATGGTGAGCACCCAGACATAAACCCAGCCCCCAATCCTGAAAGAAAAAAGTGAAATTTTCCTGAGAGGATTAAGTCAGTATCCTGGTCACAAACAGGTAGTATAATGCAATGGAAAGGGTTTAGACTTTAAAATCATGAACACAAGGCTGGGTGCAGTGGCTCATGCCTGTAATCCCAGCACTTTGGGAGGCTGAGGTGGGTGGATTGCTTGAGTCCTGGAGTTGAAAACCAGGCTGGGCAACATGGCGAGATTCCTGTCTCTACAAAAAAAGACTGAAAATTTAGCTGGGTACTGTGGTGCATGCATGTAGTCCCTGCTACTAGGCAGGCTGAGGTGGGAGGATCACTTAAGCCTAAGAGGCAGAGGTTGCAGTGAGCCAAGATCGTGCCATTGCACTCCAGCCTGGGTGACAGAGTGAGACCCTGTCTCAATAAAATAAAATAAAATAAAATAAAATAAAATAAAATAAAATAAAATAAAATAAAATAAAATAAAATAAAATAAAATATAAAATAAAGTAAAATAAAATAAAATAAATAAAATAAAATAAAATAAAATAAAATCGCAAACACGTAGATGTGAATTCCAGCTCTACCACTGTCTATCTAGCTGTACTACTTTGGACAAATTACCTAACCTGTCTGAGCCTCAGTTTGCTCATTTGCAAAGAGGAGATAGTAATGTCTACACTGAAAACTCATGGTTAGGATTAAAAATTATGTATGTAAAATGCCTAGTATAGTGGCTTGCACATAGTTGAAGCTCAACATGCTGTTATTATAAATGAAAACTGATACTATGTCATCTGACACACAAACTTTAAGTGTTGGAGATACCACAGGAAGGCTACAGCGAGTAGGAAGAGGTGGCAACAGCTAGCAAGTTGGTGAGAATGGAGAAATGAACAGGAAGCACATGACGTGGCATCTCATGCAACCTTGGGGGACTTTTTGTTCCAATTGTGATAGAAAAGCCATAAGGAGTTTTGACCAGAGGAATAAAATTATTAAATTTATGTAATTAAAATATTACTTTGGGCCAGGCACAGTGGCTCACGCCTGTAATCCCAGCACTTTGGGAGGTCGAGGGGCATGGATCACCTGAGGCCAGGAGTTTGAGACCAGCCTGGCCAACATGATGAAACCCCGTCTCTACTAAAAATACAAAAAAATTAGCCAGGCATGGTGGTGGGCCCCTGTAATCCCAGCTGCTCCGGAGGCTGAGGCAAGAGAATCACTTGAACCCAGGAGGAGGAGGTTGCAGTGAGCCAAGATCATGCCCTTGCACTCTAGCCTGGGCAACAAGAGCAAAACTCCTTCTCAAAGCAAACAAACAAAACACAAGACTGGTTGCCATATGGAAAATAGACTGTAGGTGAGCAGTTAGGAGGCTATTCCAGTAGTCCAGGTGAGAGCTGACAGTGGTGGGAGATGATGATCAGAGAGTCAGAAGTGTTTTGGAATGGAATGGTGTCTTCATGGTAGAGCTGACAGACTGAAAAATAGGATGCACTGGGTGTGAGAGAGGGGAGGAAAGAGATGATTTTTAGGTTTTTGCCTGTGGCAAGTGGGAGAAGGAAAGAGTCCTGAATGTGGCCGGGTGCGGTGGCTCACACCTGTAATCCCAGCACTTTGGGAGGCCAAGGCGGGTGGATCACTTGAGGTCAGGAGTTCGAGACCAGCCTGGCCAACATGGTGAAACCCCCGTCTCTACTAAAAATATAAAAAATTAGCTGGGCATGGTGGCAGGTGCCTGTAATCCCAGCTACTCGGGAGGCTGAGGTAGAAGAATCACTTGAACTCAGGAGGCAGAGGTTGCAGTAAGCTAAGATTGTGACAGAGTGAGCCTGGGTGACAGAGTGAGACTCCGTCTCAAAAAACAAACACACAAACAAAACAAAGGAAGAGCCATGAATGAGAAAGAGAAAATTGTGGGAGAAGCAGTTTGAGTCAGGGAGAGTGGGGAATGAAGAGTTCTGCTTCGAACATGAGGTTTAATATATCTATTAAACATTCCAGTGGGGATTGGGGACTGGACCTCAGAGGAGAAGTGGGATAGGAATTTTGATGTCATCATCATAAAGGTGGTCTAAAAAGCCACAGCATTAGAGGAAATTGTCAAGGGAAAGAAACCCAGAGATCCCAGGGCACTGAAATTTTTAGAGGTTGAAAAAAGGATGAAATCCAGTAAACAGACTTAGGAAAAGTATTCACTCCTGGAGTTGGCTACATGAAGGTTATTTGTGGAATGGCGGGGACAAATGTCTGCTTGGAGTAAGTTCAAGAGTGAATGGAGAGCAGGGCGTGGTAGCTCACGCCTGTAATCCCAGCTCTTTGGGAGGCTGGGGTGGGTGTATCACTTGAGGTCAGGAGATCAAAAACAGCCTGGCCAACATGGTGAAACCCCGTTTCTACTAAAAATACAAAAATTAGCCAGGTGTGGTGGTGTGTGCCTGTAATCCCAGCTACTTGGGAGGCTGAGGCAGGAGAATCGGTTGAAACCAGGAGGCAGAGTTTGCAGTCAGCCGAGATGGCGCCATCACACTCCAGCCTGGGCGACAAAGAGAGACTCTGTCCCCCACCACCCACCCCCCAAAAAAGAGTGAATGGAAGCAGAGGATAAACCAGTAGAGAAAACTCTTTTCAGGACTTTCACTGTAAAGAGGGAAAAAGGAGGAGTTTCTAGAGGAAGAAATAGAGTCTAAAGAGTTTTAAATTTTTCTTTTTTTTTAGAGGTGGGGTCTTGCTGTGTTGTCCAGGCTAAAGTGTGGTGTGTGACCATAGCACACTACAGCCTTGAACTCATGGGCTCAAGTGATCCTTCTGCCTCAACCTCTCTCCTGAGTAGCTAGTACTACAGGTGTGCAACTTCACCTAGCTAAAGAGGTTTTTTTAAAGATAGAAATTGAGAATGCATGCTGATGGCGATCACTTAACAAAGAGGAGGAATGAATTGTGCAGGAGAAAGAGAATTTCAGAAGCAAAGTATGTCCTTCAGTAAGCAAGAGGAGGAGGTGAGATCTGAATGTAAATGAGAGGGGCGCTGGCCTTAAACACAATGCATTATAAGAGGAAAGAAGGCCAAGTTTATGGGCACAGATGCAAGGGGCTGGCAGAATAATTGTCTTGCCTCTTTCAGAACAGGGTCTGGGCCAAGGCATATTACTGGAGAGTACCCTATATTTGGGGGCAGGGGAATATTCCAATAGTGTGAGATTTCACAGTACAAGAAAGAGAAAGTTTTATTTTTCTTCTGGTTCCCTTCCCATCGACCCCTCCTGTAGTCTCTGTGGCTTTTCTAACCAGACTCCAGCATGGACACTGCATGCTAATGAGACAATACTTGGTCCAATCTCAGTCACTCGTTTCTGAATAATTAATCTGGCACTTTACCAGCACTTACGAGCCTTGGTTTTTCTGATGATTAAATAAAAGGCCAAGGCTCTTCACAATTGCCAGCTAGCTCTTCGGCTTGGTTTGGCTTCATGTCATATTAACGCACTGGGGAGTCTGGAAAGATCTGACAGGAGGAGAGCACTCTCCCCGCTTTCGGTCCCCCACCAAACCACAGCTCAGACAGCAGGAGATTTAGCTCAGTCATGCCAGGAAGATGGAGGAAGAAAGGATGTCCTGGCAATTCCTGCCCCTCACACCCATTTTCAGTGTCACCTGGACCCTCTGGCTTTCCTGAGTCCCTTCCAACTATTCAAGTGCCTTGTTTGTGTTTGCCTTCTGGCAATCCCACATCTTTCTGCTCCAGTAGAATGTTATCAACATCAGCTTAACTTCCCCAGACTACGTGACTCAAGCCCTAAATACAAAACAAAAAAGTCTTCTTTCCCCTGAGAATTTAAAAACAACAACAGGCTAGGCGCTATGGCTGATGCCTATAATCCCAGCATTTTGGGAGGCCGAGGCAGGCAGATCACTTGAGGTAAGGAGTTCGAGACCAGCCTGGCCAATGTGGTGAAACTCTATCTCTACTATTAATAAGAATACAAAAATTAGCCAGGCGTGGTGGTGCGTGCCTGTAATCCCAGCTACTTGGGAGGCTGAGGCATGAGAATCGCTTGAACCTGGGAGGCAGAGTTTGCAGTGAGCAGAGATCACATCACTGCACTCCAGCCTGGGCGACAGAATGAAACTGTCTGAAAACACAGCTTTCTCTCAGCTTATATTTTTAAATGCCCAACAAAAGCACCACCTTTTAAGCAAGCATCAAGGCTTCTTTAAGGATGACTTTGAACGATGGAAGAGAAAGATCGGTGAGCAACTAGTTTTTGTGAAGTCCTGCTAGCACTGTGGAACTTCCTGAATTCACAAGGGGCATCAAAAGCACTGAGATGGCAGAGATTGCTGTGGCAGAAGCAACTGGAAAATGTCCTGAGACTGAAACACAGACAGATTAACATCACCCTGGTGGACACTAATGACTTGCACTTTGAAATGCCAGAGGCTCATACTGCCAGTTAAGACAAGGAAAAAAACACATTTCTAGTCTCCAAAGACCTTAGATCTTTCCAAATTCTGCAGGCAAATGCAGCCATCATGAATTTCTGCAGCAGGGCTGGGCAGCCCCTTCGTACCACTAGGGGAATCATTGCCAGAGTTGCTGTGGGCAGCATAGTCAGTACAGATGAATAAAACAATCACTGAAAACCTCCCAGAGGTTAAGTTAGTAATGATTCAATTTATAATTCAATGCAATCAAGCCTACAGCAGTTACAAATACCAGACTTATTTTAGAGGTACTAGGTAGACCATTCTTTCCTCTGAACATTCACAAGCTCAACAAATGGGTTCCCAAACAACTTTTACGATTTACCATCAACAGATAATTAGAATGTCTTTTCAATCACTGGCATTTGGATAAAGTAATTTTGTCCAAGCGTGTGCATTTCTAGGAAGCAAACAAAAGTCAAAGAGCAAAGAGCTTGTTGGAAGCTTTCTCAAAAGAAAAATCTTTCAAGAACTGCTTTCAGCTGCAGGAAGGGAACGTTCTTGCACCAACTTGGTAAAATTAATGTGAATTTTGAGTAATGCAGATGAACAAAAGGATATCTGATGTGACTAAGGGAAGAAAGTATCTAGCTAAACATCTAAAATTGCAAAAAGGTAGGAACTGATCACATGTAATATAAATCTCATTATTTTAGGCCCCAGTGAATCTAAAATTTACAGATTTCTTTTTTTCTTTTCTTGTCTTTTTTTTTTTTTCTTGAGACAGAGTTTTGCTCTTACTGCCCAGACTGGAGTGCATTGGCACTATCTCGGCTTACTGCAACCTCCACCTCCCAGGTTCAAGCTATTCTCCTGCCTCAGTCTCCCAAGCAGCTGGGATTACAAGCATGTGCCACCACTCCTGGCTGATTTTGTATTTTTAGTAGAGATGGGGTTTCTCCATGTTGGTCAGGCTGGTCTCGAACTCCCTCCACCTGGGGTCATTACCTCAGGTGATCCGCCCGCCTCGGCCTCCCAAAGTGTTGGGATTACAGGTGTGAGCCACCATGCCCATCCAACTTACAGATTTCTAAAGCCAATTTAGCACTTCCAAATCTGGCCAACACCTAACAGTGTACTGCACTGGGTGTTATAAGCAAGGAGAGAAGTAAAACTGGACCTGTGTTCTCAGGAACTCTGATATAGTTGAGAAGGCAGGACTAACTGAATAAAAGGGGGACTAATAAAATGTTAAATGAATGACCCCAAACGAACCCAAATATGTCTTCTACTGGCCTACCTGCAGTTGTCATCATTAATGCTGTGCCTTTGCATTAAGGCCATTATTTCCAAACGGTACTTTGTAGTGGTTAAACTCATTGGCTTTGGAACCAGCCTGCCAAGGTTTCAAACTTGGCTCAGCCACTTAAGCTGTGTGATCTTGAGCAACCTATCCTTTCTGTACCTAAGTTTCCTCATTTGTAAAAAGTGGTTAGTAATAGAATTCAGGTATTATGTAAATTAACTCTTATGAGTTAATTTACATAATATGCTCAATCAATTTGTAATTCAGTGTGCAACAGAATCACCTGGGGAGTTCATATAATACATATGTTACATATGTTATGGGATCTGTGGAAATTGAAGAAACTAAGGCCTCTAGAGCATCTAATTATATCTGGGGAGACAGTGGTAGTGTGCAGTGTAGAATTTAATTGAGATTTATTTATTTATTTATTTATTTATTGAGATAGAGTCTTGCTCCGTCGCCCAGGCTAGAGTTCAGTGTTGCAGTCTCGGCCCAACTGCAACCTTTGCCTCCTGAGTTCGAGGAATCCTCTCACCTCAGCCTCCCAAGTGGCTGGAATTACAAGCATGTACCACCACACCTGGCTAATTTTTGTATTTTTAGTAGACAAGGGGTCTCACCATGTTGGCCAGGCTGGTCTCGAACTCCTGTGATCTGCCTCAAGTGATCTCCCGGCCTCGGCCTCCCAAAGTGCTGAGATTACAGGTGTGAGCCACTGTGCCCGGCTTATAGACTTTTATTTTTGAAAGTCTTATTTCCAAGCCCCTTGGTCGGCAGGCCGTTTCAACTTTGCCCTGTGGTGTCCTTCCTTAACCTTTGCACTATTTTGCTGTGGAATATCTTTGATATGTTAGTTTCAATTTAGAATATATCTGATTTTGTCATTTGAATTTAAAATGAAAAAACAAAAAAAAATCTGATTTTTTTTAAAGTTCACTTATCCTTGACTTGCTCCCTCTTTTTTTTTTTTTTTTTAGATGGAGTCTTGCTCTGTTGCCCAGGCTGGAGTGCAGTGGCATGATCTCTCCTCACTGCAACCTCTGCCTCCTGGGTTCAAGCGATTCTCCTGCTTCAGCCTACTGAGTAGATGGGATTATAGGCGGACGTCACCACGCCCAACTAGTTTTTGTATTTTTAGTAGAGTTGGGGTTTCACCATGTTGGTCAGGCTAGTCTCGAACTCCTGACCTCAAATGATCTGCCCAACTCAGCCTCCCAAAGTGCTAGGATTACAGACATGGGCCACTGCACCCGGCCCTTTTGTTGAAACTCTGGAATACTAATTAGTTGTTTTAATCTTTCAGCATTTTTAATGCTTCATTTTAAAAAAAGTAATGAAGTTGGCCAGGCGCGGTGGCTCATGCCTGAAATCCCAGCACTTTGGGAGGCCGAGGCGGGCGGATCACCTGAGGTCACGAGTTCGAGACCAGCCTGACCAATATGGAGAAACCCTGTCTCTACTAAAAATACAAGATTAGCCGGGCGTGGTGGTGCATGCCTGTAATCCTAGCTACTTGGGAGGCTGAAGCAGGAGAATCGCTTGAACCCGGGAGGCAGAGGTTGCAGTGAGCTGGGATAGTGCCATTGTACTCCAGCCTGGGCAACGAGAGTGAAACTCCATCTCACAAAAAAAAAAAAAAAAAGGGTAATGAAGTTATAATCAACAAAATGATAAAAAGAAATGATAACACAGAGAATTAATTAAAACATTTAAATAATAATAAGAATAAAGAATACACATTTACTCATGTTTAGAGGAAACATGCTGTTAAAGAATTAAACCTATTCAGTCCATCCTGGGATCTAAGAAAAAAAAAAATTAAACCTAACACCAGGGAGAATGGTGGTCCTATCCAAAACCTAAGCCAGGCTTTTTCCTAGTGCAAGCAGTAAAAACCTCTCTCAAACTAGCTTAAGTACAAAGGTGATGTATAGGCTCATGTAACTGGAAAGTCCAGGGGTAACTTTGGCTTTGGACACAGTTGAATGTAGAAACCCCGGTAAAGTCATCATCAGGCCTCTTTCTAGTCCTTGGCTCCGTTTCTCTTTTGTAGCCCTCATTCTCTTACTACACACAGGTTTCTTCAGAGGGTAGGGAGGAGGCAGGGAGAGTGGCCACCAGCATTTACTGATTCACATTTTCATGGCTTATGACTCAAAGATCAGACATCTTTCCTACTAGCTGCAGTCAGTAAAATCAAATGAATTATTCAGATTGCCTAGTTTGGGTCCCCAAAAAGAATGACTTTAGCCAAAAAGATGTGATTCTGTCATATGCTGGTCCAGCATCACGTGCTGATCCCTGTGGCCAGAGGTGGAGGCTGATACTGGAAATCAGAAGAAGTATGCATGCAGGGGAAACAGTGTGGAATGACAGCTACATGACACGATCTTTTCCTTGACCTCTAAGATGCAGACACAAACACATACCTTTCTTTCTATAATTAATTCAAAAAGCGATTTAATCTAACAACTCAACTGAACCACACTCAAGTGAAAACATGCCACTCACTCTTTAGTGGGAGACAACCCCAAGACAGACATCGTTTATACATCCTGCTTTGTGTACCACATTTCCTGAATGTGGCTCATTGTGATCTAATAGTCTATGGATAAATTATAAATTTATCTAACCCAACAGGCTCAACACATAGTGGTGGGAAGAAAACCAGGCGGATTGCAATAAAAATTCACATTTAAAAATGAGAAAAGGAGGAAATAACCAACAGAAGTCACAGTCAGTGCACAGCAAATACCATTTCCTGTTGGGCAGGGCTTATAAAGACTTCTTTCCCTGGCAGCAGAGGTGATTTTTCTTGGTCTGCAATCTGACTGTAACAATTCTACTTGATGGAATAATGTTCATGTCCATTACCACCATGGCCATATCTTAAATCAATATTGAAGAGAATTCTTATTGGTGTGTTCAGAGGGCATAGGGATTGCATAAGAGATGGCCTAAGGCTTTGAGCCAACTACAAGTCCTTATTTACAAGAGTCATAGTTTCTCTGCTAATACATTTCCCTTAAAACACTAGTCAACTGACTATCTAATTCCTACGGTTTACATTAGGTAGTAACCAATGCCAAAATTTTATCAAGTCATAGTCCCTGTATCTGGACCCTGTCCTTGTAATTTCTGGCTCTTGGTTGTATCTTAACAACTTTAATACAACCTTTTCCTCTGAGTGATATGACACAATAGAGCGGCATAGCAGATGATGTGGCTCACCACCTGGGTTTCCTCCTTTAGGGCTGAGGTACTCTTCCTCAGCTGCTGCACATGTTGGCAGCTGATGGCTCTCAGCTTGAGTTTCTTTGGGAACCCCCCTGCCTTCATTTAACTCAAGGCCATGCTTCTTCCCTGAAGAGAGTCTACAGCCAATGACTGTTCAGTAATGGAGTATAAAGGCCCAGTTGCCTTGGCTGAAAGCAGAATAACTTTGAAGGGTCTTCTGAGATCCAAAGTTCTCTGTAGGATCTGAGGGAGGCCTCAGTTGCAACTGCATCGTAATTTGATCTCTCCTTCTGCCCAATCCGGTTTCCCTCATCCCTCAAATATGATTCCCTACAGCACTCTCCAATAGACCTCCTGGGCTCAAATCTGAGTCTTAGAATCTGTTTCCCTGGGAACCCAACCTGTAAACTGGTAATATAATAATGGACATGTCACTTGATTCCAAGATGAACCTTAGAGGATGGTGCTTTACAAATGGAGAAATTGTTGCTTTCATCAGGTAAGGGGTACAGAAAAGGAGGGTTTGGGAGCAATCTGAATTTTAAGGCTTCGCCCAGTTTTTCTGACCCCTCTTGGAACCCAGTAATCTCCTCTTGTGATGTCCACTTCCTTGACTTCGGTCACACTAAATGCAAGCTCAGGCACAGAATTCAGCCTTGGTAATTCTCTAAGACCTAGCTTATGTGACTGTCAGTGGTCTGAGATTGAGGCAACTGGAGAGAGGACTGCTCAACAAAGCTGTTGCCATTCTCCTGCTTTCAAATGATTTAGCGTGGAGTGAAGTTTGTTCCCTTCGTCCAGAATGTTAATGAAGGCCAAAAACAAACAAACAAACTCTACTATCCTGATATTTTTCTCCAAAAAAATTTCCTGAAACTCTAGCTTTAGTAAGCACATTGTGCCACTCTATTTCTTCCTACCAGTTTTTACGTTAGTCAGGGCTCTTTCAGGTGCAAATAGCAGAAACCCTACTCAAGTTAGGTGAAATCAACAGAAAATTATTAACTCATTTTACTGGGGAATCCGAGAATGGAATTCAGTTCCTGCTATATCTAAGGGAACAAAATAGGTCATCAGAATGTCCTCTCTTTTTTTCTCTCTCCCTCTCTCATCTGTATCCTTCTGTATGTTGACCTTTTTATCTTCCATTGAAAATGGGCTCTTGGCTGGGTGTGAAGGCTCACACCTGTAATCTCAGCACTTTGGGAAGGGAAGCCAACTTGGGCATATCACTTGATCCCAGGAGTTCAAGACCAGCTTGGGCAGCATGGCAAGACCCCGTTTCTACAAAAAAATACAAAAAATAGGCTGGGTGCAGTGGCTCATGCCTGTAATCCCGGCACTTTGGGAGGCCGAAGTGGGTGGATCACCTGAGGTCAGGAGTTTGAGACCAGCCTGGCCAACATGGTGAAACCTCATCTCTACTAAAAATACAAACATTAGCCAAGCGTGATGGTGCATGCCTGTAATTCCAGCTACTCCGGAGGCTGAGGCAGAGGTTGCAATGAGCCGAGATCGCACCATTACACTCCAGTCTGGGCGACAAGAGTGAAACTCCATTTAAAAAAAAAAAAAAAATTAGGTACTTGGGAGGCTGAGGTAGGAGGGTTGCTTGAACCTGGGAGGTTAAGGCTGCGTTGAGCCATGATGGTGCCACTGCACTCAGCCTGGGCAACAGAGTGAGATCCTATCTCAAAAAACAAAACAAAAAACAGAAAATGGGCTCTCTTCACATGGTGAAGAGGCTGTCTGCAGGCAGGTCTTCCCTTCCTTCAAGCTCCATGACCTAAAAAACCAAAACACACTCCCTACTAGCTCCTTTAGTTCAAGGGAAAAACGTTGTTTAGGGTAGATTGGGTCTCATCTCTAGGATTGTTACAGAATCATCATTGTGACCAGGGTGATATATTAGTCAGGCCTGGTCATGTGTCCATCTCTGGGCTCAGAGGTAGGATCTATTAAAAAGAGAAAGAAAAGTAAGATGGGAAGCCAAGAACAAGAGCCACATCAGTGTCTTGCAACTTAATGAAATGGAAAATCCATACTTCTTTTTTTCTTTTTCTTTTTTTTAAGACAGAGTTTTGCTCTTGTCGCCCACGCTGGAGTGCAATGGCATGATCTTGATCTTGGCTCACTCAACCTCTGCCTCCCAGGTTCAAGTGATTCTCATGCCTCAGCCACCCGAGTAGCTGGGATTACAGGTGCCCACCACCACGCCTGGCTAATTTTTGTATTTTTAGTAGAGATGGGGTTTCACCATATTGGGCAGGCTGGTCTTGAACTCCTGACCTCAGGTGATCCACCTGCCACAGCCTCCCAAAGTGCAGAGATTACAGGCATGAGTCACTGCACCCGGCCGGAAAATCCATAATGTACTAGCCCAAGTAAACTCTATTAGTCCTCCCTCTCCCAATTAAACTGAAATGATCAGAAGGCAAGTTGCATAAAAGTGTTCAATGTAAATTATTTTTCAACCCTCAGAGATACACAAGCTAAAATAGAAATTCCACATTATCCATTGCTCAAAGAAAATTAAATACATTTTCTAGTTCCTTAAAAACAAAACAAGACATACAGAAACCATCCATTATCCAGGAAATTTAAGAGATTCATGTTACATTTTAGGCATTAACAATGATTGTTCAATAAAGACGTCCTAAAGTTTATTTTCAGTAATATAAGAATTATATCCATTTTATGTTTTAAAGGGATTCAGTTGTATAGTACATTGAAATGCCAATTATGTTTGACTACTATTCTATATTGATTTATCCAGACACTATCTGCCCTGTGGGAAACACATAAACTTTTCAGCCTTCACACATGGTAACACTGGGAAAATATCAGCAACAACTCCTTGTTGCCAGCGTTGGTTACTTTCTTACAGTACATGACCCTGCATCTGTCTTGCTGGTTTGTAAGCTTCTGAAAGAATCATTGTTTGACAGAAGTGTTGCTGAAGGGTGTAACAATGGCAAATTGGACCTCCACTTGTAGTGAGAATCTTGAAGCTGTGTGCAAACAAAGATCTGAGCAGAATAATTTTTGAATAATTGGGAATTACATACATGAATACATTTGGATATAAAAAATGCAGTCACAGATGGGAGAAGCCCTTGATTCATCAGACAAGTTGCCTTAAGAGAAAACATAATCACAGCTAAACATTAAATCTGCTGCTTAAAATATGTTAAGTCTTTTGAGTAAAACAGGCTTTTAAACTTAAGGCAATCACTTGGTTCTTTGCTCACACTATTTTGAATGTGCTTGTGTCAAAATTGGAATAGATTCCAAAAAGGCTGACAAACAGTTATGAAGAATCAGTTATATTTTCTGATCACTGTGATTCATAAAAAATTATTAGGAGGCAAGAAATAAATTAATTGATCTAAGAGAAACAAGGGTAATGCCACCTGCTTTGTAAGCTTCTGATTTAGGGTGCTGAGTACTATACCTTGGGCTCAGAATTTCAAAGTTAAATTTTTTTTTCTTTTTAAACTTTAGTGTTACATGCAAATCTTTTTCTTAGATTATAATAGCTACAATCTTGGAGATTTAATATTTTATGTAAAATGGTTTAGCAACAACTGCAAGTTTTGATGTTTGAGCTACTATTTGTTGGAGAAGTCAATTAATCATGTTCCTATGAACGGGTCTCCAGTTCTCAGGGTATAGTCTGGTACATTTGTTTAGCTGGTGCTTTTGTCTACTTTGCATTTATATTGACTATTTGAATACAATGTTTTTCAAACTCCAAGTCATGCCGTATTAGTGAGAAGCGAAATCAAAATATAACCAGCATTTAAATTCTTTTTCTTTGTGAACATATTTAAACATACACAAAATAGAATAGGCTGGGCGCAGTGGCTCACCCTGTAATCCCAGCACTTTGGGAGGCTGTGGCAGGCGGATCACTTGAGGTCAGGAGTTCGAGACCAGCCTGACCAACATAGTGAAACCCTGTCTCTACTAAAAATACAAAAATTAGCCAGGTGTGGTGGCATGCACCTGTAATCCCAGCTACTCAGGAAGCTGAGGCAGGAGAATCGCTTGAACCCGGGAGGCAGAGGTTGCAGTGAGCTGAGATCACACCACTGCACTCCAGCCTGGGCAACACAGCCAGATTCCATCTCAAAAAAAAAAAAAAATAGAATAGTAAAATGAGCTCCCATATACCCATCACCTAGCTTCATTGATTATCAACATATTGTCACATTTCCTTTTTCTATATTTTTGTTATTTTATTTTTTTGAGACAGGGTCTCACTTTGTCACCCAGGCTGGGGTGCAGTGGCATGAACAAAGCTTACCGCTGCCTCCACCTCCCGGGTTGAAACAATCCTTCTGCCTCAGCCCCTTAAGTAGCTGGGAATACAGGTGTGCACCACCATGCCCGGCTAATTTTTGCTTTTTTTTTTTTTTTTTTTTTTTTTGTAGAGACAGGTTTTCACCATGTTGACCAAGCTGGTCTCAAACTCCCGAGCTCAAGTGATCCTTCCGCCTCGACCTCCCAGAGTGCTGGGATTATAGGTGTGAGCCACTGTGCCCGGCCTTTTATTCTTTGGGGAAGTATATTAAAGACAATTCCAGGCTGGGCACAGTGACTCAACGCCTGTAATCCCAGCACTTTGGGAGGCCGAGGCGGGTGGATCACGAGGTCAGGAGCTCAAAACCGACCTGGCCAAAATGGTGAAACCTCGTCTCTACTAAAATACAAAAATTGGAAGGAATGGTGGCGGGTGCGTATAATCCCAGCTACTCGGGAGGCTGAGGCAGGGAATTGCTTGGACCCGGGAGGCGGAGGTTGCGGTGAGCAGAGATGGCGCCACTGCACTCCAGCTTGGGCAACAGAGCAAGACTTCGCCTCATTAAAAAAAAAAAAAAAAAGAAAAAAGACAATTCCAGACATCATGTTAATTTACTTCTACATATTCCAGTGCCAACATGCATCTCTAAACATATTTTTTCTTACGTAACCACAAAGCCATTATCATGCCTTAGAAAATTAGCAATAATTGGCTGGGCGCGGTGGCTCATGCCTGTAATCCCAGCAATTTGGGAGGCCAAGGCGGGCAGATCACCTGAGGTCGGGAGTTCGAGACCAGACTGGCCAACATGGTGAAACCCTGTCTCTGCTAAAAATACAAAAATTAGCCAGGCATAGTGGTGCGTGTTTGTAGTTCCGGCTACTTGGGAGGCTGAGGCAGGAGAATTGCTTGAACCTAGGAGGCGTAAGTTGCAGTGAGCTGAGATCACGCCACTGCACTCCAGCCTGGTCGACAGAGTAAGACTCATTCTCAACAAACAAACAAACAACAAATTCTATGGTCAATGTTGCATGCTCATTGTATTGGAACTAACAGTAGCATTGTATGTGATTGATAATTCCTTCCTGGAAGGACTTCTTTCATTCAGGTATTTGTGACCTCACTGGGCTCAGTTCTCCTGCCTCTCTGGCTCTTCTTTCTCAGTTTCCTTTGCTAGATTTTCATCTATACATCCTCTAAAGATTGAAATGACACAAGCCTCAGTCCTTGGACTCCCTCTCTTGTCTATCTGCATTTTCTTCCTAGATGCTTTCATCTATTTCTGTGGCTTCAAATATTAGGTACAAGCTGCAGATTCCCAAATGTATCTTTAGCTCTGACTTTTCCCCTGAACTGACTTGTATGTCATATAGCCAACCCCTATTCAAATTTGACGCTTGGATGTCTAGCAGGCACAAGCTTAATATTCTAGAAGATCATTTTTGATTTCACTTTTTAAATCTGCTTCTCTTTGTTTTCTCCTTTTAAATCAGAGTCATCTCCATCTTTCTAGTTGTTTAGGCCAAAACCTTTGGAGCCGTTCTTGACTTACAATCCACAGCCAATCCATCAGTAAATCCCCTTGGTTCTACTATTTAAATAGAGTAAGAACCTGACCCTTTCTCATCATTTCACCTGCTGCCCTCTAATCCAAGCCACTAGCATCTCTATTCTGGATTAGCCTTCTCTTTGGTCTATTTTTATTTATCCCCATTCCCCTAAAATCTCCTTTCCAAACAGCAGATAGAGTGACCCTTTCAAAATGCAAATGGGTGGCTGGGTGCCGTGGCTCACGCCTATAATCCCGGCACTTAGGGAGGCTGAGGTGGGTAAATCACTTGAGGCCAGGAGTTAGAGACCAGCTTAGCCAAAATGGTGAAACCCCATCTCTACTAAAAATACAAAATTAACTGGGTGTGGTGGTTCATGCGTGTAATCTTAGCTACTTGGGAGGCTAAGGCATGAGAATCGCGTGGACCCGGGGAGGCAGAGGTTGCTGTGAGCCTAGATTGTGCCACTGCACTTAAAAAAAAAAAAAAAAAGCAAAAGGGTGTGGTGGCATGCACCTGTAGTCCCACTTCCTTGGGAGGCCAGGGTAGGAGGATTGCTTGAGCCCAGGAGTTCAAGGCTGTAGTGTGTCATAATTGCACCTGTGAATAGACACTGCACTCTAGCCTGGGCAACACAGCAAGACTCCATCTCTTTAAAAGCAACACACCAAACTATCCAATGGTTTCTCATCTCATTCTAAGTAAAAGTCTTCAGTCTAAATAAAAGTCAGTCTTCACGGCCACCTACAACACCCTGTTTGATATGGCCTCCAACTACCTCTCTGACCTCCAGGCCCCTCTCCACCCCCTGCTCCTTCCTCTACTCCTACCCCCTGCTCTCTACCCCCTGCTCTTTTCTCTCATCCACACAGTCCTCCTCCTTAAAGTTCTCTGAATAGGCTACACCTATTATTGCCTCTGGGTTTTGGTGTTTGCTGTTCTCTAAGCCTTAACCACTCTTTTTTTTTTTCTCCTTCCAGAAAATTCTCCTGGCTTCCTCCTTTCCTTCCTTCAGGTTTCTGTTCAACGTTTTTCCTATTTAAAATATCAACTCTCCGGGCGTCGTGGCTCATGTCTGTAATCCCAGCACTTTGGGAGACGAGGCAGGCAGATTGCTTGAGGCCATGAGTTTGAGACCAGCCTGGGCAACACGGCAAAAACCCGTATCTACTAAAAATACAAAAATTAGCCAGGGCTTGGGCCTGTAATCCCGGCTACTCAGGAGGCTGAGGTGGGAGGATCGCTTGAGCCCAGACGTCGAGGCTGCAGTGAGCCAAGATCGTGCCATTGCTCTCCAGCCTGGGTGACAGAGCAAGACCCTGTCTTGAGAAAAAAAAAAAAAAAGCAACTCCCCCCATGACACCCTCAATCCCTTTACCCTGGCGTATTTTGCATCACAGTTCTTTTTGTCTTCCCAAATTAAACTTTAAAGAGCTTAATTAGAATCTAGGGTTGGTTTGTTTTGTTCTCTGCTGTATTCCTAGGATTTCAAATAGTGTATGGCACTGGATATGTATTCAATAAATACGTGTTGAATAGGTGAATAACTTGTATTCCCAGTGCTCAGTAATATAACCCAGAGTCAATCAATTCACCTTGTTTCTTTTGGGGGCTTGGAGCGGGTGTCTTCGTTCCCTCATCTCTCAAAGGAGAGGTGAGCTAGGTCATCTCAAAATAGACATTAATTTAACACATATTTAATGAGACCTACTGTGTGTCTGGCACTGGGTAGGTGTATGGCCTACAATAAGAGATCACAGTCCCTACTGATAAGGAGTTCGTGGGATTAACTGATAAGGAGTCCAGTGGGATAAACAGTCACTTCGGAAATGACCGTGGGAGGGCTTCCAGAGGAAATACCCGCCGCGTTTGCCTCGTGATAGGTAGGGGACAGGCAGGTGTAGAGGGAGTGGAAGGCTGTTCTCAGCTTCCCACGTGTGCACAGGGAACCGATCCAGTCTGTAAGCCCTGTGAAGGCAGCGACGTGGTTTTTTTGTTTTGTTTTAGACAGAGTCTCGCTGTGTCACCCAGGCTGGAGTGCAATGGCGCCATCTTGGCTCACTGCAACCTCCACCTCTCGGGTTCAAGCAATTCTCCTGCCTCAGCCTCCCGAGTAGCTGAGATTACAGGCGCCCGCCACCACGCCCGGCTAATTTTTTGTATTTTTAGTACAGATGGGGTTTCACCATGTTGGCCAGGCTGGTCTCCAACTCCTGACCTCAGGTGATCCACCCGCCTCGGCCTTCCAAAGTGATGGGATTACAGGCGTGAGCCACTTCGCCAGCGATGGGTTTAACTTGCCAGTTTTCTCCCCATATTTGGCTGGAGACTCTTAATTACATTGTTCTTTTACTTCTCACATGTATATGTGCATTTACTGAAGGGAGAGGCGCGGTAGGGGTGGAGGGTTGGGGAAGAGAGTCAGTTCAATTCCAGCTTTAAAACTATAGGATTTTTGGTAGAATTCATTTATTTTCTAAAGCGAGGCCCCGCGTACGCGCTTAGGGTGGGGACCTGCGCGTTCCTTTACACTGTTCCCAGGCCCTGATAATCCACATCCTATCATGTTGAACCTGGGAGGCAAACGGCAAGGTGCAAAAGACCTCCACGGTTTCTCCGGCCCGCGTTTCTGAGAGTGAAGGGCCGTTCCTATTGGACATGGCGTCAGGGCTGAACGTTAGCAGCAACATCTGCACTCGGGGGCGGGGGAAACCTTCCCACGTCCTGGGATCTTCATAGTCGGCTCTCCTCGAGAGTTCTCGGTATTTTTACTAGTTGGCCTCCCACAAGCCTCTGCGCCAACCTGGGAGGAGTTGACCTCTTGCGGCTCTACCAACAGAGGAGTGCAGGGGTGCAGCGAATGAACACGATGCCCAGATCGGAGACGGAAGACGGAAAAGAAAAGCTTCGATAATGAATCAAGCAACATCGTTTATGTAAATATTACATTGGGTCTTCTGTCCTCGGAGAAGTGCGGTTTTCCATCTTCCAACCTAAAACAATCCGTCGCTCCCCCCACATTTGGCACGCCCGGCAGTTGGTCTCTGCCGCGCCAGGCTACCCTGCGGTCACATGCTCCTCCTGTCCTTCTGGCGGAGCGTGCTTCCCGCTGCGGGGACGTTCGAGCAATGGCAGCCCTGCTGAGATCCGCGCGTTGGTTGCTGCGTGCCGGGGCGGCCCCGCGCCTCCCGCTCTCCCTGCGCCTCCTCCCTGGCGGCCCGGGCCGGCTGCATGCCGCCTCCTATCTGCCCGCCGCTCGCGCCGGGCCCGTGGCCGGGTGAGTGCCCAGGCCCTTTCTCCAGGCAAGCTGCGGCGCCAGGGTCCCCCGGGGTCGTGGGTGCCGGCAGGGACCGGGTCCTGCCTGTGCTCGCCACCCTTCTCCCCGCCCCAGGACCTAGCCTCCCCGGGCTCCGCACCACGCTCCCTACCAGGGGTTTTCGGGTGACAGGGTTAAGCGCCTTCAGAAGGTCACGGCTGTGGGCATGGCCTGCCTCCGGCTTGAATCCTGCCCCCGCCACTTCAGCCTGGACCTTACTGCCCTCGGGGTACCCATGGTCAACGAAGATGAGGGGGGCTTTGAAGACTGCTTTGGGAAGTCGGGTGGTGGTCTTTTCCTTACACTTGGCCAGCTTGGGTGGTGTCCCACGTGCGGTCACCGTTGGTGATCAGTAACCACCTAGCATTTAGATATTGGAAATTTAGCTTTTTGCGAGGGATGGGGCGGCGAGGAGTGGGTTGGGAGTTTGGGTGAGCCACGGATGACTTAAAGCTGGACGCTGGATTATGATCACTTTGGGCTTTTGCCTGCGTTCTCTTGAATGGAGTTTTCCTTCAGCATTTAAGAAGGTGTTGCGCGAGTTGGGCTGGAGTGCAGTGGCGCGATCTCAGCTCACTGCAACTTCCGCTTCCCGGGTTCAAGCGATTCTCCTGCCTCAGCCTCCCGAGTAGCTGGGATTACAGGTGTGCGCCACCATGCCAGGCTAACTTTTGTACTTTTAGTAGAGACTGGGTTTCACCATGTTGGCCACGCTAGTCTCGAACTCCTGACTTCAAGCGATCCTCCTGCCTCGGCCTCCCAAAGTGCTGGGATTACAGGTGTGAGCCACCGCTCCCGTCCTGTAAGTGTCTTTGAATGAATGAGCACATGCAAGGCACTCTGTTGGAATCTGGGGATGCAAAGGCAAGTTAAACTCTAAGTGGGTGTCAGATAGGCGAATAAATGCTCTCATGGTTTGAGGTTTATCAGAGATAGGTTTGGTATAGACTTTTGTAGTGGAGGGGAAAAGAAAAGTTGGTGAAAGTGTTCATTTGGTTATTAATAGTATTCTGACCACCAGAGAAGGGGAGATAGGTGCTGAGCTTTTAGCATTGGAGAAAAAATGATTTTGAAAGACTGATGCTTGTAAATTAAGGTACTTTGAGAGCTCGCGTAAGGACTGAGAGCCAGGGATCTGCAGTAGGCTGGGCCCAGACTGCAGCCTACTCCAGATTTATCTGCATTTTATCCTCAAATTATCTGCATTATGCCATTAGAGAAGTTACTTAACATCTCCAGGCCTCAGCTTCCTTAGCTATAAGGTGGGAGTAGTAGTAGTGTTAGGAATATTGCAGAATTATCTGTATTAAGCACTTAGTATAGGGCCTGATGCCTAGTAAGTGCTTTGTTGGTTACTACAGGAGTCATAATATCTACGGTTATGCGGACCTTCATGGACCAGCCTGAACACCTAATCTCGCCATAAAATTACGTGGAGGAAATAATTTATGATTTCTTAACAACTTAGTTATAATCTTTGGAATGGAGCGTACTTGTAATTTGGAGTCTGCCTATATTTTCTTATTGGGCTTGAACAGTTAACTTTCCGAAATCATGCCTCTGAGCACAGAACTATATACATCTCTTGGCTTTCAGAGTTTCTTTTGAGAAAGTTGTGCCCATTACTCTTATTTTTCTAATCCTCAGCATTTCTG
The DNA here is from genome assembly GCF_000001405.40 of Homo sapiens. NCBI lineage: Eukaryota > Metazoa > Chordata > Mammalia > Primates > Hominidae > Homo > Homo sapiens. The sequence goes on along the minus strand of NC_000002.12, from coordinate 43,994,104 downwards.
TGAGGCCAGGGGAAGGTCCACATTTTCTTTTATCTTCACTGTTGCATTTGAGGAGAACTGAATAAAGAGAGAACATAGTTTAGTAGAAAGGGTGGTCTCGGTGTTCATCAGACCTGGGTTCTGTTTACTTACTGCGTAATCTCAGCCATCTTACTAACCTGTCTGTTCCTCAGTTTCATTATCTGTAAAGGCCTTTCCCCCTTATCTTTGTAAAGTTGCTTTCTTATCATTCAGATCTCAAATGTCTCTTCAGGGAAGCCTTACCTCAACACTCAATCCAAAACATGCCGGTCCCACTGTAGATTTATTCGTGGCACACCTCACTTGTCTGATATCATTACTTATTTCTCTGGTTTTTTTTTTTTTCTTTAGTAGAAGGTAAGCTATATGAGAGCAGGACTTTGTCTTGTTCACCACTGTGTGTTCAGGTGACAGCAGGCAATAAAGAAGTGATTGTTCCCTCTTTTTCCTGGACTCTGAGCACTGTATATAGTCTCCTACCCGACATCCTGTAAGCATGCCCAGATCTTGCCCACGTGAAACACAGAACCTTTCCTGGAACTCTGTTTACTCTAGAAGTTTCTCAGTCTCTTCCCTGTCCATACTTCTCTGTCCCTTTAATTTCATCACTTTTCATTCACTTTCCTATCCACTGCAGTCACACCGCTGTCAAAGGCCATTATTATCTTATTGATTTTTTTATTGTATTTTTGAAAAATTATTTCAAAAGTGCCTTGAAGAACAGTTGCAAAAATTATTCCTTAAGGTGCCTCGAGGGACAGTTGCAAAACCTGGGTGGTGGGAACAATAAACTAAAAATCACCCTTAATTATGTCAACCAGAGAGCCATTCATTGATAGCTGTCCTTCTAATGACTTATGTATGTGTAAGATGTATGTTTATTTAACTTTTTGAAAGGACCTCTTTTAATTACCAAATCCACTTTTTAGGCCTTGACCTGGCATATTACTCTGTCTTCCATTTTCCCCTTCATGAGACACTTTTCTTGGTATTGATGACACCATTTTTCTAGGTTCTCTTCTCTTTAGGATTTGTCTCATTTGCTTGATTCCTCTTGCTTCTGTTCACCTATTAAATGCTGATGTTCTTGGTAGTTTTACTCGTGGTCCTTCTGTGTTTTCTCAACATTTTCATTCTCTTTTGTGACCTTTTCCATTTTTCAGGGCATTACTTACCTATCTGATGATGTTTCTCCCAGATATGGACCATCTACTACACATCCACCTGCTTGAACTATAGGTACTTCAGAGCCAACACAGCTCAAATTGGACCCCTCCTTCTTCTTTCATCTGTTCCTCTTGTGTTCCCTATTTTCGTGAATGTTGCTGTTTCTACCTGCCTTCCAGAAAGATCCTGGATATCTACATATTTGTTTTCCCATTCATCTCTCACTCCCTTCACCCCCCATTTATTGATTGCACAAATGATTAAGCCCTGTTAGATCTGCTTCATTTGGAATGCATCCCTTTTCCTCCAGCCCCTTCATCATTCCCTAGTCTCCCTGATAATTTGATCATGTCATTTTCCTGCTTACACTTAAGCATTGTGGTGGCTCCCATTGGGTCCAGAAGGAGATCCAGACTCTTTAGCACAGGTGCTTTATGAGCTGGAGTTGCCTCTGGAGCGTCAACTCTTCTGAGTTCCCTCCCATGGCATCCTGCGTTCTAGCCGTACCAGACTACTACTTTGAAGTGCTCTACAGCAGGGCTTCTCAAACTCTAGTGAGCATGATTGCCTGGGGCTCTCGTTAAACTGCAGATTCTGATTTTGTAGGTCTAGTGCTTGTCTGTGGATCTGTAAGGCTTTGATGGGCCATGTTGTATATTTCCTTGCCTTTGAGTGTAATGTTGACTCTTGGAATGTGTCTCCCCTTCCCCCTTAGTCAGGTGTCCCCCATCTCTGTTGAACCTTAACTTGACTGCCTCTCCCATTTGACTGGCTCCTTTCTTGTGCCTCCTCTTAGACCGTGTATCACTAAAGCACCCATTAACACTATGACGTGCACTCACCAACACTCTGGAGCTGGCTGTAAGTTGCTTGAAGGCAGATACTGTGTCTTACTCCTTTTGCTTTCCCTGGTGTTTAACTTTGTGGCATATAGTAGGTGTCAAATGTTTGTTGAGTGAATCAATGAAAATCTTAAGACATTGAAGAAGGAATATGGTAAACTGGAGGAGATTGAAGGGATGCTTAACCCACCCATGCAGTGCAGTGTGTCTACACAAATTCACCCTGAGCTTGATTTCCAGGAATGTCCTATTTGAGGACAAATGAGTATTAGTGAGTGAAATTATTAGACATTAGTAATCTGTTTTCAAAATTGTAGCACCAAGAAGTATATCCTTTTACTTTGTAATATGTGGTCTTGCTCTTCATTTTCCCATCTCAGTACATCTATTTTTCAAATAGATGCTTTCTGGAAAACCAGCTTTTACTCTGTTCTCTTTGAGGTGATAAATACTCTTGCTTTGTCACATACATTTTCCTTGCATTTCTGGATCAGAGCTGCTTTGTGTGTGTATTCTTTGTGTGATGGTTTTTAGCATAATACTTGTATACTTCAGAGGAAAGATAAGCTTTGAGCTCAATCTGTTTGGAAGTAGATCTAGACTAATGATTGGCCTAAAGGTGAAAATTACATATTGTTCTTTGATGGGATGGTGTGATTTTTATTTCTAAAGTTGGAAGAAAACTTTTAGAAAACTCTCATTTTAGAAAAATCTTCTGCAAATATTAAGAATCTGATGGGTCCGGCTGGGTACTATTGTTCACACCCATAATCCCAGCACTTTGGGAGGCCGAGGCGGGCAGATCACTTGAGGTCAGGAGTTTGAGACCAGCCTGGCCAACATGGTGAAATTCTGTCTCTTACTAAAAATACAAAAACAAAATTAGCAATGGTGGCGGGCGCCTGTAGTCCCAGCTACTCGGGAGGCTGAGGTGGGAGAATGGCATGAACCTGGGAGGCGGAGCTTGTAGTGAGCAGAGATCAGGCCACTGCACTCCAGCCTCAGTGACAGAGTGAGACCCCATCTCAAAAAAAAAAAAAAATAAAAGTATCTATACATAAGTTAGCCAGGCGTGGTGGCCCATGCCTGTAATCCCAGCTACTTGGGAGGCTGAGGCAGGAGAATTGCTTGAACCCGGGAGGTGGAGGTTGCAGTGAGCCGAGATCACGCCATTGCACTCCAGCCTGGGCTACGAAGCGAGACTCCATCTCAATTAAAAAAAAAAAAAAAAAGAACCTGATGGGTCCTTTGGGGTTCTGAAATCTGTAACATTCGGCCTCTGCTCTGTGAGTGTAGATTTATCAATCACAGGGCTAGACAGGCACATGTACAACTATTAGACGTGCTGTCCATAAGAGAAGAATATAATATTGTGGTATTTCAGAGAGAGGAGCAGTGCCATTTGTTTTATGGCAGGGGGACATTGAGTTTTAGAGGACACATGGTAGTGGATATTCAGAATGTTCCAAAAATAGAGAAGAGCGTGAAGAGACTTGGAGGCCGTTTATCCCGTGTAGCTGTGTGGGATGTGGTGGAAGTTGATTTCTTGAGGCTACCAAGATTGCTTAGAAGGTAGGTTAGTTGATGATTGGAAGCCGTTGGAGGATTTTAAGTACAGATTTTGACAAAGTTTATGTAGATTATAGGAACGTGGGGATGGAACAACACTGGTATTGCAAATTAGCAGTAATAGGCCTTCAACGAGGTAGTAAAGAACTGACGAAAAGATCCGTTTCTTGAGAGAAAGAGAACAGAAGATTGGTGAGAGTGTTAGCAGAATTAAGAAAAGTAGATTTGGGGATTAGGGTAAACAATGGTACCTTTAGAATAGATGCTGATTACTTTCTTTTTTTTTTGAGATGGAGTCTCGCTCTGCCACCCAGGCTGGAGTGTAACGGGGCCATCTCGGCTCACTGCAACCTCTGCCTCCCAGGTTCAAGCGATTCTCCCACCTCAGCCTCCCAAGTAGCTGGGACGACAGGCGCATGCCACCATGCCTGGCTAATTTTTGTATTTTTAGTAGAGATGGGGTTTTGCCATTGCCATGTTGGCCAGGCTGGTCTCGAAATCCTGACCTCAGGTGATCCACCACCTCAGCCTCCCAAAGTGCTGGGATTAAAGGCATGAGCCACCGCACCTGGCCTGATGTTTATTATTTTCAAAGTGTGTTTGTAAACATAACATCATACAAACATTTCAACTTCCGTGGGTTATTACAAATTAGGAAACAGGGTTAGAAGTATAATTTATTCAAGACCTCAAGTTGAGATTCAACTCCAGATACCGTGATTCCCGTTTCTGAAATGTTTTACATATGTTGCAACATATGTTACAAGTGTTTTACATATGTTACACATTTGATCTTGTCATTTTCCTGTTTACAGTTAACTGCCATGGTAGTTATCATTGGGTGCAGAATGAGGTCCAGACTGTTGTGTTTTAGATGGTGAAGGGATTACTTATGGACAAAAACATTTTTTAAAAGGCAATATATGATATAAACTTGGGATTTAAAGACTTTCACAGGTAAGTAAACATAGAAGATCTCAGAATGTATCTGGAAGGGATCTTCATAGATTCTGAAGAGTGTCCATGTCACATTATCGGTCCCAATCTGGTTAACTGACTTTGCATTACTTCCTCCATAGGTGAGACACAGGAGACATCCCATTTGACTGGAGGATCCTGGGAGATGGAAGGGAAATCTCGATAGGTGGAAAGGAGTGGATTGGTATTTCAGGCCAGAAGGTTGTTATAAAGTGTAGAAGGGTGGCTAGTAGCTTTTTTAGTCTAAAATTCTGTGATTTACCATAAAGCATAAAACTGGGGCAGCTAAATTTGTCAAAAGTTTTTGGAGAATTCAGTTCTTAGAGGGAGAAAGTTCATTGTGACTTAGTTTTATAAAAGATTTTTTAGGCCAGGCCCAGTAATCTCCGCACTTTGAGAGTCTGAGGCAGGAAGATCACTTGAAGCCAGGAGTTCAAGACCAGCCTGGGCAACATAGTGAGACTCCTGTCTCTAGAAAAAAAGAAATTAGCCAGCTGTGGTGGCATGCACCTGTAGTCCTAGCTACTTGGGAGCTGAGGCTGAGGTGGGAGGATTGCTTGAGGCCAGGAGTTCAAAGCTGCAGTGAGCCATAATTGCACCACTGCACTCCAGCCTGGACAACAGAATGAGACCCTGTCTCAAAAAAAAGATAAAGGAAAGATATTGTAAAAACTCAGAGGCATTTGGTCAGGCGTGGTGGCTCATGCCTGTAATCCCAACACTTTGGGAGGCTCAGGCGGGCGGATCACGAGGTCAGGAGATCGAGACCATCCTGGCTAACATGGTGAAACGCCGTTTCTACTGAAAAAAATAACAAAAAAATTAGCTGGGCGTGGTGGCGGGTGCCTGTAGTCCCAGCTACTCCGGAGGTGACAGAGCGAGACTCCATCTCAAAAAACAAACAAACAAAAACTCAGAGGCATTTATTGAGCACCTTCTATAATAAGACAGCTATTGTTTATTGAGCAGTGGCGTCTCTTTTCTTTCTTGTTAGACGGAGTTTCGCTCTTACTGCCCAGATTGAAGTGCAGTGGCGTGATCTCGGCTCACTGCAACCTCTGCCTCCCAGGTTCAAGCGATTCTCCTGCCTCAGCCTCCCAACTAGCTGGGATTATAGGCATGCGCCACCATGCCTGGCTAAGTTTGTATTTTTAGTAGAGATGGGGTTTCTTCATGTTGGTTAGGCTGGTCTAGAACTCCCGACCTCAGGTGATCCGCCCGCCTTGGCCTCCCAAAGTGTTGGGATTACAGGCATGAGCCACTGTGTCCAGCTTTTTTTTTTTTTTTTTTTGAGACAGAGTCTCTGTCTCCCAGGCTGGAGTGCAGTGGGGCGATCTTGGCTCACTTGCACCCTCTGCCTCCTGGGTTCAAGCAGTTCTCCTGCCTCAGCCTTCTGAGTTGCTGGGATTACAGGCACCTGCCACCATGCCCGGCTTATTTTTGTATTTTTAGTAGAGATGGGGTTTCACATGTTGGCCGGGCTGGTCTCGAACGGACTTCAAGTGATCTGCCTACCTCGGCCTCCAAAAGTGCTAGGATTACAGGCTTGAGCTACCGTGCCTGGCCCGTTGTTTCTTTTCTTAATTACATTTACCATAATTAATATTTTTAAAGGTCTAATTTATTAGATTTATTACTAGATAAGAATATTCTAGCCAGTGCCTTATACATAGAAAGCACTCAGTAAATATATTTTGAATTAATAAATGGAAGAACAGAATTGATGTGATAAGTAAAGAACAATGATAGGATTTTTGAAAAAAGATGGTTTTGAGGATGGTTGATCTGGCAGTTGTATGAAGAGAGGCTGAAGCCTGAGAAACTAAAGATTTGTTGCAGAAATCCATGAGTTCATCAAGAGCCTCAGACATCTAAGCACTCACTAGATGGGATGTAAAGGCTGAGAGACTTTGCCCAATAAAATAATTAGTCTAAGATTTTGAGTTTGAGTTTGTGGGAACAGGGTATTAGTGGAATGGTTGGTTGCAGTGGAGAAATTTGAAGGGAATACCAACCTTTTTTTTTTTTTTTTTTTTGAGGAGTCTGGCTCTGTCGCCCGGCCTGGAGTGCAGTGACGCTATCTCGGCTCACTGCAAGCTCCGCCTCCTGGGTTAACGCCATTCTCCTGCCTCAGCTTCCTGAGTAGCTGGGACTATAGGCGCCCGCCACGGCCCCTGGCTAATTTTTTGTATTCTTATTAGAGACGGGGTTTCGCCTTGTTAGCCAGGATGGTCTCAATCTCCTGACCTCGTGATCTGCCCGCCTCGGCCTCCCCTAAGTGCTGGGATTACAGGCATGAGCCACCGCGTCCGGCTCATTACCAAACATTTTTAAAAGGCATTATCTTTTTGCATTTTGGATACATTTAAAACTCGGGAGGCTCCAGCAGTATATAAAAAGAATGATTTACCGTGATCAAGTGGGATTTATTCCAACTGTGCAAGGCTGGTTCGGCATTTGAAAATCAATCCACGTGATCCAGCGTATCAACAGGCTAAAGAAAATTCAAGTGGAATAGTTAAATTAGGGATTGGTGAAAACGTAGGAGATAAATTTGAGTTCCCCATTTTCTACATTACAGTGCAACAAAATAAGTTGAGAGAGCGGCTCTATGAAAACTAGTTTTGTACTTTACAAGTGTGTCATAAAATCCAAATCCCTTATTTATCTGCCATTAGAGACTTTGCACTGTCTAGTCTCACTCTCACTGTCTAGGTTTAATTTTTTACCACTTTCCAGTGTGAACACCCAATTGCAGCCAGATTAGTTTCTTCAATGCCCTTTTGCCACGTTGAGTTCGTTTCAGAATGAGACCGTCTCAGAATGAGACCGTCTGAGTGCTAACCCTGGCCCTATCATTAGCCTTAACTGTGATGACTTTGGGCAAGTTGCTTCAGTTTTTTCATTTGTAAGTTATAATTTTCTCATACCCAGCACAAATTAAACACCTGATAAACATTAGCTATTAATAATGCCTCTTCTGTCTTCTACCTGTATCTACCTTTAAACTCTTGATAGCTCTAAAGTGACACTAAACTGATTCATAATATCAGTGAAGAAGAAAAAAAGTGGAGAGAAGAGTTTTAAGAACGTGTATGGCCTGGGCATGGTGGCTCATGCCTGTAATCCTAGCACTTTGGGAGGCCAAGGTGGGCGGATCGCTTGAGGTCAGGAGTTTGAGACCAGCCTGGCCAACATGGTAAAACTCCGTCTGTACTAAAAATATAAAAATTAGTCGGGCATGGTGGTGTGTGCCTGTAATCCCAGCTACTCAGGAGGCTGAGGCATGAGAATCGCTTGAATCCTGAGGCAGAGGTTGCAGTGACCTGAGGTCGCGCCATTGTACTCCAGTCTGGGTGACAGAGCAAGACTCCATCTCAAAATAAAATAAATAAAAATGGGCAGAAAATACTTCACCAGAAAAGACATATAGATGGCAAATAAGCATACGAAAAGATGTTCAACAGCTTATGTCATTAGAGAAATATAAATTAAAACAACAATGAGATACCACTATCGGAATGGCAACAATCCAGCAAAACGTCGAAAACCCCAAATACTGGCAAGCATGTAGGACAACAGGAACTCTCATTTATTGCTAGTAGGAAAGCAAAATGGTATAGCTATTTTGGAAGATAGTTTGATAGTTTTCTTAGAAAGCTAAACATAGATTTACCATTAGGTATTTACCCAAATGAGTTCAAAATGCATGTCCATACCAAAACCTTCACACAAATGCTTATAGCAGCTTTATTCATAATTGTCAAAAATTGGAAGCAACCTGGATGTCCTTCAGTAGGCAAATGGGTAAACAAATCATGTATATCTACAAAAGAACATTATTCAACAATGAAAAGAAGTGCGCCGTCATGCTGTGAAAAGACATGGAGGAACCTTAAATGTGTATTGCTAGGTGAAAGAAGCCAATCTGAAAGGGCAGCATGCTGTATGATGCAACTATATGACATTCTGGGAAAGGCAAAACTAGAGACAGGTAAAAATCAGTGGTTGCCAGGGGTTCGGAAGGAGGGTGGAAGGAATGAGGAGATAGAGCATGGGGCATTTTTAGGGTGGTGAAATTATTTTGTATGATACTGTAAAGGTGGATACATGTCATATGTTTGTCAAAACATGTATACACACAGTGAACTCTAATGTAAATTATGGACTTTGGTTGATGGATAATGTATCAGCATTGGTTCATCATTTGTAACAAAGATACTACACTACAGCAAAATGTTACTAGGGGAAATGGGAGGGAGAAGAAAGTGGGAACTGTTCTTTCAGTACAATTTTTCTATAAACCTAAAAACACTAAAAAATTGTGGGTTTTTTTCTAGTCAGTCTCTGCTTATCAAAAAATTGTGTTTATTTTTTAAAAAAATGGTACATGCTTAAAAGTAGTGGGGAGGGTCCCATGGAAGCCTGCTTAGTAGGATAATCTGATCCCTTATATCTTTTTTTTTTTTAATGGACATTCAACTATAAGATCGTTTTCTATTGAAGAGTTAAAAAAAAACCCACCTTAATTTTTTTAAAAAAACTGAGAGATAATAACTTTAAATGGTAGATTTTACAAGAAAACATTTATGGGTAATTTGAGTATTAGTGGTAGGAGCTGGAGTCTGGAAGGAACCTGAGACATTTAACTAGGAAATGTAAAGGAGCCAGTATGATACTTGGATGAGATGATACAATAATTTCCCCTTATGTGGTTATATCAATTTTGGTCCTTAGCATTTGGAGGCAGTGAGCTCCAGCTTGTGCAAGCCTGGTGGGTGTGATCTTCTTGTGGGGCCCCACCGTCACCCCTGGACTTGTTCTGTTCTTTCTTTTCTGTGACGACATACCCATTACTCCAGGCTGTGAAACTCTTGTTTCCAGAATGTATTAGAGTGAATTTAAAAATAAGTTCTGGACCATATAACTGAAGAGTGAAGACTTCTTTGGTTAAATATGTAATCCTTCCTCTATCCCAATTTATTTTATAATAGATTCATGTTTCTACTTAATTAAATCCAAGCACACTTATGAGAAGGAGACTCGGCTGCAGTAAAGACATGTATATGAGAAAAATTTGCCTAGAATATTCAGAACAATGTGCTAGTTTATAAACATGTTTTCTGCCTGAAATTTGAGTTGGTCTTCTCTTACATTTAAAAAATATCCTGTAGCGGAAGTTTTATTTTTGCTCTTTAACAGTTTATCAGATTTGCATTGTGTAAAAAACTTTGGCAAATAGACTTCACAATTTTGAAATTTCTGTATTAATCAGCTTTTGTTGTTGACTAATATTATTGCATACTCCTCCAAACTTGACATGTTGTCCTGGACAGTTTAAAAATAATGTCACTTTGTGCTTGCGGGACATTAAGAAGGGGATAGTTTAGTAACAACTGATAGAGCAACTAGATAAATGCCTTTTGGAAGTAAGGGATAAATATTATTTTAAGGGTATATCTTCTGTGGTTTGTAGCTTAATTCAGCTCGTTTGACAAACTCGAGTCAATTAGCCATCTACAATGTGCTGATCATTGGTCTTACAAAAATAAGACATTGTCTTATTTAGTCAGTATCTTGATTTTTTCCATTATTTTATACCTAGATGGTGGAATCACTAATGGTTAGAGTCATGATTTCTCCCAGATCACAGTGGTAGAATTTCTAGTCTATTATCAATTACAGCCTCGTTTTATATAAACTTGAGGTGAAACCTCTAGTATAGTTTCCTTTAGTAAAACAACACATACTTGATCATTCAATTTGTGACTGGTTTTTTCAGATTAATAACATAGGATAGAAATGTAAGTTTTATTTTTAAAGTCACCATTGTGATGAAAATGTGTACGTCTGAAAAATGTGATTATATTATACTTAGTTGTTATATAGTGTATAATATATTTAGTGGCTGCTGTAACTAAGATATTTGCAATAAATGTGTAAACCACTGATAATTAGAAATCATTTGTTAAAAGTGATGTTTAAATGCAGAGAAAGCATTTTTAAATTCAACTCAGATTGATAACAGGTTTCCTTCACACATAAGAATTATTTTTTATCTGATATTTTTAAATCAGGTACAGCTTATATTTTTACCTAGAATAGCCTAGAGAAGAAAGTATATGGGAACTCTACTTAATGCACGATTTTTCTATAAACCTAAAAATATTCTAAAAATTGTGGTGTTTTTTTTCCTAGTCTCTGTAAAAAATTGTGTTTATTTTAAAAAAAGGTACAGCCTAGAAGCCCTCAGATTTCATGTTAGAGAGCATTCGACTTGCATATTAGACTCCATTACTAAAATAGTGAATGGTTTAAAGATTGCTTGCTCTTTGTAAACACATAATGTACTATTCTGACCATACCTAATTTGTAATCATTTTTCTTTCCATTCTGGCTTCCTTAAAATTAATGATGTTTAACACTTTATTTATTTTTGGTGGCAGTTGTTTTAAATAATTAGGAAAGAATACAGCTAACATTTTGACAGTTGCACAGCAGATAAGAATTAAGAGCCTTATCACTATTAAGTGTTTCAACTTTATTTAGACAGATTAGAAATTATTTGGGCCTAAATGATCCTTAAAAAAAAAAACCCTGCATCGTTTTAGCCTGGACATTGGTCTTCTTTTAAATTCATAGTAAGCTTATACCTAGAAAACTTAAAGGTAGTTATAAAAATTTTGGATATATTTTAGATCTCTTGTCTTATTTACAGAGATGAGAAGAGCTTTGCAGCATAAACTGCTTCATCTTCTGTCATTACCTTGTTTTGGTTAAGGAGAGATTTAAAAAACACTTAAAACACACTGTATTTCCATCTGATTTTGAAATCATTCCATGTTCAAAGTTACCAAGATGTTGTCAATTATTCAGGAGATTTACTGTGCATATAGTTTATGTATGTGTGTATATGATTTTATCTAAAGTAAAAGCTAAAACTTTCTTTCCCATTAGTTCATACCTCTATTTTTGGTATTGTACTGTGATTTTAGGTGTTTAATAACTAATTTTAAAATTTGTTTAAGTTTTGTTCAAAAAATGACCTAAATAGATAGCAACTGATTATTATTAATTATGTTTCATTTTTTAGAGGACTACTGAGCCCAGCCAGGCTGTATGCCATTGCTGCCAAAGAAAAAGATATTCAAGAGGAGTCCACTTTTTCTTCTAGGAAGATTTCCAATCAGTTTGATTGGGCTCTAATGAGACTAGATCTTTCTGTTCGAAGAACTGGCCGCATTCCAAAGAAGCTTCTACAAAAAGTTTTTAATGATACCTGCCGCTCAGGTATTTCAAAATTTCCTGTTCATAAAGTTGACTTTTGGCTGGTCACAGTGGCTCAGGCCTGTAATCCCAGCACTTTGGGAGGCAGGTAGATCGCTTGAGGCCAAGTGTTCGAGACCAGCCTGGCCAACATGGCAAAACCCCATTTCTACTAAAAATACAAAAATTAGCCAGGCATGGTGGCGCGTGCCTGTAGTCCCAACTACTTGGGAGGCTGAGGCATGAGAATCGCTTGAACCCAGGAGGCAGAGGTTGTAGTGAGCTAAGATCGCACAACTGCACTCCAGCCTGGGCGACAGAGAGAGACATCTGTCTTTAAAACAAAAAAAAAAGTCTTAAATTTAGGTTGGTGCAAAAGTAATTGCAGTTTTTGCCATTAAACATAATGGCTGCAATTACTTTTGCATCAACCTAAATAAATACTTGAGGGTAAGCTCATTACACAGTAGATTATTTGATACTTTAATTTTCTTTGTTATATTCTGTTGATTGTCATTTATGTTATGATTGTGATTTCTATCTTGTCAACTCATCTGGGCAAAGTTTGGAGTAACTAAAACATTTTTAGATTTTTTTTTTTTGGGATGGAGTATCGCTCTGTCGCCCAGCAGGCTGGAGTGCAGTGGTACGATCTCGGCTCACTGCAACCTCTGCCTCCCGGGTTCAAGCAACTCTCCTGCCTCAGCCTCCCAAGTAGCTGGGACTACCGATGCATGCCACTGCCCAGCTAATTTTTGTATTTTTAGTAGGGACGGGGTTTCACCATGTTGGCCAGGCTGGTCTCGAACTCCTGACCTCGTGATCCACCCGCCTTGGCCTCCCAAAGTGCTGGGATTACAGACGTGGGCCACCATACCTGGTCTAGATGTTTATTCCATATCAGAAAATAAAAATTGTCTTTTTGCTTTTCCTAGTTTATGGAGTCACTTTTAGTAGTAAGTTTCTTGGAAGATAACTAGTTTTTCTTACCTTCCATTGTAGAGTGTCAGGTTTCTGTAAGATGATCATATAAGACAGCTTTCCATTATTTTCCTTTCATTTTCAATTAGCTACTAAAAATCTGTTTGAGTCACTAATGCCTGATGCAAGCTATAGGTCTTTCACTCCCTGCCCCCGACCCCCAAAAGCCTCATGCAAACATATGCATAATTTTGCATGCAGTTTAAGAGGATTCTGTAGCTTCCTAAAGCCTATTCGTGGGTTTCAGACACACTCAGAAGTGTAGATATAAAATCTGATGGTGAGAGATACCAAAGAAGTATTAATTATTACTATAGTTATGTACATTTAAAGACCTGTGTCACATTCTCTCTCTGACTTATTTATTCAACCATCACTACAATCAGTTTTGGAACATTTTCATCACCCCAAAAAGAAATTACCCAACTCCTCATCCCTTCCAGCCGTAGGCAACAACTAGCGTATTTTCTGTCCCTGTAGGTTTGCCCTACTCTAGATATTTCATATAAATGGAATCATACTAAGTGGTTTATTTTTGCTTTGTTTTAAAGTCAGCTTTCAGGGATATGTAGATAAAGCTTACAGATATAGGGAGAGGGAAGCTTATATTGTAGCTGATTATGAACCTAACTTTTCTATTCATAGATGTTAATTACACTGCTTTACAGTATTCTTTCTTTCTCTCTCTCTCTCTCTTTCTTTCTTTCTTCTTTTTTTTTTTTTTTTTGAAACAGAGTCTTGATCTTGTTGTCTAGGCTGGAGTGCAGTGGTGCAATGTCGGCTCACCGCAGCCTCCACCTCCTGGGTTCAAGCAGTTCTCCTGCCTCAGCCTCCCGAGTAGCTAGAATTACAGGCATGCGCCATCTCGCCCAGCTAATTTTATATTTTTAGTAGAGACAGGGTTTCTCCATGTTGGTCAGGCTGGTCTCAAACTCCCGACCTCAGGTGATCTGCCTGCCTCAACCTCCCAAAGTACTGGGATTCGCGCCTGGCCCTTTATACTGTTTTCATAAGATACTGGGAAGTTTAGCCTTTGAATTGTAGCAAGCACTGCCTATAAAGTAGGTTCTTTGTATTTTTGTATTTGATAGAGTTTTGCAGATTACATAGATTTTATAACCTTAGATTTCTTAAGAAAGCAGACTAATATTTAAAGTTTGACTTGTAACTTAGTAACACTGTACATTAGGATAGGATTTTTCTAATTTATGGTTACTCTCAGTTTGAGCCAGAAGATTTTTGAATGCTTATAGATTTCTGTTTAAATTTTGATATTTATCTATGTGATATTGCTGCTATGTTAAATGTTATCCATTAACCTTTTTTCCACAGGTGGCCTAGGTGGTAGTCATGCCTTGCTTCTACTACGTAGTTGTGGTTCTCTCTTGCCTGAACTAAAGCTTGAAGAGAGAACAGAATTTGCTCATAGGATATGGGACACACTTCAGAAATTAGGTATGATTGTTTAAATATATGATGTGTATAAAAGGTGTAGATGTTTTTTCTTTTTGCAAAAAAGTGTTTGTTTACATAAATGCTGTAATTCAGTTTTATGGAAGGGCTACTTGATTCATAATTTTTTGATAATATTTATTTGGTGAGGTATAGTGACATCTAGGGTCATTAACAATAAATAATTTTTCATAACAAGTATTACTTACAAGTACGGTAAGTTAAAAAAGAAAAAGAAGAAAATAGCCGGTTTGTCTGTCAAAGTTATAAATGCACATACCATTTGACCGAGCAGTTCCATTTGTTCGAATTTAGGTACAGATATACTCACATATGCAAAAGGATATTCTTCATTGTAGCTTGTTTGTAATAGTAAGAAATTGGAACCAATTCAAATATTCTTCTCTAGGGGATTAGGTAAATAAATTATGGAGTACCCGTAAAATAGATTACTGTGTAACTGTTTTAAGAAATGAAGAAGCTCTTTATATGCCAATGGGGGTGTTCTCCAGAGTATAAATAAAAATTAAGGTGTAGACCAGTATGTATAGAATGATACCATTTTGAAGAAAAGTGTTTTTACACGTGCATGTGTATACAATATTAAAATATTTCTAGAAGGATGATGAACACTGGATACAGGTTTTACTTGACCTTTTTATACCTTTTCAGTTTTATGTCATGTAACATAGTACGTATTCAAAAAATAATTTGAAAAAAGATGGTTTAATACAATTTAATGTTCATTCCTGATTTAAAAAAATCTTAAAGTATAGAAAGATGCTTCTTTAATGTGTTAAAAATCTAAAACCGACAACAATCATGTATAATGCAATGAAATAAGATGTGAAACAATACAAGAAGTTATTATTTTTAGATGATGTGATTGTTTAATCTGCAAAATCCCAGAAAATCAGCTCACAGTAATTAGCTGGACTCACTAAATGTTTAAGAATCCATACCTCTTCTAGTTATAAAAGAAAATAGAGAAAAGAATCCAAGAAAGTATAGCTACAGATAAATAAAATATTTAGGACTATCCTTCAAAAAGTGAGTAGGACCTATGTGAAAAAAACTACAGGATAAAGACAGATTCTTCCTTCACAGTTTTGAATACATCTAGAATACATTTTGATAAGTTGATTTTTTTTTAAGTTAAAAACTATATAGATAAATGTTGACTTTCAGAATGGAAAAGGATTTTATAAGTATAAAAGGAGCAGAAAAGTAAAGCTAAAATATTGAATCTCTAAAAATTAGAAATTTCTGTATGTCAGTAAGTCATTGAACTGGGAGAAATATATGCAGAAAAGGTTACATTCTAAAATAGAAAAAAGCATTACACAGCAGTAATAACATTAATTCCTCCATATAAAGATTAACAATGTGTTATTATATTAACATTCTTTACAGATAGGTCTCTCCTGTATAAGTGTCTGCTTTATAAGGATGGAATCCATGGCTTCTTTATTTTCCTGTTTGACAGTAGCATGATGCTTTGTGTATAATGGCATTTGATACATACTTGTTGAATTAATATTGCCAGAAACCTTGTAGTTTGCCAGTTTGACTCTTGTTTACAGATTTATAAAGATACAAGAGATCTTTTAGCTTAAGTAACTTGTCCAAAATTACAGAATGAGCTGTTGACAGATCTGAGCTATCTGTAAGATGGGGCTGATAATAGTGTCTCAAAGTTGTTGTGAAGTTTGAGTGAGCCACTATATGTGGAACACTTAGCATAGTGCCTGAAACATAGTATGAAAGAAACATATCTGTTAAGATAAAAATGTGTATTAATTTAATGGAACAGCTCTCTGCTGCCTAAAATCACATACTCTCACCCCCAGATACTAACCATAGGCCTGTATGGTCACAGGCAGTTGAATAAAGATGTGAAATTTAATGCATGAAAATGTAGTGAGACATGTTACCACAAAATTGATATAAAGACCATGATGTCATGACTCAGTAGAGTAAGGCTGTGTGGTAACCTTATTTGATGTGGCCCTAAACAGTAGGGATACAAAGAAAACAAAGGTCATTAGAATACAGATAATTAACAAGAGCATACCATAGATCATGTTCATCAGCTGAAAATGGAATGCATCCTTAAAATGAAGGCTTTGAGTGACAGAATTGCCAGCACAGTCCTACTGTGTGAAAGAACTGAAGTTACAATCCATTCTTCACAGTGTGTCTGTAATGTGAGGACTGCTTTATATAGAAAAATCTTACAGTCACTTTTAAATATAGGGATATTGTCAGCGTTTTCTAACAGGAAGATAATTTTGTGCTTCATAAGTAAGAGGCCTTTTAATATCCGAATAGGCAGTTACTTGTAACTATACAGTAACTCAGTAATTACTGTCTTACATGCTTAGCTTGCTCTGTGTGACAGAGTATCTGTGTAGATAGGTCTGAGCGCCAAGATGGATGGGTGAAATGCTAAAGTGATAGTTTTACTCTTTTTGTTTGTTAAATTTAGGTCCACTTTAAAGCATAGGATTTTCAATGCTTTTCTAAAAATTCATTTTAAATTTCATTTGTAGGTGCTGTGTATGATGTGAGTCACTATAATGCTTTACTTAAAGTCTATCTTCAAAATGAATATAAATTCTCACCAACTGATTTCCTGGCAAAAATGGAGGAAGCAAACATTCAACCAAATCGAGTAAGTAGTTGCTATTGTGAATATATTTTCACATCCACCATTTTTTTTCTTTACTCAGAAAAAAAAGTATATTTAAAATTAACTGGCCCATTTCATTGACAGGTGACATACCAGAGATTGATTGCTTCTTATTGTAATGTAGGAGATATTGAAGGTGCCAGGTATGGATCTGTATGAACATGTTTAAGCGAACAAATTTGTACATTTTGTAAATCTAATGTCTGTTCACTCTTTGTTTTAAAGCTTCTTCCTAATGGAGGAAATTGTTTCAGAACTGTTTTAATCTAGAAAATCTGGTAATCTGACTTACATAAAATATAAAATTATCGTGTAAGAGAGAAAAGATAAGTAAAAGTTGCTATTTTAATTAAAAATTTGATTTACTGGAGAGAGGTATAAAGTTGTTGAGCTATAAAGCTGACTTTGCTTTTTTTTTTTTTTTTTTAAATATTTCCTAAGGGAAATGTTCTTAACCATTTAAGCTGTATTCATTTATAAAACTGGAAGTAGTGTAGAAAATCAGTTGCACCATTTCTCTGCTTATGTAAAATTTATTACTACTTATGAATGGAAGGTTTGGAAAATAAGGGATAAATTGGAATACATAATTTCATTTTTATCTAAAAGAATCTTATGAAACTATGCTTTTAAAAGGGTAATTAGTAGTGTAAGACAAATCAGATAATCAGATTTTTAAAAATCTAGTATTTGTATCGATAGTACTTCAAGACTGTTGATACATTAGAGAGTGGGGTTTTGTGGGAAGGGGATCAAAGGGATTAGTTCTTTCTTTGTGGTTTCTAAAACAAATGTATATTACTATTATATTTTAAAAACAAAAGTAACTCAAGGCCTAATTCTGTACATGTTGTAAAGAGTGTTCTTATAAATACTTTCAATGAGTATCTTCGTTTTTCCTTTGCAGCAAGATTCTTGGATTTATGAAAACTAAGGATCTCCCAGTTACAGAGGCAGTATTCAGTGCCCTTGTGACAGGGCATGCCAGAGCTGGGTAATGTTCAACCTAAGGTTTTGGTTCTTAAGTGATAGATGGCTGAGATGCTAAAGTGGTCATTTTACTCCTTTTTTGTTTGTTAAGTGGGGTTTAAATTAGAGAAAATTATTGTAGACAGTTCTTAAAATACATTTGTCTATCCCTTCAAAAAAAAATCTGTAGTATATGAGGTAGAGCATACTAATATTTTTATAATGAGCTTTTACATTTGTTCCACAAATCTTTCTTTTATTTGAATTTTTAGAAATTGGGCTTGAAGCCGGGCGTGGTGGCTCATGCCTGTAATCCCAGCACTTTGGGAGGCTGAGGTGGGCAGATCACCTGAGGTCAGGAGTTCAAGACCAGCTTGGCCAACATGGTGAAACCCGGTCTCTACAAAAATATAAAAATTTAGCCGGGCATGATGGCAGGTGCCTGTAATCCCAGCTACTTGGGAGTCTGAGGCAGGAGCGTTGCTTGAACCCGGGAGGCAGAGGTTGCAGTGAGCCGAGATTACACCATTGCACTCCAGCCTGGGAGACAGAGCAAGACTCCATCTCAAAAAAAAAAAAGAAAAAAGAAACTGGGCTTGATCTGATCTGAAGTAACTGCTCTGGAAAATATTTTTATTTTTGAAGAGTAATTTACTAAATGTTATTCTTACCTCGAAAGTTAAGTCTGAGTCATAACCTACATAATATTAAGAGGGTATGTTATTTAATGTCTATGTAATTATTATTATTTTTTAATGGGGGATCAGATGTTTATGATCTTTATTATTTCAGAAACATATATCCAGTTTAATATACATTAGTTCTTTTCTGACATCATAATTCCAAATGGTACTTAGCATTTTTTATTTTAATAAGCATATGTTTTAGTTTGAATAACTATATTAAATTTGGCAAAAGCATAATAATCTGTTTTTTGAATTAACTTGTAGTGATATGGAGAATGCAGAAAACATTCTCACAGTGATGAGAGATGCCGGAATTGAGCCTGGTCCAGACACATACCTCGCATTATTGAATGCATATGCTGAGAAGGGCGACATTGACCATGTTAAGCAGGTATGACTTATGTCTAAATAAACATACTTTAAAATCATTTGTAAAAATTTGTGTTATGTTTTACATGAGGCAGGAAAGTGAAGTTTATACCTGTTTTCAAAGATGTTTCCTTGCAGAAAGTAGTATTTATGGAGAATTATTATAGTTTAGTATCTCGGTGCTGGTATGTAACAGTTACTGTTGAAGTAGAGTATTTCCTGTTTTTTAAAAGAAGTCGTAAACCTTTAGGTGGTATTTTTCCCTAGTTTTTTGAATCTGGATATTTTATTTAGCTTTAATACTTAAATAAAAACACTCTAACTTTGTCTTCTAATTTCTGGAACTCTCTATAGACTCTGGAGAAGGTGGAGAAGTCCGAGCTTCACCTTATGGACCGTGATTTACTGCAAATTATTTTTAGCTTCAGTAAAGCTGGGTATCCTCAGTATGTCTCAGAAATTTTGGAAAAAGTTACATGTGAAAGAAGATATATTCCAGGTAGTTTTAAAAAAATCTATTTACATGATTTTTATAAAAATCTGAATTGCTATTCTTACATGATGGAAAGGACATTTTCTAACAATGGGCATTGTGGGAGTTGAACATAGAACTCTTAAAGTCAGTTAAATAAGCCCAAAAACATGAGTTAATGAACACATGGGGATGATTTGATTTGCAGGTGTTTTATTGTTATTTAGGCAGTTATATGCTTTTGATGTTTGCAATTCTTATTTTGTCTTCAGTATTGGAACATTGGTTGCAGTGTAAAAATATTGTTCAGTTTATTAACAAAAGATGTCTTTGTTTTCTTCCCAGATGCAATGAACCTCATTTTACTTTTAGTCACTGAAAAATTGGAAGATGTAGCGTTGCAAATTTTACTAGCATGCCCCGTATCAAAGGAAGATGGCCCAAGTGTCTTTGGCAGTTTCTTTTTACAACACTGTGTGACTATGAATACGGTATTCTGTCCACTTTTACTTTGTAGACAATGTAATTGGCAGTGAAATAAGATTCTTTAAAGTATAGGAACATTTATAAGATTAGACCAGTTGTAAACATCATAACAATGTTCTTGTGTTGCAAGATTTTTGGGTAGAAAGAGGATGCGGGGTTTAAAATGCTCATCTCAGAAGTGGTAGAATATTTGCAGCAGGTCAAACGGTGGGGTGTTTGCCAATCCAGCTAATGTGGTGACTTTTTTCCCACAGCCTGTGGAGAAGCTAACAGACTACTGTAAGAAGTTAAAGGAAGTCCAGATGCACTCCTTTCCTCTGCAGTTCACCCTCCATTGTGCTTTACTCGCCAATAAAACTGGTACTACATTCTTAAAGTTAAAGCCAAGTAAGGAAGTTTTGCTGAGGTAGCTTTGTGATCTTTTATGATATCTCTTTCAGATTTGGCAAAAGCCTTAATGAAGGCTGTGAAGGAGGAAGGTTTTCCTATCAGACCTCACTATTTCTGGCCATTGCTAGTTGGACGTCGGAAGGAAAAAAATGTTCAAGGTTAGATTTTGCCTTTTACCGATTTGTAATGGTTCCCAGAGCCAGTATGACAGTTTGCACGCACATCTAATTGGATTCTTTGGAAAAGCATACTTATTCCTGAGTATTATGAGATAATGGAATTGTTTTAAGTCATCATGAAGTATTATGTGTAAGCATTTTAAAAAACAAAACATGATGGATTTCTTTCATCTGAATTTCATTAATTTCATTTCTTATTTCATCTCTGATCTTGATATTCAAACTTAATGAACGTAGTTTTTTTAAGTTCTTAAAAAAACTCTTTAGTTCTTGATTTTATATATAGTGTTTGAAATCAGATTGTCTACCTTTAATAAAGATAAAGTTGTATATACAATTAGGTTCATGAAAACAAAAAGTATGGTCATTTTCTTTGTGGGCCAATCTATTTCTTTTTAACTGAGCTTAGTTAGAATAATAGGAAAGGCAGGAAAACTTTTATTGTGAAATGAGTACTCATGACCTGACAGCCTGCTGATTGAAGGACAAAAATGTTCAATCTTTCAGGTTCTTAAGTACGTTTAAGCATTTATCATACTTTTCCCTTGTACACATGGGATGTCTATAGGATATGAATAAGAATTGAACAAATATTAAATTTTAGAGTACAGTATCTAATTCTTCGGTTTGCATTATTGGTAATTCAGAAAGAGTAGTCTCATAAAAAGATGCTTTTAACAGAAGTACTTTCCCCTTGGGGAAACAAAAAATGGTCTTTTTCATTTTATCTCGAAGTATAATGTGCTTTGGAATGAGATGCAGAATTGTTAGTGTGACATTGGGTGACAAACAGAATGCACAAACAACAAAAAAAGTGCTTTTAGCAGACTTTCATATTGCAATTTTATTTTAAATGTACAGCCGTCTTCTGGTTTAAAGGAAATAGTGAAACAAGTATTCCCTAATTGTTTCTGGCTATAAAAGTCTCTAAATCCTTTTTAGAAAAATCTTTGTGAAAACAATATGCTAGTTTGATTAACTCTTTGTATATCCTCCAGTCTGAAAGCTCCAAAAGGTAACCTATAACCCAGTGTTTTGGAACCACAGAAAGTTTACATCATTCCATCAAACTCTTCAGGCATGTTAGTATTGTCCACCTTTACACAAGTATGAAAATTTTTTTGGTACCAGTTGAAATGTTTGTTCATCAGGTTAATCTGCTTTCCACAACCATGTCACAGTTGAATTGATTACTACATTTTTACTACTTAGTAAACATAAAAGAGTTAGGTAATTTCTTTCTATGGTTGTAGCAGTTGAAATAGTAGAAAATGGGCTTTATCTCAAATCCATCTTGTCTTAGAATCTCAGAATTTAGATTTTAAAAGTGCTGTACTGAAAGCTCACATTACGTGAATGAAGGAACTGAGGGCCACACAGACATTCAGTGACTGACCTTAGCTTCCACGTCTAGGTGTGATTAGGCTGGGATTAGAATAGAGGGTTTCTGTCCTCCTTTTAAAATATCCTTTTTTATACTATAACCCTTCCATATTCAGCTTTTGTAAGTACTATACTGTGTTTATTTTCTAAAAATTCTTAGCTGCTGTTTAAAAATTAGTTGCCAGTTTTTACACGAATAACATTGCTAAAAGAGAGTGAATTTTTTAATCGATGAAGGTTTTGTCTGAAAAAATATAAAAGTTTATGCTTTTATATTGTGTGTTCTGAGAGTGCAAAAGATTGTCAGTTTTACAATTTTTAAAAACAATATATTCTTCTTTGCAGTAGGTCCTGAAAGATAGTAAAGTATATATTCTACAGTCTTCTTTTATATAACAGAGAAATGGCTGTATGTATTCTTTATAGTTTCTTTAGTGTAAGGTAAGAAAGTAACATTCTTATTAGTGCAATGAACTTGTTCTTTGTCCAGTGAAAGTCACGTATAAAATGGTAGAAATCACAGAAGAAAGTGACTGCAGTGATGGAGGATGTGCTGTGTTTCATGAGGAATAAATACATCTCTTCAGAAAATCAAAGATATTTGGGGATCAGACAAAGTGGAACCAAGAGTTTTCAACAATAGGATAATCAAGTGTCTTTTTTTTTTCTTTTAAAAAACATATATATATATTTTTTTCTTTTTTTTTTTTTTTTTTTACTGTGACACAGCCTCAGGAGGTCCTGAGGGCATGTGCCCTGTATAATAATCAAGTTTCTGTTGAATTTTTCTGGCTGCAAATTTAGCCATCACCAACCTCCAAGAAAGATATTTATAATTACTTCCTCATGGCTCATCTTACTAGTATTTATCTCTGTGGCACAAGTGAAAAGTTATCACTTAGAATAATGCATCTCTAGCCAGTTGGCCTGACTTTCAGGAAATAACCTGTAATGAATATGGATCTATATCCCTGGGCATATTTAGAAAACATAGAAATGAGAATGTGAAAGGGATAAAATACATAAAGAAGGGCTGATCAGAAAGCCCAAATGCCAGTTGAGTGAAGTGGTTGAATAGAAGGAACTTGCTTTTTTTTTTTTTTTGACACAGTTTCGCTCTTGTTGTCTAGGCTGGAGTGCAATGGCACTATCTCGGCTCCCTGCAACCTCTGCCTCCCAGGTTCAAGCAATTCTCTTGCCTCAGCTTCCTGAGTAGCTGGGATTACAGGCATGCGTCACTGCACCCAGCTAATTTTTGGTATTTTTAGTAGAGACGGGGTTTCACCATGTTGGCCAGGCTGGTCTCAAACTCCTGACCTCACGTGATCACCCGCCACAGCCTCCCAAAATGCTGGGATTATAGGCGTGAGCCACCACTCTTGGCGGAACTTACTTTTCAAAGAGGAAGCAGTTGCCTCCTAATAAAGTGAGTGCCGTGGCTAGAGTGTAAAATCCTGTGGAATGAAACAGTCATAGTTGGTGAAAGTTGTTCAGGCAAATCATATATCATTCCTGATAGTTGGTGAGCTGTTATAATTCTCATTAAACTTTTTAAATGGAGACTTTCCTCTAGATTGATCAACTTTCTCATGGCTATATTGAAATATTTTTATTAGATTATTTAGTCTTAGTTTAGACTTTCTGTGTTCACAGAGGTTTGGAATCTATTTATATCTAAGTTAATGTAAGATTATTTTAATCTTTTTCTTGTGAAAAGAAATGTGAATTGTATTTTTTATTAGAATTTGTTCAGATAGATCAGTCTTTCCTTCTTATTGGTAAGTGCTTCTATCCCCCCATCTGACTATAGTTACTGAACAGAATATCTTTCTTTGTCTGCTCTCTCAGGCTGCCTGAGCGAGTGATTGAGCAGAAGGTGGGATCCCAGGTTTTCTTGAGCCTGCTTTAGTTTCAGTTAGAAAGATAATGTAAGTTAAAAATGCCAGCAAAATAGATAATGTAAATGAGCAGAACATACTCCTCCTTCTGATAAATGTTACTGGAAAAATGAAGAACTAAGAGAATGAAACATATTTGAGGCTTAGAAGATGGGGTGAAGGGTTTCCTGTAAGAATAAGAATCTTGTAGCTGCAGTCAATTTGGTGGCCAGTTTTCAAACACTGAAAAATCTATCATCTGAGAAACTTTTCAGGATTATGTATTATTACAGTATTTTGATACAGCTGAAAAAAATTAAGTTATTATTGCTCCTATTAACATTTATTTAGGCTGGGTGTGGTGGCTTACACCTGTAATCCCAACACTTTGGGAGGCTGAAGTAGGGGCATTAGTTGAGCCCAGGATTTTGAGACTAGCCTTGGGAAGTTGGCAAAATCCTGTCTCTACAAAAAAATAGAAAAATTAGCCGAGCGAGGTGGCATACTCCTAGCTGCTTGGGAGGCTGGGGTGGGAGGATTGCTAGAGCTTAGCAATTGAGCCTTGATCGTAGCCACTGCAGTCTAGCCTGCGTGACAAAGTGAGATGCTGTTTCAAAAAACAAAAAAATCAAAAACAAAACACCACACACCCAGTTATTTAGTAGTTTTAGGATTCTGCACATATTTTTTCCTTTAAATTTAGTGACTACCCTGAGAGTTAAGTGGGGAGCTTTATTATCATCATTCCTATATTGGCAACAAGGAGCCACTGAAAATCATCCTTTTTGGTGGCAGAACAAGGACTTAATCCCAGTTCTTTCTGATTGCAGGAAAAACATGTAGGCTTTAGCATTTTTTGTAGTGTAACAAGCACCTGCCAGGAATTAAGAGACTTGGTTTCTTTTTTTTTTTTTTTGAGATGGAGTCTCGCTCTGTCGCCCAGGCTGGAGTGCAGTGGTGATGTCGGCTCACTGCAAGCTCTGCCTCCTGGGTTCACGCCATTCTCCTGCCTCAGCCTCCCAAGTAGCTGGGACTACAGGCGCCCGCCACCACGCCCGGCTAATCTTTTGTATTTTTAGTAGAGACGGGGTTTCACCGTGTTAGCCAGAATGGTCTCGATCTCCTGACCTTGTGATCCACCCGCCTCGGCCTCCCAAAGTGCTGGGATTACAGGCGTGAGCCTCTGCGCCCGGACTGAGACTTGGTTTCTTACTCAAGTTATGCTTGTGATCTTGGAGAAATTACTTTATACTTTTGTTAGAAGATTCATTGACTTTCTTTACCCCACTTTTAAAAATTGACACAAACTATATATATTCAAGGTGTACAATATAATGATTTTATATACAGGTACATTGTGTCCTGATTACCATAGTCAAGTTAATTAACAACCATAAACCTTCAACACCCATAGTTAACCATTTGTGTGTATGCCTGTGTGCATGAGTGTGGTGAGGACACTTAGAATCTGTTCTTTTACCAATTTCAAGTCAACAATACAGTATTACTAATAGTAGCCACCATGCTGTACATTAGAACCCTAGAACTTACTCATCTTATTAACAGAAAGTTCGTGCCCTTTGACCAATATCTCCCTCACCCTAGTCCCTGGCAACTGCTGTCCTACTTTCTGCTTCTGTGAGTTTTCGACTGTTTTTTATTCTAATGTAAGTGAGACAGTATTGTCTTTCTGTGTCTAGCTTATTTCACTTGATTAGTTGACTTCTAAAGGCATTTCAGCTTTCTTTATGTAGAGAAGCACACCCAAACCCTGATTGAAACCTTGGAGTTTGACATACTGATCTAAGCCAAGTGGTAATATTGAAAATTCTTTTTTTCCAGAATGTTATAGTTCTGTTGTCTGCAATCTTGCCCTAAGAATTTAGACCACAAGAATTTCTTCCATGCCTATGTATAATATTTCAGTTCTTGGAACTTCCATCTATTCAATAGGCATAGACTCTTATAGGTCAGAAAATTATTCATTAAGTGCTTCGACACATATTGCCTTGCATAGTCCATGGATGGTAGTTAGAAAGATTTAGCAAAGGAATATGTGTAAAAGCGTCTGGAAGCACAGTTCCTGGCATATTTCCATTTCTAGTGTGTAAGCCACCAAATTATGGCTCAGAAACATGCGACAACTTGCTTAGATTTACATTGCTATTAAGTACCAGAACTAAGGGGGAGAGCTGGGTCTTTAAAGTCCAAAGCCTTTTTTTTTTTGTCATTTCACCAGAGTATCTCACCAGCAACTTAGCCGTTTACTTTAACTAAATAATAATTGTCCTGGAAACAATTATTACTGGTCAGAAAGGACACTGAGGACATAAGATTAACACAAATCTATTACTAGGAATTCAGAAGCAACTTAGCTATGTCATCATGTCAGGTGCTTAGTAATCTTTTCATATAAAGAAGAGCACAGTGGGATTTGCCATCTTTTATGGTAGTTATCAAGGTTGTTAGTAGTGATACCCAGTGAATTATTAGAGGAATAGTTTAAATTTCGCTTACAAGTATTGTTAGGCTTCTGTGTGCAGTGTGGACCAACTCTACATGCATGTTCTCTTAAATTTCAGTAAGCACATGCTTTGTTTAGGGATTTTAAAAAACATTATTATTATTATTTGAGACCGAGTCTCGCTCTGTTGTCCAGGCTGGAGTGTAGTGGCGTGATACTGGCTCACTGTAACCTTTGCCTCCTGGGTTCAAGCAATACCCCTGCCTCAGCCTCCCCAGTAGCTGGGATTATAGGCGCCTGCCACCATGCCTGGCTAATTAAAAACATTATTTTTACATCTTGAAAAATACATTTAAACCTCTTAGATTTGAAGATATTAGGTTATTTATTTATTCTTCCCAGCCAACTTTACTGAGGTATGAAGGATTAATAATTGTGTAGCTAAATCTATATCTGTCTTTCTATCAATCGATCATCTATCTATATGATAAACAACATGATGTTTTGGAGACAGTGTCTCACTCTGTCAGCCTTGACCTCCCAGGCTTGAGATTTTCCCACCTCAGCCTCAGTGGGACCACAGGCTCATATTACCATGGCTGGCTAGTTCAAATAATTTTTTTTGGTAGAAACAGGGGTCTCCTTGTGTTGCCTAGGCTGGTCTCAAATTCCTGGGTTCAAGCAATCCTCCCACCTTGGCTTCCCAAAGTGCTGGGATTACAAGCATGAGCCATCTCACCTGGCTACATTTTGATATGTGTACACATTGTGAAGTCATTACCACAGTCAAGCTAACATATCCATCACCTCAGCTAGTTATGGAGGCTCTGTCACCCAGGCTGGAGTGCAGTGGGGTGATCTCAGCTCACTGCAACTTCTGCCCTCTGGGTTCAAGCAGTTCTCCTTCTTCAGCCTCTCTAGTAGCTGGGATTACAGGTGTGTGCCACCACACCCAGCAAATTTTTATATTTTTAGTAGAGATGGGATTGTGCCATGTTGGCCAGGCTGGTCTCAAACTCCTGACTTCAGGTGATCCACCAGCCTTGGCCTCCCAAAGTGCTGGGATTACAGGTGTGAGCCACCGTGCTGGGCTTTTATTTATTTTTTTATTTTTATTTTTTTTTAGCTAGTTACCTTTTTAAAAATTTTGTATTGGCCGGGCGTGGTGGCTCATGCCTGTAATCCCAGCACTTTGGGAGGCAGATGCAGGCAGATCACAAGGTCAGGAGTTTGAGACCAGCCTGGCCAACATGATGAAACCCCGTCTCTGGTAAAAATACAAAAATTACTCGGCGTGGTGGCGTGCGCCTGTAGTCCCAGCTACTCAGGAGCCTGAGGCAGAAGAATCGCTTGAACCCAGGAGGTGGAGGTTGCTGTGAGTTGAGATCGCACCATTGCACTCCAGCTTGCACAACAAGAGCGAAACTCCGTCTCAAAAAAAAAAAAATATTGTGGCCAGAACACTTGAGATCAACTCTCTCAGCAAATATCAAGTATTCTGTACATTGTGTCCAGAACTTATTTACCGTATAACTGAAAATTTATACCTATGGACCATCATCCCTTTTCACTCACACCCCAGTCCCATAACAGAGTTCAACTTTTTTTTTTTTTAGTAGATTCCATATATAAGTGAGATGATGTAGTATTTATCTTTCTGTATCTGGCTTATTTCACTTAGCATGTGCTTCAAGTTCATTCATGTTGTTGTAAATGACAGGATTTTCTTTGTTTTTAAGGCTGAATAATATTCCATTCTATATGTGTATATATGCCACATTTTCTTTATCTGTTGACAGCATGTTTCTACATCTTGGGTACTGTGAATAATGCTGGGATGAACAAATGTTTCTTCAAGATAGTGATTTTATTTCCTTTGGACATATGCTCAGAAGTGGGATTGTTGGTAATTCTACTTCTAAGTTTTTCAGGAATCTCCATACTCTCCCACCAACAGTAGACCAGGGTTCCCTTTCTCTCCATCCTCACCACTGTCTAATCGCTTTTGACTTTTGATAGTAGCCATTCTGACAGGTGTAAGGTGATATCTCATTGTGGCTTAAATTTGCATTTCCCTGATGATTAGTAATGTTGAGCATCTTTTCATAAACCTGTTGGCCATTTTTATGTCTTTGGAAAAATGTGTATTCAGATCCTTTGCCCATTTGTTAATTGAATTATTTGGGGTTTTTTTGCTATTGAAATTTGTGAGTTCCTTATTATATATTTTAGGTATTAGCCCCTTATCAGATACGTGGTTTGCAAATATTTTCTCGCATTCCATAGGTCGCCTTTTCATTTTATTGTTTCCTTTACCGTGCAGAAGCTTTTTAGTTAGATGTGGTTCCACTTCACTGTTTGTTTTTATTGTCTGTGCTTTGGTCTCAAGTCCAAAAAGTCGTTGTCAAGGCCAGTGTTTTCTTCTAGGAGTTTTATGGTTTCAAGTTTAAGTCTTTAATCTATTTTGAGTTGATTTTTGTGTATTGTATAAGATAAGGGTCCAGGCTGGGCGTGGTGGCTCATGCCTGTAATCCCAACACTTTGGGAGGCTGAGGCGGGCAGATCACGAGGTCAGGGGTTCAAGACCAGCTTGACCAACATGGTGAAACCCCATCTCTAGGATCACGAGGTCAGGAGTCCAAGACCAGCCTGACCAACATGGTGAAACCCCATCTCTACTAAAAATACAAAAACTAGCTGGTCGTGGTGACGTGCGCCTTTAATCCCAGCTACCCAGGAGGCTGAGGCAGGAGAATTGCTTGAACCCGGGAGGTGGAGGTTGTAGTGAGCCAAGATCACACCACTGCACTCCAGCTTGGGCGACCGAGCAATATTCAGTCTCAAAAAAAGACAAGGTCTTGCTATGTTGCCCAGGCTGGACTTGACCTCCTGGGCTCAAGCAGTCCTCCTGCATCAGCCTCGTGAATAGCTGAAACTATAGGTGTGAACCACTGCCTGCAGCTCCAGCACCATTTATTGGTACCTTTGTCAAAATTAGTTGATTATATGTGTGTGGGTTTATTTTTAGATTCTTTGTTCCGTTGCATTGGTCTATTTGTCTGTTTTTAGGCCAGTATTAGGTAATTTTGTATATGGTGAACTGTTTAAAGTTAAAATATTCTGATTCATAACCTAAATTTTAAAAAAAATTATAGTTTTTTTTTTACATAATTAAATTTTATCTAAAAGAAATGTGCAGGTATTTATAATGTAGTTAGACTTGCTTGTGTTTTTCTGTACTCAGTAGGAATTTACTGTCAATTATTTGTACTGGAGTTCATCATGTAACAAATTCGAAAGAAATGTAATTTATCTTTAGGTCTCTAGTAGGCCAGAAACAGGGACTTTTAGGGGGAGTTTTAATAATGTGAAAGTAATGAAGCTGAAGATAAGTAAGTTTTTAGAAGGAGAAATAAGAATGTTCTTTCTTTTTATTAAACTGTAGCCTCTGTCAAATTAGGTGATACTTGAGTAATCTGACAGTTGTCTAGAATTAACTGGATCTATTTGAAACTCACTGTAGCTCTGAAAACATGAAATGACTTAATTTTTAAGAAGTTATTAAAAGAGATTTTTGTGAGTGGGAAATGAGATAGAGGAAACAACTTATTTGATTTTTAAGTTAGTTTTAAATACAATTAGACAATAATTCATTAAATTGTTCTCTATTAATTTTTCCTTCTTACATTGTAAAATATGAAATCAGAAATTAGTAACAATTAGGGAACTTTTTACATAAGTGCTTAATTGAAAACATGTTTTGAAATCAGTCACTTCTCTTTGCAGCATTTATTCTGGTCAAATTTTTTGTGTACAAGTCCATCATTGCTCTATAATAGCAGTGTTGTATTATAATCACTGTTTGGGGTGCCAGAAATGTTGGGCACATTGCTTAATTGTTTCAAGTTTCTTTATACTTATAATTTCAAGGATAGTTTCTTGAAATTTACTGTTTCACAGAGGGGGATGAAGAAAGGAGGAGTTAATTTTTTTATCATTGTATCTCACAGTGTTTCTTTTCTGCCTTTTAGACAAACGAATTGCTGAGTAATTTTCTTATACTGTGATTCAGAAAATAATTGAACTGAACTTACCGATCTTTTCTTACTTTATTCTAAGTTCTCTATCTCTGTGCTTCTACATTTTATTTGGTAGGTATAATTGAAATCCTCAAAGGAATGCAAGAATTGGGAGTACATCCTGATCAGGAAACATATACAGATTATGTGATTCCATGCTTTGATAGTGTAAACTCAGCACGAGCCATTTTGCAGGTGAGTACAAGTGTGGTTTTAATTTAATAATTGAAGAGGATATCTTTCCTCCTTAATGTTTAGTGTTGACACACAAAAAAGTCATTGAACTGAGGACTCAAAATGGTCAAATCTGTATACAATTTTCTTTTTTTCTTTTTTTTGAGATGGAGTTTCTCTCTCATTGCCCAGGCAGGAGTGCAATGGCACAATCTTGGCTCACTGCAACCTTTGCCTCCTGGGTTCAAGCAATTCTTCTGCCTCAGCCTCCCGAGTAGCTGGGATTACAGGCATGCGCCACCATGGCTAGCTAATTTTGTATTTTTAGTAGAGACAGGGTTTCTCCATGTTGGTCGGGCTGGACTCAAACTCCCGACCTCAGGTGATCCACCTGCCTCAGCCTCTCATAGTGTTGGGATTACAGGCATCAGCCACCGCGCCTGGCCCTGTATACAATTTTCTAAAGCTTTGTAAAAATATTAGTTGGTATAACATTTATAGTGGTTAAACTTTCAAAACTCAAAAAGACAAAGCAGCTTTTTTCTTGTGTATTAAAAAGACAATATGCCAATATCGGGAAAAATTAAAACAATATTAACTCCTAATCCCATCCTGAAATGCCCCTGCAATTTTCATTTATAAATTAGGTTTTATTTTATTTTATTAAAGAAACAGGAGTTTCAGTATGTTATCCAGGCTGGTCTTGAACTCTGGGCTTAAGCAATCCTCCTGTCTTAGCCTCCTGAGTAGCTGGGATTATAGGCACATGTCACTGTGCCCTGCTTCAGTTTTCACTTTTTGAATATTATTTTTCACTTCCCATAAATTTTCATAAATGCACTAATAGTATATATACTAGTCTTTCTGTCTCTCTCTCTTTTTTTAAACTTCAAACCTTTGTTTTTCTACCAGAAGTTTTCTACTTCTGGTCCTTAGCAGAGTAGGCAAGCTGTTGATGAAGAGGCACATGAAGATGTTGATTGGGACAGTGCATTGGATTAGCAAAGGTTGCGTTTTCCACTTTCAAAACAGCATGCTTAGCGCTGAATATATGAATTACAAAAACAAAACAAAAAGTGCTGTGCAGTTAGGAACAAGTTGGCAGAGCACCTAATACCTAATAAGGAACATGTTGTTTAAGAGATGTTTCCTACACAGTCATTCATGTAATACCTTGATTTTTCTAATAATGTTAGAGTGTTTCTTTCATTAAAATAATTACATAATTACAGTCTTCTGAAGTGTTAGGGTTTATATCTTCAGTGTCTTCACCTCTTTCCCTAAGTTCTTAGTGGAGTATGTTGAGCCTGTACTATACATATTTTACTGTTAAAAAAAATTTTTTAAGTAACTTTCCCACATATTCTTACTTTTTCAGATGTTTTCTTTCTTTGCAGAAATACAGCCCCCAGATCAGTGTCTTTGTGGTTACTGCTTTGGCTTTCTCACTAGTGACTTATCTTAGGGAACAGCAGATCTAATTTGGAAACTTATCCCAAATTTGGTTACATTCATTCTCATCTCAACTATGTTGCCTTCATTGCTGGAATTTCAGTAGTATTGAGTGTTTTGGGATTGAAAACAACTACTCTGTTAAGTGCTTAATAGAACTCACAGTATTGATCTGCTTTTTTTCTTTGTTTTTTGAGGCAGAGTCTTGCTCTGTCGCCCAGGCTAGAGTGCAGTGGTGCGATCTGGTCTCATTGCAACCTCCTCTGCCTACCGGTTCAAGCGATTCTTCTGCCTCAGCCTCCCAAGTAGCTGGGATTACAGGTGCCCACCACCACACCCAGCTGATTTTTGTATTTTTAGTAGAGATGGGATTTCACCATGTTGGCCAGGCTGGTCTCAAACTCCTAATCTTAGGTGATCAGCCTGCCTAGGCTTCGCAAAATGCTGGCATTGCAGGTGTGAGCCACTGCGCCCTACCTGATAATGCCTTTTGTCTTCAGCTGGGCATTAAAAAGTACATTTTTAAATTAGTTTTCAGAAATTACATAATAAATGTTTGTTGATAAATTAGAGAACACAAGTAAGTGGTAGGGCTGTACAATCTGTCCATAGTTCCTTGAGATAGTCATTGCTTAGCATGTATGTTCTTTCAGATGTATACTAGGCTGGAGAAATCTCTTTTAGCAAGAAAGTATACTGTTCATATTATCGAGCAACTCTTATTATACTGTTCCTATTATCCACCTAACTTGACAGAGGCTATAGTTTAATAAAAAGAAAGAACATTCTTATTTTCCTTTTAAAAACTTACTTCTTTTTGCCTTCATTACTTTCAAACTCCCCCTAAAAGTCTCTGTTTCTGGCTTACTAGAGACCTGAAGAAAAATTACACTTCTCTCATATTTGTTTCATGATGAACTTTTTTTCATTTGACACCTTTTCATAACAGTATTTAATTCCACAAAATATATTTTATGCTTGTATGCTGTTTCATTGTATGGGTATGCCATAATTTATTTTTTATCCTTGCTTATTGCTGATTAAGTGGTTTTTTAATATACTATAATAAAATGATTCAATAAATGTATTTGAGCTAAATTTTGACTCATATATTTAAATTGTTAAACAAATGATGTTGGGACAAGTGATGAGCCTCTATGAGTTAAATTACATTAAATTAGATCCTGGCCAAACTGTATGCCCCAAAATATTTTAGATTAATGCATTGAATCTTTGTTTTGTCTTGAATGGGAGAATTATTCTAGTGTCCTCAGTAGTAAACTCATCCTGGAAGTAAGGCCCTCTAAAGGCATCAGACCATCTGTATTTGAAGATAAGCATTTAACTTAGAATGCTGAAATGTCATCTTTAAATTTTTGCTAAAATTCAATTACTGAGCTTATCTATTTTTCTAGAAAATCAGAGAATATGGTGATTCAAATAATCAGGAAAACAGGATCTTTGGCTTATCAAAATATTGTTAGCTGAGATGTATTCTCATTGATATATGCTTTATCTCCAGGAAAATGGATGTCTGTCTGATAGTGATATGTTTTCTCAAGCTGGATTGAGAAGTGAAGCAGCAAATGGGAACTTAGACTTTGTATTATCATTTTGTAAGTATACAACATTAGCGGTAAACTTGATAGATGTTTATTTCAGTTACTATTGAGGGCATGCAGGGTGGTTCACGCAATGAAAGCAAGGAAGGTTTATATGTTTTGTTAAAGCCAGACTGATAAAACGGTTTATGAGTTGAACTTGTGGATAATTTGGAAGTAATTTTAATGTTATAAGGACATTGAATATTATATGTAATATGGTGTTAGACTGAAGGCTGGACCTGGAGACCCTGAAGACGTGGATATTCTTTATAATTTGGCCACCGATTATGTGATTTAGAAGAAGTCTTCTAACCTCTCTGCTTCACTTTTACTAAACAGGGATAGTACTACCTAACTTGGGGGAGTTGTGAAAATCAAATGCGGTATTGTTTCTGAAGTGTTTTTTAAACTAACATCTATTATAAAGACTTCTAGTCTTCATTAACAAAAACACAGCAAATGTTTACTAAACATTTTTAAACACTAGTGTGCTTTATAATGCTCATCACATGTTAATACAATTATCTCCATTGATAGATGACTAAAGGCATAGAGAAGTTAAATGATTTGCCCAAGGTTAGTGATTTGAACCAGAAGTAAGATGTTCAGACTTTAGCTTTGTTCTTTTCACCATACTGCACTTTATTTTATTTTATTTTATTTATTTTTGAGACACAGTCTCACTCTGTCACCTAGGCTGGAATGCAGTGGTGCGAACTTGACTCACTGCATCCTCTGCCTCCTGAGTTGAAGCGATTCTCCTGCCTCAGCCTCCCGAGTAGCTGGGATTATAGGCACATGCCACTATGCCCAGCTAATTTTTTGTATTTTTAGTAGAGACAGAGTTTCACCACTCCTGACCACAAGTGATCCGCCTGCCTCAGCCTCCCAAAGTGCTGGGATTACAGGTGTGAGCCACTGCGCCTGGCCTGTATTTTATTTTTAATTAATAAATAAGACGTTCTTAAGAGACCTTATTTTTTAACACGTCCATGGTGTTGCTTGACAGTTTTTCAGATCTTCTGAAAAATATGTCATTTACAAACAAAACACAGACATAATTAATTTTTAGCTCCCTAAAATGTTAACAGTTAAGCTCTCATTAATGTTATATTCAAACTGTATGGGTGGAACCTTTATACCAACCAGGTTATTGGTATGTATTACTTGTGCATGTCGCTTAAAATATTTGTTGTAATATTGTAAGGGAAAGGCAAAGTGTCCAGTATGAAAAATGGTGACTGTTGTAGTTATTTGAGTCAAATATTGAGTATTATTGCTGGCTGCTATCTGAGTGTATTGATTTTGCCTTCCACTCTGTATACTATATAGATTTTCCAATCTGACAAGAAGAAAACAGAGAAGCATTAGCAGAGGAATCTGGGCTCACGAGGTGGATCCATGAGAGCTGCCTTTTCCTTTTATCATATCATCCATTCCACTTCGTTGTCAACCTCTTGATTTTTCAGGCTTGTTTGTTGCTAAGGAAACTAGATGCTTTTTGTCAGCAGCCTTCATAGCTGAGATGTTTCTGGTCATCTTTTTAATGAATAAAAACTTGACAATATTCTGTAGAATACTATTTTGAATAGTATAAAAATGAATTTTCAAGAGGTTGTTTATTAGATTTAAAAAAGAAAAATGCCAAGAAGTTTGCCAAGTATTTGAGCTTTTCCTGTCAGTGCCTTCCCCTCCAGCTTTGATTTACAAGTCTTTGAAGAGCGGTTCGTTCTATGATTGCTGGTACGTGCTTCAGGCAGCTCTTAGGAATGCACTACTGGTTACTACATCACAGGAAATGTCAGGTAGTAGAGAACAGTAAATGGATTATCTTGATTAAGTTTTGGAGTAGTAGAGAACATTTTCCCACTTGTGTTTGTAGGCATGGAAAACTAATTTGATCACATGAAATTAAAAGCTGCTGAGAGGCATGTGGTGGTGTTCCCTTTAAAATTCCTTGAGTGACTCAGTGCAGGTCATTTTAAAAGTGACTTTTAGATTTTCAAACACTATAAAAGCACTGAGAAACTTAGGCTCCTTGTTCAAGGAATATAGCAGCTGATCTAAAACAATTCTCCTTATGTGTGTGGGTTAATTTGTTATTTTTGGGGAGATGAACACTTAAAATGGGCCATGACTTTTCCCATGGGATTTTTCTTTAATGAAACCAGGTACCTTAACCTTCACTTAAACTGTATTTATTGTCTTCAGAATTTGCTTCTACTATGAATTCCTCTCTAATCCCATCCTTTTTGTATTATTCAGTAGCCACATTACATTTATAGTGAAAAGATTAACTCTATTACTTATAACATGGTCCCATTTTAGTACAATTACAGGGAAAAACAAATTCAGGGAATGCCTACTGTGATCTCATCCCTTGCTAGTTTGGCAAGGGTTATGTGAAGAGTCAGTGTAAGGTGTGATTCTTACACAATGGCAAATCAGGCTTATAATGTCAGCATTGAAACATACAAGGTTGTAGACTGTTAAATGTCAAAATGAGTAGTAGAGCAAACAAATACTCAGAAAAGTGAAAGATCAATATAAGTCAATTACATAACGGACGTATGACCTATTTTATTATTACTTTAGGTGGTTACTCTTGTGTGAGTGCAGGTCATTGATCATAGTGGAAAATGAAATGAGAAAGTATGAATGGTTCAACAGAACCCAACACCTCTCCGAGAAAAGAATTTTTCCTCTCATGTGCTGTCTTTAAAGAACAAAAGTCTTGTAGGGTATTACAGTCTCTCTCTTCATGGTGCCACCATGTCCAACAACATACAGCCTCAGTGTGTGTACCAGGCTGACTCTGATTCTGCTGGTATGTTAGTAATTGCCATTTATAGGAAAGGATATTTATAAATTAATTAGTTGTATATATTCATGAAAATTAAAAATACGTTAAAAGGGTAGCTTATATTGCAGATATATATTACTGCATTGTCTAATTTTGTATGAAAACATTTTTATTTTTTAAATACAATTTCCAAAATGAAAACTAAAAGGTATTGGTATAAATATGTTTTCAATTTGATAATACAGGGTTTTTAAATTTGTTTGGTCTGAGATTTAATGATGGTCATTTTCTTTTGCAGTGAAATCAAATACATTGCCCATCTCGCTGCAGTCTATAAGAAGTAGCCTACTGCTAGGCTTCAGGAGGTAAGATGATCAACTTAAATGTTCCTTGCCTGAACATGGACTGATTTCTCCTGTCCTTTTGACTTATTGCATGAGGAAAAATACAAATATTCTTATCTTTCAGTGTACATTCAGTTTACCTGAAATAACCTTTGCTTGTTTAATTTTTTCTTTTAAGTCATTGAATTAAATTTAGGCAGCTTTGTGTCATCTTTTCTGAGAAATGCACACAGGTTTGGTAAAGATCCTGTTTCCAGGAAGAAAGTCCTGTTTCAAAATGGCAAGTTGGAGTTACAGACCAATTTGCATATGTATGTTCAGCTTATTCTTTGAGCATTTAATTGCAAGGTGACTTTTATTCAGTAAAGTATCATTCTCCCCTTCTGTGTGCTCAGAGAATGTTAATGACCTTGCCCTTCCAATTTTGTTATTTTGAAAATAGATAAACATAAAAGCTGAAAGAATAGTAAAAGGGAATACTCCCATACCACCCTTTTTTATTTGATTTATTTTTTTGAGACGGAGTCTTGCTCTGTCGCCCAGGCTGCAATGCAGTGGTGTGATCCTGGCTCACTGCGACGTCCGCCTCCTGGGTTCAGGTGATTTTCCTGCCTCAGCCTGCTGAGTAGCTGGGACTACCGGTGCCCACCACCACGCCTGGCTAAGTTTTGTATTTTTAGTAGAGATGGGGTTTCACCATGTTGGCCAGGTTGGTCTCGAACTCCTGACCTCAGGTGATTCACCTGCCTCGGCCTCCCAAAGTGCTGGGTTTACAGGCATGAGCCACTGTGCCCATCCTCTGTAATACCCTTTGTGTAGATTTGCCAGTTGTTAATATTTTGCCGTGTCTACTTTCTCTCATACCCTCTTTCTCTACACAAGAAAGTACCTACACACACACACACACACACACACACACACACACACGTTTTTTTCTTTTTGGCTGAACCACTTGAAGTTGTATGCATAATGACACTGGATCTTTCAGCATATTTCTCTTAAGAATAAAGTCATCATCTCTAAAATCACAACATCAGTATCACTCTGAAAAAATTAACAATACTGTACCACCATCTGATATATGTAGTCCATGTTCAGATTTTCCCACTTTAACAAGTTTCCTTTATAGATGTTTCACTTTTTGACTGAGGAGTCAATTAAATTGATGCATTGGATTTGATTGCTACATCTCTTTATTATCTTAATGCAGAACAATTTCCTTAGCTTTTTTGTTTGTTTTTTAATAACACTGGTTTTTGTTTTGTTTTGTTTTTTAAGAGCCCAGGCTGGAATGTCTCTTCTACATTTTGTATTTTTCTGTTTTTTTTTTTTTCCCATGATGAGACTCAGATTAAGCATTTTTAGCAATAGTACTTCATGGGTGATGGGCACGTCTTACATTGTATCACATCAACAGATATAAAGGCAGGTGTGCAATAATGATGCCACCACCAAAGTTTGATCACTTGGTTAAGATGGTGATTCGCACATCTCTCTTGCAGAGGCCCCTTGTCCACTTTGTAATTACTAAGAAGACTATGGGGTGGTAATTTGAGACTGTGTCTACCCTGTTTTTCCATTACTTTTCCCTCCTTGGTTTTAGCAGCCATTGGTAATCCTTGTTGAATCAGTTATTGGTAGTTCACACAAGAATGAGTTTCTTTTTTTGAGATAGGGTCTCGCTCTGTCCCCAAGGCCAGAGTGCAGTGGGTTAATCAGCCTACTGCAGCCTTTACCTCCCGGGCTCAAGCGATCCTCCCATCGTAGCCTCCCGAGCAGCTGGGACTATGGGCGCATGCCACCATGGCTGGCTGATTTTTAAAATTTTTTTGTAGAGACGGGATCTCACTATGTTGCCCAGGTTATTCTGTTGAGAGAAGCAGTGTAGCACAGTGATTCATAATTTTCTTTTCTTTTTTTTTTTTTTTTTTCTTTTTGAGACAGAGTCTTGCTCTGTCACCCAGGCTGCAGTGCAGTGGTACGAACATGGCTCATTGCAGCCTCCAAATTCTGAGCTCAAGTAATCCTCCTGCTTCAGGCTCCCATTTAGCCAAGACTACAGGTGTGCACTACCACGCCCAGCTAATTTTAAAATTTTTTTGTGGAGATGGAGTCTCACCGTGTTGCCCAGGCTGGTCTTGAACTCCTGGCCTCAGGTGATCCTGCCACCTCTGCCTCCCAAGGTGCTGGTATTGCAGGTGTGAGCCTCTGCACCTGCTGCCCTAACCTTTTTTGATTCATTGATCTCTTTGAGAATTTGTTGGAAGCTATGGCTCATCTTTCCCTGCAAAAGATGCATATTATAAAATTATGACTATAATTTAATGGAGTTCATGAAGTACTTTCCCTCTCCCTATAAAAACCCGTATCGTGGAAGCCAAAATTAAGAGCCTGGAGTGTATCCTTCCATGCTTTTCTCTGTATAGAAGCAGAGACCTGTAAGAGGTGTTTGAAGTTTTGCTTTGTTTTGTTTAAACAAAAGTAATATATCATACTTTACATACTACTCATCTTTCTTTTTCACTTAACAACACTACATGAACATCTCTTGGTCTACTGATATAAATCTAAGCATTTATATCTGGAGGGGATTCCATGGTAGGGCTATACCATAAATTTTCAATCACTCCTTTATTAATGGACTCAGATTCCTTCTAATTTTTGCCACTACCAAAACAAAGTGGTACATTACATATTATGTCCATATGTATATGTGTTTGTGCACATGCATGCACATGTGTGTACATATATATTATATATACATTAGTTTATCCCCCCTCAGTGGCTAGAATGTAAAAAAGAGACGTCTGTTTTCAAGAGTGTATGTATTCTTTAATAGCTACTACCATACTACTTTTCCAGAAAAAGTTGTATTAGCTCATACTTAGATTAGCAATTCACACTTCTACCAGCAATGTATGAGAGTACCCACTTCCTGCAAACTTACAAGTATTAGACATTACAATGCTTTTTAATTTTGGCCAAGCTGATGGATGACAAATGACATCTTAATGTATAATTTTCAATTTGCATCTTCCTAACTATTAAGCAGGGTTAGAGCATACTTATTGGCCATTTGGATTTCTTCTATGAAATAACCTATTTAAATTCTTTGCCAGTTTTCTACTAGGTCATACAATTTTTGTTGTCAATTTGTAAGGTATTGCATTTGAGGGATATTTATCTATACACTGTCACATGTGAAATATGTTTTTTTTTAAACCTTGTTGCAGAGATGAGAGAGAAATGTAAGGATAAGATCTTGGATAGTTACTGGAAGGAGTCAAAGGAGTTTGTAGTCAGTGTCGCAAGTTACAGAGATGTAGGGGAGATAGCCCTATAAAAAGAGGGTGTTCAGTTTGGTATTTGGAAAAGTTACTGAGTTTTTTTCTTTTCAAAATGGAGATGAGGTCTCGCTGTATTGCCCAGGGTGGTGTTAAATTCCTGGGCTCAAGTGAACCCCCAGCCTTGGCCTCCCAAAGTGCTGGGATTACAGGCATGAACCACCGGCCTGGCCATTATTGAGTATCTTTAAGAGAAGAGTTTTGATACTATTGTAGTGGAAGAAGCCCAGCTAGAAGCTCTGAGAATCTTGGTGTCTTTGTTTTGTTTTTAGTGATTGGATTATGTATACTATAACTGAATTTATGTGTGCTTTCAGATTATTTATATTTTTATTTGAATAGATAACATTGAAAATATTCGAAAATGGATTACCTTATCTTTAAACCACACCAAGCTAGGTGCTCTGCGTCTCCCCTGACTTAAATCCTTTTTTGGTGCTTTCCCTGTTTGTTAGCATCTAAAATTTTTAATTGATTCCTGGGTTTAAAACTAGCCACAGATTGGTCATTTTTTTAACTTTCCACTTTAAAGTTAGATAAAATGTTTAAATATGTTTAACAAAGGGGACACTACCCAGGAGCCTCCAGTGTTTGCACAGTTGCAAATCTGTCTTTATTCTTGACATAGTAAAAATAAGTTTAAGCGGATTCCTTCCAGGAACATATTTCAACATGTAAGTCCTAAAACTGTATACCATTGGTTAATTTTTCTTATTGTAGATAAAGAAAAATCGTAGGTTGTGGTAACTTGGCATTTTTCATAAGAATATGTGCCTAATTCAGAGCACTTGTGTAACTACAGGTGATTTCTTTCTTCTACTCCAAAAACTAGTCTTCGTAACTATGAATGTTTATAGAAGGTACTCAGTCTTCTGCCAAGGTTGGGGAAGGGATGAATCAGGGCAGGGGCTGCAGAGAAATTGCTGAGAGGCATATTGAGTTTGTAGAGGGGAAGGGAAGGGTTTTTCAGGCCGAGGCATTGAGGCTGAGAGAACAGTGGTTCTGGGGAAGTGTAAGTAGATTGGTAGTAGCTTAAGAAACTATGAAATAATTACAAGAAATAAAGCCAAAATGGTAGCCCAGGGGTCTTTATGAGTAGTCTCATTCTAAGTTAGGATATTTGGACCTTGAGTCACATGGCTTCGAGCCATTGAAAGGTTTACATGATGAAGTTAAGATTGACAGATATTCAAAGGGGAGAGTACAGGTAAAGGCAGATAGGGGGACAGGAAACATTAGGAGATCATTCACAATTTATGGGATTCTTTTAGGGGACTGTGGAATTTCCAGTTGAAGGTATTTTACATCGCCTTACCAAATTTGTTTCCTCTTCTGGGAAACAAAGAACTTAAATACGTACATGCAGGATTGTCTTTAAGATAAAAAATATAATGCACTTAGAACCTAGTACAAAGTCTGGGTCACTTTTAAGGGGCATGTAGGGAAGGACAGTTCCTGAAAGAGGTTGAGTAGCATCTAGCAGATAATGGCTAACAACAACAGAAATTCCAAAACTTAGTGAAAGAGGACCAAAAAAATGTT
The DNA here is from genome assembly GCF_000001405.40 of Homo sapiens. Classification (NCBI taxonomy): domain Eukaryota; kingdom Metazoa; phylum Chordata; class Mammalia; order Primates; family Hominidae; genus Homo; species Homo sapiens. The sequence goes on along the minus strand of NC_000002.12, from coordinate 43,952,519 downwards.
AGTTGAATTTTGAATTAAAAATCACTGGTAATTTTAGCATAAGTAGTTTCAGTGGAGTTTGGGGCCAGAAGTCAGATTGCACTGGTTTGGGCACTGGTAACTGTTCCTTACAACAGCTTGGTTTTGAAGGATACCGTTTATTTTTGTTTTGGTTTCAAACCTGTGGCATTCACCATGAAGCTTCACATTCAAGGTAGTGCTTTTAGTCATTTTCAGTTGTTTTAGGTATATGTGAAATTTTGAAAGTTTATCTCCATGCCTTCCTTAGGTACTTCATGCCACGTTTGAGGGCAGCTTAATATCCAGTTGTTTTTTTTTTTTCTTTTGAGACGGAATTTCGCTCTTGTTGCCCAGGCTGGAGTGCAGTGGCGCGATCTTGGCTCACCGCAACCTCCGCCTCCCGGGTTCAAGCGATTCTCCTGCCTCAGCCTCCTGAGTAGCTGGGATTACTGGCATGCGCCACCACGCCTGGCTAATTTTGTATTTTTAGTAGAGATGGGGTTTCTCCATGTTAGTCAGGCTGGTCTTGAACTCCCGACCTCAGGTGATCTACCCACCTCAGCCTCCCAAAGCGCTGTGATTACAGGCGTGAGCCACCACACCCAGCCTTAACTATTTTTTATTTGACAGTAAGTTGATACTTTGATAAAAATATATGGTTAAAGTAAATTTTAAAAATAAATAAATAAAGGAAGCCCAGCTTACTAATGTTGAGAGTTAAAATAGAAGTACAAAATTTAGACTGGACATGGTATGTGTTTATTTTTTTATTTTGGAATTTTTAAACCTTCACGAAAGTAGAGCTGCCATGTACCCATCCCCCAGCTTTAACAGCCAAGATTTTGGCAGTCCTGTTTTACCATTCCCCTTCTCTTTCTTTGCTGGACTATTAAAAATAACTATGGATCTTTGTCATCTACCCATAAATACTTCAGTATATATCTCAGAACTTACTTTAAATAAAACAACATAACCACCGTAATATCATACCTGACAAAATTAATCCTAGTTGATAATCAGAATTCATCAAATGCCCAGATGGGTCCGGGATACAGCAAAGGAACCATGGCAAGTTTTACCACTTAATATTATGCACTTTGGCACATTAGCCCCTCACTTTCTTGCAAACTCTGATTGTTCTCTACTTTCCTTGTCCTGTTTTTCAAATGTGGTAGGCTACTGGCAAGTTAAGATTCCTTGGAATTAAAGCTCTTTGTAGCCTAACCAAAAAAAGATACCTAATTTTTATCTTATTTTACTGTATTTTATTCTTCACTGTTACAGCTTCAAGTTATCCCCTGCTGGAAGACCACATGAGTGATACTCTGTCTTCTCAGGGAATTATATTTAAAGGCACATTAGTTTTGATCACCCGGTCCAGGTGTTGGGATTTCTCCATTATGTAGTAACTGTTTTTCCCATTACAAGTAACAAGCAATCTGTGGGCAGTCACTTTGAGACTCACTGTGTCTCCCAGGCTGGAGTGCAGTGGCACGATCTCGGCTCACTGCAACCTCCGCTTCCCGGGTTCAGGCAATTCTCCTGCCTCAGCCTCCCGAGTAGCCTGGATTACAGGCATACACCAACACTCCCGGCTAATTTTTCTACTTCTAGTGGAGACGGGATTTCACCATGTTGGCCAGGCTGGTCTCAAACTCCTGACCTCAGGTGATCCACCTGCCTTGGCCTCCCAAAGTGCTGGGATTGCAGATGTGAGCCACCAGGCCTGGCCTATTTTGAATATTTGAGGTGGGTGAGTGTCAGCCTTTCTAAATTACCTTTGTCCTGAAAATTCATCCTGATACAGCAAACATTTATTTACTTATTAATTTTAATACTTTGATCTGTACATATTACAAGTATGCATATACTTGAAAATAAACCTGGGTTTATTTTCGATCCTTTGCTGCCCTCTGCAGGTCTATGAATATAAATCTTTGGAGCGAGGTAAGTCCCTCTAATATTGCAAATCATAAGGTGCTTTTAACGTTACAAGCCAATACCATAGGTTATGTAATAATTTTTATCATGAAACCTATATTTGGTTTTCTACTAAAATTTTGCTGGCAGAGTTAATGTTGAAAAATAATAGTTATGTGTGTCTTTTAGTGTTTGTGAATCCAATTGATAAGAATCCAATGGGAGGAGGGAGAGGATCAGGAAGAATAGCTAATGGATGCTGGGCTTAATACCTGGGTGATGGGATGATCTGTGCAGCCGACCACCATGGCACACGTTTACCGATGTAACAAACCTGCACATCCTGCACATGTACCCCTGAACTTAAAATAAAAGTTGGAAATTAAAAAAAAAAGAATCCATGAGAATAGACACTTTAATCTTTAGACCCCTTTTGTTTTAGTCTCATTAAGATGAATGGAAGTTGTTATTAAATATCTAAAAAATGTAAGTTATTTAGCAGTTCAGGATATTTTACTTTATATTTCAGTAAAACTTAATATAAAATGAGGAAACCAGTTCAGTGTCAACAAGACCAAAAGCAATATAATGAGGAATAATATTGGTCAATAATTCCTATAAGCTCTTTTCTATTTATAACAGTTCATTCAGAGTGATGTTTATATATCAATTTATAAATCAGTTTAGAGTCTTTCTGTGTGACATTTCACAAAACATTGCAGTTTTCCTTCAACATGGATTTGTTTTTGTTTTTAAAAGACAAACCTATTATTTAAAAACAAAACAATCTCCTTGGCGGGTGGGGGTGGTTTTGAATTACTGTGAAATAGAATAGTACCTTACTGGGGAGAGGTTTTATTATTTCAAGAATTCAATTTCAGATTGTGTTTGTTCTTGTTTGCTTCTCTTGCTGCAATGCACGAATTTTCTGTCTTACCAGATAACAGAATTGTTGTACAAGGATGGACGTTATTGCCAGGAGCCTCGAGGACCGACGGGTAGCGTTTCAATTTCGATGATTGTAACTTATCCACAAATCCATTTTTCTGTGTAATGATGGGTTAGGAGGATTACAGCAGTAAATACTTTATTTTTTAAAGTGGAATTTGAAAACATTTGGTTATAAATCTTTATATTGATTACAACATTTTGAGATCTAAAGTGTTTGATTTTGTTACAATTATTTTTTCTAAAGACAGGGTTGGGAGGCTTTTTCTTTTCAGATATTGGGGAAATGTTTCTTCTAACATCTATGGAAATAGGCTTAAAAATCAGTGATTCTTAGTATTTATGTGCTTTTAATGTTTTGCAGGTGTAGTTAATTTTAAACATAAAATGTAGCGAAGGTTCTTGTGGATTTCCGCTTAAATGTAATTTATTGCCCCAAATACATTGTTTTGACATTTAATGATTTTCATTTTTCATATAATGAAGCTAGACTATATAGTTTTCTGTAAGATGGTACCCCTCTTGAAAGTTTACATTTCTATCCTAGGTATTACTGTAACATGGCCCTATACATTTTATGCTTGAATGCAAAGGAAAATTACTGTTGTTACAAAACATCTTTGTTAATCTTGGTTTTTCATTGGCTAATAGGCAGCTCTCCACAGGATTACTGTATCTGCTTATTAAAATTGTTTAACTTTCTTTACTCAACATTTAACAATCCTTTCTAATTTTATGTGCTTCCCTAAATATTGTCCACAAAAAAAAAACAGTATAGAAATGTGTACAAGACATTTATTTATTCTTATTACGTGTGATTTGGACAGGAAAGGGGTAAGGCCTTGGGCAGGACCACTTCTGTCACAGAGTGGTGGAAAAAAAATAGATTGAAGTAAGATTCAGTACTGAAAAGCTGTCACTCGGTCTGAAAATAATTAATATTCCTTTCACTCACCAGTTAGATATGTGCTCCCAAACCACATAATCTCTATGCCTCAGTGATCATTGTTGCCATTTCAGAGCCTCTCATCAGGGTGACATCTCACACCAAAATGATTTCTTATAAATTAATCTTGATAACATGACAGTCTCGGTAATTTTAGTGGAATGCTTTCTCTTGTTTTTTTCCACAGAAGCTGTTGGCTATTTTCTTTATAACTTGATTGACAGCATGAGTGACTCAGAGGTACAGGCCAAGGAGGAGCATTTGAGACAATACTTCCATCAGCTGGAGAAGATGGTACCATTTCGTTTTTTGCTATATAATGCCTGTCCTGCCTGACATGTATCTATTAGATTTGAAATTGCTGCTTTTAAGTACAACCAGACCACTTCTCAATGACATGCAAGAGTTGGAGACTTAAATTATGTCTGAGATAATTTCTGTTAGACAAATTTCAGTTTGGTTGTCTAAAACTCAGGTTTTTTCCCCCCTCCCTTCCCTTCTCACAGAATGTAAAAATTCCTGAAAATATCTACAGAGGCATTCGTAATCTCCTGGAAAGCTACCATGTTCCTGAATTGATTAAGGTGTGTGTGAAATAGCAATCAACTGGATAAAATGCTTAACTTACATATAACAGCATGTTAAAATTTTATTTAAATATGATGCTTTTGGTCAGAAAAAAAATTTGTTTCAATGACAGCCATTAAAACGAAGCTTTTCATTGATTGTTCATAAATACTATTTATATATTCATAAATATATTTATAACGTTAATTACATTGATTAATAAAGTATGAAGAGAATGTCTAAAATTTTGGAAAGATGAAAAGTAGTAATATGAGGTGAGACTTACAAATTTGCTTTTGATGTTTGCTGATGTATTTTTACGTGTGTTTTCTAATTCTGGGCTAATTTAAATTTCAATTTTAGGATGCTCACTTGTTGGTTGAGAGTAAGAATTTAGACTTTCAAAAAGTAAGTAGGATTTTGACTAGATTCTACATGCTATAATACCCATATTTAATGAGTATTCTGGATTGTGTACTTATAAAACCAGTGATTCCTCACATTTTTATCATCTTGTATACCTCTAAGAAGTTGGTAAAACCTGTTCCCCACCTCAGAAAAATCAACATATCTAAGAAATTTGCATATAATCTCAGAAGGTTTGTAAATCCCTGGAGTCCATCCATGGATTCCCCAATTAATATCCCTGATAGCATTTATGACATTTAGGAAGGTAGAAAGGAAAGTCAGTTTAAAGGGAAGAGTGACAAAAGGCATACTATATTTCCTTTTTCAGGAAATTTTTCTTTTCTTTTTTCTTTTCTGTAGACTGTGCAACTTACATCATCTGAATTGGAGTCCACACTTGAAACACTAAAAGCTGAAAATCAACCTATAAGAGATGTCCTAAAGCAACTCATATTAGTGCTTTGTTCAGAAGAGGTAACATTTGTTTTAATATTTAAATATTATTAAGGCAAAAAATTCTTGGTAACAATAAGAAAAACCAAATATAATATTTATGATTTTTACAATTGATCGTTATATGTCAGGCTTGTAAAGAATGCAATTAAATGAAAGGTTAACTAATTTCAGCTACACCTTGAATGGCATGTTTTCTGGTTGCTGTAGTTTGTTTACGATAATCTGCAAAGTGAATGATAGTAACAGCTGTGATAGGTTTATCATACATGCCAAATGTCCTTTCAAGCCATGGCTCCGGTCTCTTATATCTAGATTGTCAAGCAACTGATACACGCAGTAGTCATTTGCAAGTCAAATATTACTAGGTTGTTAATGCAGGGATTGAAATTCCATTTTCCTGCTGGAAAAAAGCTCTTTCTGAGATAAAGGGTCCCTTGCCTTTTTTCAGCGGGCATCCAGCTGTACTTTGTGTTCATTTTAGTGTATGTCTGCAATTTGTGGGATATCACTAGACTATTTTTCACTTTCTAGTTCAATATAATTGAGCCATAAACTTGTAGTTTTAGGGAAAAAATATCATGACTAACTTTATGATTATAATCTGCTACTGTTAAATTCTAAAATATTTCTTCATATTACTTGGATACTAAACTAGACTGAGAAACTTTTCAATGATACATATTTCTGCATCCTGAAATTAGACTGTGATTAGGATTTGATTTGGGAATTACTTAATCTGGAAGTCTTTTTTAAATAATACCATACACAAAGCCTAAAACATCAAATTTGGCATAAATAATGGCCTATTTTATATTACAGATAACACATCTTTTAACCCCTACACGTGTAAGACTTGCCCACTTCTTAGAGGTGAATAAAAATATCAAGGGGCAGAGTCAGGTTGTTAACATGAAACCATTTATTTTTAAAGTACTATTAACTTTTTCTAAACTCTGAACAGTAAAGCTAAAAATGTGACATTTTTACCTTCACACTGATTTCTTCTTTTTCACATCTATGCTGTATTTTAGAATATGCAAAAAGCCCTTGAATTGAAAGCAAAATATGAATCCGACATGGTTACTGGTGGCTATGCAGCTTTAATAAATTTATGCTGTCGACATGATAAAGTAGAAGATGCCTTGAACTTGAAAGAAGAATTGTGAGTACCCTGGCACTGAAACAAGTTGTCAACATTTATTCTGCTCTACAGACCTTGATAGATTATCTAGATGGAATATTACTCTCTTATATAATGTCATTTTTAAAAATTCTTTTGTTGTCAGTGTTTTTGAAATTTCGTATTATACGGCTCTTTAATTAATTGTGGCTTATGTTCAGCAAGGTGTCTTTGTTTAAGTATGATAAGACATTCTAGTCCTTAGAACCAAAGGTTTTTTTCCATTGATTATATATCATCACAACAGTGGTGATGGTGGTAACTGTTTTAAGAGGCTTGATAACATTTCCCTTTCAATATTGTAGTGTAAATAAAATTCTATCCATTTCTCAGGTACCTTTGGCTTCCTATCCTGTTAGATTTTTCAAGTAAAAATGTCAAGTATTCGTGATGAAGGTTAGAATCACTTAAAGCCAAAGAGTTTCTTCATAAGTATCCTTTGCAGATGGAGTGATGCAATATATATGTAGTGTTGGGCTTTTACTTCACTAGTCACTTTGAATATAATTTCGTGTGAACTTGTATATGGCTTCAAAAAGAAATCCTAACTGAAGCGTAGAGGCCAACATTAGTTCAGGTCTTCTGATGAGCTTTTGAAAAGTGATTAAATGGATGTTGCTGTTCTTTTAGCAGTTAATTGACTTTTAAAACAATATAAATGTGGCTTTAATTTTTAGTGACCGCTTAGATTCATCTGCTGTCCTTGACACCGGCAAGTATGTAGGCCTTGTAAGAGTATTGGCAAAGCATGGCAAGCTCCAAGGTAAGCCTCAGCACATAAAGGAAATATGTGATGCAAGTATCTTGCCACTGGAATAACATGTGAATTGATATTAATGGATATCATGTCCTGCAAAGTGCTTGAACACTTTGCATAGAAATTTGCATGTGAATCCAACCAGAGCTACATGGACAGTGTAGGCCATTAGTTTTAATGGATTGGCAAGCTTGTCATTTACATTTGCACAGCTCAGTGCTTTTTGCATTTCTGCAGCTAGTTTTTATTAGCATTGCTGTTTGGATTGAGTTTGAAGATCATGACTTATGGCACAATTTGCTTATGTGCCTGCACTAATGGCTTTGTTTTTGCTTAAGAAGGTCTGAAGGCTGAACGTAAAACCTATAAACGTAAAACCTATAAACATAACCTAATATATGCGCCTGAATTTTGCAGTAGTCTTTGCCTTACTTTTTAATAACATTAACAAAATATATACTTTAAAGTTTTTATTTTAATTAAGGTTTTTATTTAATGGTTCATGGAAAAAGCATAGCTGATTACACAGCTGATTTGCATACTCAAATTTTCTCGTTGAGATAATGCTAAGCCTAATAAAATTAATTACACTTGATAATACATTCATACTATTTTCTTGTTTCTTAACTTTCTGATTTGGCTTTATTTTGAAATTTCCTTTTTAGCCTTCCTCTTTTCCTTTGATTTTCAGAAAAGATTGTTTTAATTTTATTATAGGGAAAAATGTATGGAGAAAATCATTTATTAGAACATTGAATGTTTTCCTAGGACGCCTTTCTAACTCTTTCTAAGGATTAGCCTATTTTTTTAAAATCACTTTTTGTAAAGTGGTCAAAACATTTTGTCTGTGTAATAATTAAGAACAACATTATAAAAATGCACTTATTCCATATCCTAAAATGTTTGTTTCTGCCTTCCTAATGAAGCTTAATGAATCTAATGTATTAACATGCAGTCTTTTGGAAAGCTTTCATTGGCTCTGCTTGGCTAATTAGTATCGACATAGCAAACAGGCCCTATCGGTATCAGACCATTAGTCTGGCTGTATATACAGTGTAAACACATCTTTATTATCTGGCCTCCTGACAAGCCATCTGCTGAAGAAACAATGGTGTGATTTAGCAGATGTTAGCTCTGAACGATAAAAGCATCCATTTAGGAGGATCTTACAGCTATAGGGCAGACCATACAGGGTTATGTGGTACAGAGTGGGCACATAGTCCCTATCTATAATTTGTAGTCAAAGTTGCAGGGAAATGATAAAACCATGCTATTGTGGATTTATAATTGTAGTCTCGTTTAGAAATGCAAGTAGTAATTAACTTGAAATCGGCATTATACACTAGAATTTACATTCCTGCTGGGCTTGAAATGCTGTTTTAATAGCAGTTTGTTTTCCCTACATGAAATTACCTAAGGGTCTTTTGTGTTACTTCATTGTAGATGCTATTAACATTCTGAAGGAGATGAAAGAGAAGGATGTTCTTATCAAAGATACAACAGCCTTGTCCTTTTTCCACATGCTAAATGGCGCAGCTTTAAGAGGTGAAATTGAAACAGTAAAACAGTTGCATGAAGCCATCGTGACTCTAGGGTTAGCAGAACCATCCACCAACATAAGTTTCCCATTGGTCACTGTACACTTGGAAAAGTAAGTTAATTGAATTTTGAATTTTAAATGTTGGCATTAAAAGAATGAGTCTAATAATTTTCGGATTATACTTTATAAATACCCTCATGATGGGGAAGCCTTGGAGGTCATTTACCACAGAGTAAGAGGGCTAATATGAACTAGGTGACCTTTAAAATCACTAGCAGCCCTGTGGTCCTGTGGCTTTACATATCAATGGAATAGTCCCTGGTGCTTTTTTTGTAGGAGCATGTGATCACTTGAATTTGAATCTAGTTTTTCCTAGTTTTGAGCCTGATAAGTGTTATTAATAAATATAAGAAAAAAGGATCTTCTGGGGCTTTTGAGTATGTGTCTTGACAGTTATTCAGGTAATAAGTGTTGAAGCATCTTCAGTGCTCCTTTTCTTCACAGGGTATTTTAAATACATATACCATTACAGTTATTCTAGCTTTGATAAATGTTGTAGGAGATGAATTTTACTGATAGGGCAAGATTTACTGAGTTTGTTAATTTTTCCATTTGAAATGCTCTTGTTGGTGCTCAATTTAAGGCATTATTTGCAATGTAAATCATAAAGTCAGTCTATTTTATAATGAATAAAACATTTTAGTAAGATGACTAAGCGTAATTTATCATCTTTTTCTTTTGTACTTGTTTTTGTTTTCTGTTTTGCTTTTTAAATTTCCTAGATCTTCTTTGTCAGCTTTTTCATAGCTTAACATAGTTTGTAATCTGCATTACATGGAGACTGCACTGGCAAATTAGTTTAAACAACCCTAGGCAAACAAAAATAGAAGATAATAATTAAAATAAAATAAAATGGAAGATATACGTATCTGAAAGTAGTAAAACACCGAAAATGAAAAGATACTAATTTAGATTTCTTTAGTTCAATTAACAGGGAGAGCTGAATTTGACTGAAACGCAGAAATATCTCACTGTGGATGTAGTGTGGATGTTGTCCTGTTGATGCCAGGAGAAAAATAAAATATGTATTTTAACGGTTCTCATGTTTTCCCCAAATTTCTGGTAGTTTTTCTTTATTTATTAGAGAGTTTAATTAATTGAATATAATAAATGATTTAGTGTTGAATTTTAAATGTATAATAAAAACCATCTCTTTTAACTAACTTAAAAAAATGTGTGAATACATGCATGCACACATGAAATAATTCCTTTGCCATCCAATCAAAAACAATTACCGGGTTAGATGACTGGTCAAATCTTAACCTCTACAGTCTCAGCATTACATCCTTTTAAAGAAATAGTGATTCAAATAATGACTGTGTTATTGAGTTATCATATTCATAGCCAACTTTATATAGAAATCCTATAATTAATATGCTTCCTATTAGAATTTTTTTCAATTGCTTAAAAGACCCATTTCTGCAAATTGCATGTGCAACTCTACAGAAGGATTTGAAAGAAATGGGCCCAGTGCCCAGAAAAATTAGGCCCTCCTACACTACCGGGCAAAAATAAAATAATTAACAATGAAAATGAGGCCATCGTAGAAAAGTATCTTACAAATAGAAATACTTTGAAGACAGAGGAGACCTGAAAGCTTTCCGAAAGAGGTCTGCAGATGGGGCTCATGAACCAAGGAGAGCTTACCCATGGGAAAATGGAAACGGTGTGGAATTCAAATGTTAACCTAGAGCATCCTCTGTGCTTCTGATTATATCCTGAAGTCAGATATTTCTGTGTCTCAGTCAAATTTGGCTCTCCCTGCTAATTGAGCTAAGGAAATCTAAATTAGTGTCTTTTCATTATTGGTGTTTTACTACTTTCAGATATGTATATCTTCTATTTTTATTTTATTTTAATTCTGTTTTTATTTGCCTAGTTTTTTTTTTTTTTTTTTTTTAGACTACTTTGCTAATGCAGTCTCCATGATGAGGTCTTTCAGTTTCATCTATCATAATAAAAAGGGCTATTGACTCTTTCAGAGTCATGAGACTAATAAAAAGATAAAGGAAATTTTATATTTATGAAATTACAGAAAACAGCAGAAACATTCGTAGTCAGGGGAAATGCCTGGAGTAAAACCCTGACTTTGAAACTCTTTCTCAATTGTGTTTTCTCCAACTGATGGAAGATAGCTAATTAATTCAGAATCATGACAAGTGCTAGGATTAACCACACTAGCCTGCCAAAAAGTCCACGTGTATTCGATTTGATTAAATGTGTATAATCTTCAGTAATATCATGTAATTGACCTCAGCAGGTATGAGCTCATCTGGCAAATGAGCTTTATTTATTCAAACTTGTGATAAAAGTATAAAAAACATTTTGAAACATCATCATAAATCTTCACCCTTTCATTCAAAGGCAGGCATCTTTTTGGCATGTCACTGTAAAAGGCTCTAAAGAGAATATCACTTTCGTGTTGTAATTCTGAAGCAGTTCCATGAGACTGAGTTCCTTAGAAAGATAATCTCTTTAAGTTTCAGTGGATCTTAATTCTGAACCGACTTTTCCAGCATTGGACAAAACACAGGAGAAATTAATACTGTGTCAGTTTGTGTTATTTAGACAATGTAAAAAAGCTTTATGGGTATAGAAAAAATACACTGTTTTTATTCATTTGCCAAGGGAAATCCAAAACAATAACAGATTTAGAAAATTATAAAGAAGTTGGTAAGCTAACCTGCTTTTGTATTATCAAAATGAAAATACTTGCATTGAATGGAAAAAAATTTGCAGTTGAACAAAATTTTTATGTTTCATTTACATTACATTACAGTCTCTAAGCCACGTATTTTACATGTAGTCCAAATGAGTATTATTTCAAACATTTTCTTTTGTAAGTATTTTATCTTATTAAAATCATGCCTGATTCATGGAGATGACAGCAATCCGTCACATTAAGGAAGAAAGAAATGCTTTAAAATAGGTTAAAAGAGTTTTTTATTAGTCTTCATGTTATGGTCAAGGAAATGAAATTAATAAAGTCTGGGCCATCAGATATTAAAGCATAAAAATTTGTATGATGCAGTTTCAGGTTCACTTGTTTTATACCTGATCCATTTTGGTTTCATTGCATGCATTAAAAAATAACTGAAGCTGTTTAACTGGATTATGTTGGTGCAAGTGATCAAAGCAGCTTTAATTTCTGCTTTCCATTAAGGATTTTTTTTGTGCTGGTTTGTGTTATAATCTGTATATGTACATATGCATTTCATTTAAGTGTGTCATGAACTTCATATATACTATCCTCCCAGAATTCTTGCTGAATTAATCTTGAGTTCATAAAGGTCACAATTTCTCTAAGATGAACTTGTAACAATGTTTTTGGAACTCACTGTAACACTTTAATATGTTACATAAATGGGAAATAGGCTTTTTAAAATGTTGATGATTCTGTTACACATGCTCCCCTTCAATTTTAGCATCTTCATTTGTACTGGATACTTTCATTATTTATGGGAATGCTTGCCTTCTAGAGTAAAACTCCTTATGTGCTGAAAGGAAATTAAGGAGGTTTGGCTCTTTTACTCCATTATTGCAATTAAGAATTTAGCATCATCAGTGCCAAAGGACAAAAAGTGGTTCATTTGCCCTAGGGGGACAGGACAGTGATAAGATGATTTTTCGTCAAGGATCATTGGGTCGTAATTAAGTTACATTCATGGCTATTGCTTTTTGAAGGATGATTGGTAAATGACAGGCTTCATGTGCTTAGTACGGACAGTGTGCAGTAGGGTTTTTTCTGCCTCTGTCAGAAAATCCTGTTGAGCCTGATAATGTAAATGTGGCATTTTATTCTGAACAAAAGAGCAGGGAAATGAGCTATCTTGTCTAATCATTCAGTTGTTTAACACCGACTTCCAGTTTAGACTCAATTGGCTGGAAAGCACTTGACATGTGAAGTTAGTGCTGTTCCGAACGCATGTTTGAGTAAATTTTAAAGTAAGTGACAGCTAAATTGTACCTAGGGAAATTACAAAGCCTTCAACACAGTTAATTTTTTGGGGAGGATTAGTTGTAATTGCAACACCAGTCTCCTTGAAGATTCCTCATTTATAGATGATGAACAGAAAAAAAACATTTAGCTCTTTCAAGTGCTGGTTCTCTTAACAGAATAATTTTTGTGAAGATGATGGTTTCTCTTGAATTGGTTTCTTCCCATATTGAACATCTGCTGAGGATTTGTAAGATAGTTTGTTTTTAAGGAGTTCAGTTTGGTTTTTGTTTGTTTGTTTTTTCTTTTTTAAACTTTTTTCTCCCCCCACAGCCCTTCTTTTCTGTAGTGATTGCAGATTTGAGCGCATTTCAGTAAGGAAGCCTGTTACATAAATTGCCACTTCACTAACAATGTATAAGTTTAAAGTACTTTATTCCAAATAAAAAAAATCAATATTTGTCATCTTTCGTTTTTTGTTGTTGTTGTTGTTTTTATTTTTATTTTTATTTTTATTTTTTTGAGACGGAGTCTTGCTGTCTCCCAGGCTGGAGTGCAGTGGCACGATCTTGGCTCACTGCAAGCTCCGCCTCCTGGGTTGATGCCATTCTCCTGCCTCAGCCTCCCGAGTAGCTGGGACTACAGGTGCTCACCGCCACGCCAGCTATTTTTTTTTTTTTTTTTGTATTTTTAGTGGAGACGGGGTTTCACCATGTTAGCCAGGATGGTCTCGATCTCCTGACCGCGTGATCCACCCACCTCAGCCTCCCAAAGTGCTGGGATTACAGGCGTGAGCCACCGCGCCCGGCCATCTTTCTTTTGTTGTTTAAGTATACTCTCTGGGATTAGAAAGTTACTTAGTATAAATTACGAGACTTAAGTTTAAAGCTACTAATAGATAAATAGATAGTTGTCACTCGTGGTTGTTTTAACAATTCCAGATTGTATGAAATACATTTATGATTTTTACAGGTATATGTATTGAGGAATGTATATGAGTTTTAGGAGTACATGTTTCTTGGTATCTCAAAGTAGATAGTTTTATGATTGGTGGATGTCCCATAGAAATGTCTGTCCAGCAAACTTACATGCTACATGGTGTTTGTTTTTCTGTCAGTGACGTTATAGCATACTTCAGTTTCAGAATGAGGACTCAAATGAGTGGTACTATCAGATTTGCCATCGGAGCTTCAAGCTTATTTATCGGGATGTTCTTCCGTGTAATAATGAAAAAATTGTAGTTTGTAGTAGCTCTTTGTAGTCATGTTCCCTTAAGAAGTGAATTCTAGATTCTAGAATGAATTTTGATGCAGGCCAAGTGAGTCTATTCAAGTTAATGAATTTAACTCTATTTTAAGTTTCCAAATTTCTTGCTGGACCCAGCCTATCTCATATATATGTTCTTAAAATTTAAAATTACAGAATCTTTTCCTCAATTTTACCTTTATTTCATAGACTTACAGAATTTTGGTAAAGCTTATATTTTTAATTTGCACCAAACAAAATACTGCTTTTTAAAATGATTGCTTACTTTTTATTAGTGTACGTAGTTTTATGCATGAAAATTATGTAGTCTATTGAAATTTTGAGGGGGGTGTCTTGATTTTTTTTTTTATAAAGGGTAATAGTATGCTACAGAGTTGATTTTCTTTTAGTGTCATTTGTGAAAGCATTGACTAAATTTTTATTAGGAGTGAGCCTTTAAATATTTGTATGTGAAGCTTTAGGAATTATGCATATATGCTGATACAAGCATGGGCTCAAAGTTTTGAATGCAAAATTAATGTGTCAACATTAATTTCTTCAGAGGATTATTGTTATTTCTTAGCAGGATTTAAATCATTTCTAGTGCTCAAAGAAATTCACAGATCACTTTGGGTCACAGAAGCTAGAAGTAGACTGATTGGTAATGTGTTGTCCCACATTTTGGTTGTAAAGCAATTTTTACCTTTCTCCTTTTGATATTGTGCTTCCCTTACTGATTTCATCCTGCCTAATAAAAGTGGTATTTTCACCTGATGATTTTCTCTGCTTGTGCAAAACACTTTAGATGAACCTAATAAGCACAGAGTCATAGAACCTGTTAGAACTAGGAGGGAACCCAAATGTCCTTGAGTTCAGCTGTTGTGATAATTTGCTTTTCATCACCACTTCTAGAAATGTATCACGTTGCTACAGCTGAGTAGCATAAGTACTCTTATCAGTTGGGATGGAAATCCAAAGTCCTATGACTACATAGCTATCTTCATAGCAATGCAAATTTTAGGTGCTTTTAAACATATTTTTCATTTCCGTCATCACCTAAGTTTTCAAGCTTTATTATGAAAGATTAATAGTGACATAAATTATGTGGGGAATGTAAATTTTTGTCTTTTAAAATGACATGATCCAACCACAAGTCCGAATTAGATAATAGGGACTGAAGAACTGACTAGTCATTTACTTTGTTTTTATCTCCAGTACACTTTGTATGAGGTATTTCATTATAAATTTCTAATTCATTTTGTTGGCATCCTAAGAGCAGTAACATTGGTTCTTAAAATTACTGACAAATATATGAATTATTTCCATTTTGCCATTCTTGTTTTTTCTGTTGTTGTTCTGAACATGTATAATCTTCAGAAGCATATATTTGGAGACCAAAGACTATTAACGTGTCGCTTTGATTGACAGAACAATTATTCATTCATTTATTGATAGCTTTGACCTAATGTAGGGGGAAATACAATTGAGACAATACTATTCTAGTTTGGGAATTGATCTGGAAAAGCAAATCATGCCACTTAAAAAAAAATCGTATGTGTGTTAGCTTTGCTCTTAAAAAATGTTTTAGTAGTTTTTCGTTAAGCAGAGTTATAGAAAGGCAATAACCGAACCTGTGTCTGAAGTAAGGGAAAATACTGATTATATAAAGCTTTATATCATATGTGGTAGCTACTGTACCATTTCTCTTCTATGACAGTAATCCAGCCTGCAACATCTACTTGCAGTTTGAAATTAACCTGTAATTTAGTCTTCACCCCAAATGACAAAAATTCAAATGACTCTGTGGGGTGCCAGAAGATGCACTGTAAACAGGGCTTAGTAAGGGGATAAGGTAAGAGTTCCATCAGGATAGGCTCGTTTTCACTGTGTCACTATTATTGCAATAAAACTAACATTTCTTCGTTGTCTTTTACTTTTTTAGTACAGCTTAAAATCAGATCTTGATAAAATAGTAATTCAACTTAGGGCAATGTAACATTTGTATAATAGGCAAAAATGTGAAGGCTTTAACAGGAAGTATAAAAGGACTTTCTGGTTTTGAAAACTGTTATGTGTATGAGAAATTTATATTCTCTACAAAGATTTTCACTAATTGTCACTAGTTGTACTTGGAGCCATGTCTCTAACCATGCCTCTTTTTAAAATACCTTTCATACTCTCTTTTCATAAATCGTTAATTTCTTATTCCAAATTGCACCACTTTATTACATTATTCAAATACCAGTGCTTTTAATAAAGCATAATGTGTAATTAGATGTACTGAACTGACAATGGGAAGTCCAGCGACTTGCTTACCTAGTACCTTCCTCTGTTTACCTGGTAGCCTTAGTCAAATCAGCCAGTCTCTAGATGCCCCAGTTTCATTATTTCTTTGAAAGTAAAAGGGGGTGGCAAGTAGAATTGGATCATATAATCTCTATAGTTCTTCCAAGGGATTTCTTTTTTTTTTTTGAAACAGAGTTTCACTTTTGTTGCCCAGGCTGG
Source organism: Homo sapiens (assembly GCF_000001405.40). NCBI lineage: Eukaryota > Metazoa > Chordata > Mammalia > Primates > Hominidae > Homo > Homo sapiens. The sequence goes on along the minus strand of NC_000002.12, from coordinate 43,936,050 downwards.
AGTGCAATGGCACGATCTCAGCTCACTGCAACCTCCACCTCCCGGGTTCAAGGGATTCTCCCTCCTCAGCCCCCCGAGTAGCTGGGATTACAGGCATGCGCCATCACGCCCGGCTAATTTTATATTTTTAATAGAGATGGGGTTTCTCCACCTCAGGTGATCCGCCCTCCTTGGCCTCCCAAAGTGCTGGGATTACAGGCATGAGCCACCGCACCTGGTCTTGCAAGGTCTTAAATATTTCTCATACTAACATTGTCCTTTTATTTTATTTTTTTTATATTACCTGTGAATTTTATTTCAGTATGGTAAGAGAGAAATTACAAAAAAACTTTTAATAAAGACAGGGTTAAAGTAAATTGAAAGCAAATTGTCCTTTTATGGGGGGAAAATACTTCTTAAGGACCCACAAGAATATAGTACCACACTGTTGTTTAAGAAACTGATTTAATGACAGTGTCTTTTTATTTTAATTTCTCACATAAAAGAAGGCTTGACTTTGTAATTGGAAATAATTTTTAAAAGCTTACCCTTTAATGAAAAAAGTATTTAGAATTCTTCTAGAATTCACTGACCAACACGAATATCCTAGTTTTCATAATAGTAAGTTCCCATATATATGAAACTTGAGGTTATTTCCTACTTGGCTAGTAAGGTGACAGTACAGAAAATATTATGATAAAGATGAAAAAGTTCTTGAAAATTCCTTATTAGCTATTGGTGGACATTTAATAACGTTTACCAAATCTGAAATTATTGAGATACAATTGTTAAAGGCACGTAAGTGATTGGAAAAAAGTATTTGACGGTAGTCCTTGCTTTCAGAAGTAATACATTCTTACAGCAACTTTCTACATAAAGTCAGAATTTACAGTAAAATCAGAGAATGCCTTAATCTATTTGGACTTTTTTATAAAGTACCCTTTAACACACGAAATAATAAAAGATGAAGCAGGGTAAATAGTGGATTGCTGATGATGTATGTTTTCTGAACATTTACTTATATATAAAGATTGTTTCTTTTTTTCCCCCATTTTAGCTTTGTGGTTTTCTACCTTAAGTAAAGCTCAGTTGTTTACATATTAACTGGTCATTAAACATCTCTCTAAAGTATTACTAAGAGACTAAGCTGAATTCGATTTATTTTATTCATTGCTAATTTTTTTGTTTCTAAGGGGCGACCTATCTACTGCTCTTGAGGTCGCCATTGACTGCTATGAAAAGTATAAAGTATTACCAAGGATTCATGATGTCTTGTGTAAACTGGTAGAGAAAGGCGAGACTGATCTAATTCAGAAAGGTGAGTCACTTTCTAGTATCTTAATGTAGTTTTTTTTTCCCTTCTTGCTGATTTAATCTTAGTGTATTGTTAAGAGAAACCAGCAGAAGGCCAGCACATTCAGATAAACTTTCTTTATACTTGTGAAATCTAAAAGAAAAATATCAGGTAGATTTCCAATATTATACATGTTCTTGATTTTAGTAACTGTTCATTTTGAAAAAATGTCTGTTATTTTTGTGTTCTAATTCTTGGTGATCTGCCTTTATGAAGATTTTTTTTACCCTTATCCTCACTAGTTCTCTTTGTAGCTACTCTGTTAGGTACTTAATTAGTCGATATAGCTATATTCTTTAAGTTATTCTTAATATTTGTTTTTAAAATAAATTTTTCTTGTATTTGTCTGGAACTTCATATGATACTGTTTTTCTGGGTTTTTTTTTCTCCTAATATATATATTTTTTTCTCTCCTACCTAGCAATGGACTTTGTGAGCCAAGAACAAGGTGAAATGGTGATGCTCTATGATCTCTTCTTTGCCTTCCTACAAACAGGAAATTACAAAGAGGCCAAGAAGATCATTGAGGTGTGATTTTAACTACAGTGTTCTAATTGTAGAGCTATTTAGACTCTTAATTAGAATACATTTAAAAATTTTAACCTTTAATTACACTTGTTCTGATTCATGTTAATAGAATTCAATCCCAGTAATGTTGGGGGAGGGGGATCTCGGCCAGCTTCTTTATTGTATATAATTACAGTTCAGAAAAGGCAGTCTGGTTGTATATTAAATTTGTTTCCTCACTTTGTTAAATTCACTATTATATATCAAAATGATATTTGCATATTAAATCTTGGATTGTGGAACAATTAAATTAAACTGGCATTCCTGGGTGTAAAGTTGCTAATCCTCTTTGCCAAAGAATTCTTTGTTCTTAAAAGCAGTGGAATTTAATTTGCTGCAGACCATGCTCAAGATTTATTTGTAATGCTTGTCTACAAGTTAATCAGCCAAACAAGTGCTGTCTGCAACTGTTTGGCATTTAATTTAAATTTTCTTCTTCTTTTTTTTTCCACTATGCTAAGCAGCTTATGGGAAATGGTAGGTGACAAACCTGGCCTATTTAGGATTAGTATATTTTATCTAGGCTTTACTAAATTTTGCTTAGTGGAATTGATAAGTCAAGGGCCAACTATAAAGTCTGTCCAAATTGTGATTAATTTCACTATTAAACAATTCTGTGTCCACTAAGAAAACAAAACATTCCGCAGAAGATGGACCCATTGCCTTAAGAAAAATTATTTCATGTGATTAAAACTGTTAACTTATAAATACATCAGTAATCATGGGTTTTCTCAGATTATACTTCGCTTTTGGTCAATGTCGTTTTCCAAAAATATACAGGGGACAGGATGCAAAAGTGGTGTTTGACCTCTTTATTTGTGTATTGATGACTGCTTATCATGAAACTGAAAATATAGGCACACAACCCAGAAAACTGTATTTTTTTCCTCCTGATGTTTTTTGAAGAAGAGAACGGTGTAGTATAGAAAAGGAGGACTGTGAAATCAATTCAGAACTTTCTTCTCTTTCCATTTTATGACTCAATCTGCCCACTTGTCAGCAGACAGTGGGGCATGCTATCGTGCTATCTTGGACAGGTGCTTCTGTAGCTTAAGTGGTTCATTTACATTTTCTAGAAAATGGTATAATTTTTCTTCCACATTCGCTTCTGAAAGTACAGTGAATCCAAATGTGAGAAGAGCTGTCTGGCTATTGAGTTCTGCTCCTCTGTAGGTACAGTGTCAGTATTAGCAGGTCACTGATCAGAGCGGAAATGAAGCTCAGCTCTGAGAGGTTCTGCAGGAGGAATGCATGTGCCTGTCTTTGTGTAGTAAGGTGTAATAGAGCCAGAGGCAGAAGAGTGATTTCTTGTTTTGCCATCTACCTGCTTATGTGATAATGGACAAGTTATTAAACCTTTCTAAGCTTCCTCATGTATAAAAGAGAACATAATATCTGTCTTTAAGATTCAATCACATAATGTATGTAAAGCAGCTTGCATGTTTCCTGGATTATGGTAAGTGATCAATAATATTAATTCCCTTTGCCCCTTAAAGGTAGGGATTGTGTTGTCTTCTTTACCTCACATAATTCAAAATATGATGTTCAGCATAAGGTACATGTTTGCCACATGAATAGGCAAGAGAAGACTGCCTCTTAATTACTTAGAGCTTTGCCACAGTACAACCACATTTAGGAATGGCTGTCTGCTGATGACAGAATTTTCGTAGTAGGTGTGTACAAAATTTTTTAAAGGGTGAAGAATAGCTTTACAGAAAGAATACTACAAGTCATGAGCAACATTTTTATCATTCCCAAAAAAAGCAATAGTGTCTTATCATTGGGTAGATTCACTATGGTTGAATTTACAGAGCTGCTGTGTATTTGAAGCGTTGTGGAAATAATTAGATAAACCAGTCATAAGCTCATTAAATGAAGAAAGATATAGGCAAGGTTCAATGTGTAAATATCACCTGTTTTTTTGTTTGTTTGTTTTTAAGATGAATTGGCATACATGTATCATGTGTTATATGTAGTATATTTGACAGTCTCCAGTCTTTTTTTTTTTTTTTTTTTTTTTTTTTTTTGAGACAGGGTCTTGCTTTGTTAGCCAGGCTGTAGTACAGTGGTGGCTTAGCTTACTGCAGCCTTGATCTCCTGGGCACAAGCAATCCTCAGAAAGACCTAGTCTGAAAAAAGTCCTTTCTACAACACTTCATCTTATAGCAATTACTACATTCTGTAGATTCTCTTTTTAAAGGTCTATCTCTTTGACTAGAATGAAGGGAAGGGAGAAAGACTGAGAAGGAAAGGAAGGAGGGAAGGGGAAACTGGTCCAACTGGGAAGCCATGCAAATGCTATCAATCACCTTTGCTAAAGAGCTTCATTCTGGAGGTTTCAGATGAAGAAATCTGCCAATGCCACCTTTAAGGGTTCATGACAGGAGATTCTCTATCAGATCTAAGAGCTTCATTTATCTTGTACCTATGTTAATTCACCCTATTTTCTGTTAACTCAGGTCTCTCTCCGTCATTTACATAGCATTTGAGATGACTGAGTAAAGTGTCATAAAAATCCACCACCATTACCTTAATTTTGAGTGTAGCAGTGTTTAGGGTGAGAATTAAAAGATGAATTGTGCGTCTGCACTTAGAGTAGAGACAAAAGCATTCCAGGCAGAAGGAACTGCCTGTGTGAGGGCCCTGAGGCAGCAAAGAGGTTCCTCCCTTTATCGTTCTTCTGCCTCTCAGAACTCTTATTAGATAACACTAATAAAATGACATCTGGATTGTCTGGTACATTATCAGACATTTAATAAATGCTAGTTTGATTCCCTTCCTTCTCTATGCCATTCTTTACTGTGTAGAGGTCAACCCTTCTGTCTCTTCTGCAGATACATCCTCTGTAGGCTGTCTTAAGAACTCTTGGGAATCAAACCCAAGGGAAGAGGTTAGAATACGAAATGCTAAGTTTAAAGCAGAACTTTTTTCTCATCTTTGTGTTGGTTCTGAGAACCTAGCAGTGCCTGGCACATGACAGGCATTTAGTAAGTGATTGCAGAACTACTCAAAGGGCTAAGAGTTAAATTAAATAATATATTTCTTGATAGAAACCTTTAATATGGTAACATTTCATACATCATTTAACTTTTTTGCTTGTATATATAATCTTTCCCTGGATTTAATGTCTGGTCTTGGAAAAAAAAGAATGAGTAACCCAAAAAGTGATACTTTATTTGTATGGTCTGCAACACTGTCTTCCTGGGAGGTAAATGAAGTACCTGAAAAGGTCATAGACTAAAAGAAGGAAGTCATTTTTCTGTTTGTTTGTTTACAGAGAAATACCTTCTTTTACCATAATTTCTAGCAATAGGAGTATTGGACTAGAACTCACGAACCCTGAGTTTTAGTTCTGGCTCTGCTACCAGGAACCATAAAGGAGGTCCCATCCTTAAAGACATAACAACATTACTGTCTTTGTGTATCAGGGGCTTTCAAAATGGTAATGACATTTGACCCACTTTTGAGAAATGATCCTAAGTAAATCATCTGAAAACCAAAGTAGGTAAAGATGTAAATTATGATTATTACCTGTAACAGTGAAAGTTTTTCTCAAAGGAGAAAGGGCGCAAATGAACTCCAGTTTGTTTATGAAATGGAATGATGTGGCCATTAAAAATAATGCTTACAAGATTTTGGATTTTCGAATTTGGGATGTTCAACCAGTAAATAATACAGATATTCCAAAAGTCAGAAAAATCTGAAATCTGGAACGCTTCTGGTCCCAAGCGTTTTGGATAAGGGATACTCAACGTATAGTAGTTACGGAATTTGAAACCAGGCCCTGAGTTTCTGTTTTCTATTGGTTCCTCTGTACCATCCTACGTCCATGATCTCATGACCCCTCAATATCTGAACTGTCGAAAATAACTTACCCTTTCTCCGGAATTCCTCTTTCTTGACTTTTCCCTCTCTCCCTATCTGCTGTTTTGCCTTTCCATCACGGTGCAGCCGGAGTACATTTTGATCTCTTCTCAGTGGGGGAAAAACTCTCTTTTGATGGCTTTTGATTTAAGACCAAAAGCTTGGATTCCAGTGATCTCCCAGTCTTTGTTACTCTTCCTTTTGTTCTTTTCCAGATCTGATTCAGGAATTTTTATCCCATTTGCCTTCCTTAATAAGCCAGCGTGGATCGTATACACAGACAGTGGATTTTAGAGCTAGGGTTTGTTTGTTTGTTTGTTTGTTTGTTTGTTTGTTTTTGTTTTGTCCTCCAAAATTTCAGGATATGTCAGTTCTCATGTAAATATATACCCCCTTTTGTGAGTTAGTTTAGTATCTCCTATAACACCTGGTCAAGTGGATAATTTTTTAGTTCATGATAGTTTGTTAATTGGACTTGCTCAGCCATATTTTCCTCCTTATTATACATGGTCTTCAAGTCTATCTTGGAAAATTTTAGAGAAAAGGACAAATGCTAAAAGACTTAATAGTACCATGAGACCTTTTTTGCTCCCTTGTTCTGTGCTAGCTATGGGGATAAATATAGTTGATCCTTGAACAACATAGGTTTGGATTGTGTAGGTCCACTTACATGTAGGTTTTTCTTCAGTAAATATACTGGAAAAGTTTTTGGAGATTTGAAAAAACTCACAGATGAACTGCATAGCCTAGAAATACTGAAAAAAATTAAGAAAAAGGTATGTCATGAATGCTTAAAATATAGGCAGATTCTAGTCTATCTTATTTGCTACCATAAAACGTATACAAATCTATTATTAAAAGTTAACATTTATCAAAACTTACACACACATAGACTATACATGCTGCCATTCACAGCTGAGAGAAATGTAAACAGAAGTAACGAAGTACTAGTCATACGAAGTAACGAAGTACATAAAATTCCCTACAGTACTTATTGTATTACTGTAATTATTTTGAATAACACCATGACATCCATACACAGTATCACTAGTGATGCTGGAAGTGCTTCTAAGAAGTAAAGTTGTGACATTTCAAGAAAAGGATGAATTGCTTGTTATGTACTGTAGATTGAGGTCTGCAGTTCTGGTTGCCTGCCATTTCAGATAGAAATTCATCTTGTAAAAAGATGTCATAAACTTACGGTATCAAAAAATGCAGTACTGTAAATGTATTTTCTCTTTCTTACAATTTCCTTAACATTTTCTTGTTGTAGCTTACTTTATTATAATGATATAGTATTAAATACATGTAACATACAGAATATGTGTTAATCGACTATTTGCTATTGCTAAGACTTCCAGTCAACAGTAGGCTATTAGTAGTTCAGTCTTTGGGAAATTAAAAGTTATATGTGGATTTTTGACTGCACAGATGGTCAAACTCTAACCCCTGTATTGTTCAAGGGTCAGTTGTACTTGGACGGTACTTGGGTTGGGGTGGGGATGTTGTTTTCTTTTTTTTTTAAGAGATGGGGTCACACTGTGTTGCCCAGACTGGAGTGCATTGGCTGTTCACAGGTGCAATCATAACACACCGCAGCCTTGAACTCCTGGCCTCAAGCAGTTCTCCTATTTCAGTCTCCCGAGTAGCTGGGACTACAGGTGCATACCACCTTCTCCAGCATTCTTGTCTTTGTCTGTCCCTTCTTTAAAGCCCTTGTGCACATGATTTTTCCTCCTACTATGTTAACTAGGGGACATGAGGCTAGGGCGGGCGGTTTTTGTTGTTGCTTTCATTTGACATCTCCAGCAGAAGTGGCAAGAAAAATCAGAACAGGTGAAAATTTCTATTTGAGTTAAATTCAGGATAATCTTCCTTGAGACAGAGTTTGAAATGCAGTAGAAAAACTTTCATTTCTTTTTACCTAACAGGTAATAATTATTGGATATCTATTTTTACTAGTATACATAGAAGCTTATGATAAGCTTTTTATGGTAAATTTACATCAGAGTGTTGTAATGAAATTAAAGTAATGACAGTTATTTTTGACTTTGGATTACTTTTTTTTCCCCTATACAAGTAAACCTAGTAGTGAATTGCAACTGCAGAAAGTTGTGGTTTGAAGCACAGTAGCTCAGGTGGAAACAAACATGCAATTGTTTCTATAAAAATACTTACTGTATCCTCACTGTTCATTAGATAGATTGTATGTGGCAACACAGAAAGAACTAAATATGAGTTTAATTAACATTAACTGTTTTTTCATGTTATATTTAACATCCCAATTAGAATTCTATTCTTCTCCATGTTTTTATTACATTTTCTATTTCTGCTTTCAACTTGCAGTTTTTAAAATTCAATAAGATGTTAAGAGATAAGCCAGAAATCTTGACATTACAGCAGCCTAGGAGATTTAGTTAATCTGACCTAGATGTTCTTTTGATGATTGAGATTTATATATGAAAACAGTTCTCAATTTCAAAATGAAACATGGGAAGATCTGCCATATAAATCAGCTGTCCTGCCAAAGACAGGCAGATTAATCAGCCACAAACAGAAAGAGTATGTCATAAAAGTTGTGCTGTTTAGATTGTTGGCATTTGGATCAGCAGTAATATTGAAAGTTGTAAGTGACCGTAGCCCTTGCATTTTGCCGTGTTCTGAAGAGGATTATTTCATAGTTTTTCAAGGGCTTTTAGTATATATTGACATTGGTTTCATTTTCAGTATTATGCGTGTGAAACAAAACAAATAACGTAAGAAAAATCCTTGAGAAGAAATTGTGCCTGAGTGTAGATATTAATAGTATTTGAGACTGTATTTCAATGACTAATTTATTCATCATTGATTTCTTGTATCCCAAAAAGTGGATGATATAGGAAATGAGAACAAGCTATCCAACTTCTAGTCTACCAATTTTTCTGTCATCCCACCAAAGCTGCAAGATGTTAGTTTCCACTTCAGTTCTTAATTTAACGTTGTACAATGTTATTTTTTAAAATTAAAAATAATGAGGACTTAAGAGATTAGATTCAAGGGATACCTGGTTTGATCAACAGAAGTGAGCGGAGAAAGCAGTAAAGATACCTCCTCTAGACTGGAGCAGCCAGGGCTAATGAGTATGTAGTTTTCTTACCATAATGCTGTGATTGAAATGTAGTATTTAATGGTGAAGCCCTCTTGCAGATGATGAAAATACTATAGAGTGACAAATCCTTGGAATTATGTTGAAATGGTTTGTCTTTTATTCCAGTATCCAAAATTGTAAACTAAGTGCTTTGAAGCCAGACTTATTGACCAAACGATAGTAATTTCTAATTGAGGATATAACATATGTCTCAGTTGTTTAATTGAACTGAGACTATAAACCAATTTTAAAGTACTTAGCTTGTTTTGTTCTTTAAACATTTAGTTTTAGGTGCTAGGCAAAAGTCATTAGAGTACTTTTATCACTGTGAAGTTCGCAAAGCATTTTCTTTTAAAAACGAAAGCCAATGGTTTATTATTGTGACAACTGTTACTTTGTGTAACATTGATAATTTTTGTCTCCTGAGTCTATTGGAATAAAGTGTATGTGTGTGTGTTCAAGAGAGAGCGTGTAAATGAGAAAGAGCACGTGCAGTCAGGTGTGGTGGCCCATGCCTGTAATCCCAGCACTTTGGGACGCTGAGGTGGGCAGATCACTTGAGGCTAGGAGTTCGAGACCAGCCTGGCCAACATGGTGCAACCCGTCTCTACTAAAAATACAAAAATTAGCCAGGTGTGGTGGCACACACCTGTAATCCTAACTACTTGGGAGGCTGAGGCAGGAGAATTACTTGAACCCATGAGGCGGAGGTTGCAGTGAGCCAAGATCATGCCATTGAGACTCTGTCTAAAAAAAAATAAATTAAAAATAAGAGCACATGCATGTGAATGTTGACACACACTTTTTATTTGACGTTTTCTAGTTTATCGCTTATTTTTGAACTAAAGACAGTATAACCATTTTATTAATTAAAGATTTATGGAATGAACTTTGACGTGCAGTGCAGCATTTGGAAATTATCGGCGTCTTCTAGGCAGAGGTTAAGCATAGTTTGTGTTTTATGCTCTCTTCTACTCTTACTTAAAGGTCTTTGATAACTATGGGGTTAATTATAGTTTGTATTAGTTATAGTATAAATTTAGTATATAGATTGTATACTAGTATATATAGTTTAGTATATAAGTTTAGTATATATATTTGGCAGCAAATTCATAAGAAAAGAAACTGTCTTTGAGGAAAAAAATAATATTCAGCCGAAGCCTTACCTTGGGTGCTATGTGATTATTTTATTTTACAGACTCCAGGGATTAGAGCTCGATCTGCAAGGCTTCAGTGGTTTTGTGACAGATGTGTTGCAAATAATCAGGTTTGTATTTGATTCAGATGTCTCAATCACCTAAAAGTGTGAGTAGAAGGCAAGGGTCCTCTGTATCACATGAAGATTTGGGGACTTCGAGAGACAGGGCATTGTGGAAGCAGTGTTTATCTCGATCATTTGCCAGATAAGCAATGGCTTATTTCTTATTCCTGAGGTGCAGTAGAAACCCTAAACTGTTAACCTGGGCCCTGATGATATTATCTTTAACTAGTTGGTTGGAGCAGGCTGACCTAATGTCCTTGGCACTTCAAGCCTGCATTAGTCCTTAGTGGAAGAAGGAGTTGCTTCCCAGAGCTCTGGAATTTCTGCTTGCCCTCCTCTGGTGCAGGTACCTGTTTGCACCATGCCAAGTAAAAGCCACAGGGCAAGAAGAGTGTAAAGTTTGGAGGGGGAAGTATTTTTGTTAACGTACGATACACTCATTGAGTTCTCCCACCCAGATACCTTTGAATTAGTTATTCATGTTGTGTTCTTGACTCCAAATTTTTTTAAAATTGTGGTAAAATAAGTATAATGTAAGATTTATGATTTAACCTTGTATAAGTATACAGTTCAGTGGCATTAAGTTCATTCATATTGTTGTGCTCAGCCCATTAACTTTTGAAATGAAGTTCAACTGCCCTTTTGGTAAAGCTAATTTGAAAGATTATTCCACTGCTATTTGTTAACTGTAAAATACATCCTTTACACAAGGTAGATCTATCTCTTAATCTTACTTTTAAGGTTGAAACTCTGGAAAAATTAGTGGAGCTGACACAGAAGCTATTTGAATGTGATAGAGACCAGATGTACTACAATCTGCTAAAACTGTATAGTAAGTGATTTAACTATTCTTCACGCTTTCATTTATTCTGTTGAAGGCAGTGGCAGGAAAGGAGTATTTGGTTTTGAGGGAGCTCCAGGGATTGTCAGAAGGCAGTTTTCATTCAACAGAGGCTCAGGTAGAGGCTAGATTGAATTTTATCACAGAATGTTATATCGTAGCACTAGACACTGTATGTCTTCATAATTTCTGACATTCTTACTGCAATAATGAGAAAGTACGAAAACCTTCATCAGAACCACAGAATTTAATAGGACTTTTTGAGGTAAGAACGGTCTTTCTGTTCTTTTTATTTAAACCTTCAGGTAAATTTATTGGTGACTTTTATAAATAGGTAACCACCAACACATTCATGTAAGTAGAGATTTTTTTCTTTTTGCAAAAAGATGCTTATCTTGCATATCTATATACAAACTCATTGTTAAACAGCTTTTTAAATGTCATTATATATTTTTGAGTCAGCTATATATTACAAACATTTTTCTATATTTAATCACCTACAAATAACTTATATACTACATAGATATACTAAAATTTATTCAGCCTATCATCTCCTATTACTGGGTTTGTGAATAGATTTCCATTTTCCATTTCTAAAACAACACTACGTTATTCATTTTTGTGCCTTAATCTTCATTCACATCCTTAACTGTTTTTTGAGGCTGAAATCTTAGTATTTGTATTTGACATTTCTGAAACTTTCGATCTCTCTTTTCAAACAATGCTCTAGTACTTTTATACTAGTGTACACATTTGGAGCTTTACAGTTTCTTTTAGGATATTTCGGTAGAGAGGAATAACACTTAGAACAGCCAGTGACCTTTCCCTATTTGTTTCATGGATGTTTATCTAGATTTATTGTTCTTCTTTTCTCTTGGCAAATTTCCCTTCACCAAACGAATAAGGGGATTTATTTGTCTTTTCAAACTTGTATTTATTACCATTGAAAGCTTTATTTTACATCTCGATGATGTAAATAAAATTAAACTTGCTTAAAATTTTACATTCCAGTTTTTGGTTGTATTGAAATACATACTTCACAGTGTAATTCTTAAGACTTTGGCTTGAACGATGATCAAATTCTTGCACACAATGCTGAGTTTGGTATTGAATGTATAGAATTAAAAACCTGTATTTTAGGCAGTTGGTCCTCAAATTGCAAATTATAATCTGTGTTTGAGCACTAACATTCCACTCTACCTACTTTTTCTTCCTTTTAAAAACAATTTCATGATGAAATTCTAATGTGCCAAGTTCAAAAGAAGCACTGACTATATGTCTAAATATGTCTTATTATTTCAAGTAGTCCTCATGGAAGACTATATAAACTTGGATTCAGAAAAAAAAAAAAAAAACTATGAAGCCCTTACTGTGTGCTAGACATTGTGGTAGGCACTGCAGATGTAAAGGTAGTGCTCTGCTGAAAGGGTCAGCCCCATCACCAAGTCTTAACACTGCAGCGGGTAAGAACAACTGTAAGTATGTGGTAGTCTAAGGCCAGGTGAGAGGTGGCCAGCCACACAAACTTACTCTTCCTATTCAGAAGAACTTTTACTATTAGTTTTGCTTTGTTTTTGAGACAGGGTCACCCAGGCTAGAGTACAGTGGTGCGATCAGAGCTCACTGCAGCCTCAACCTCCTGGGCTCAAGAAATCCTCCCACCTCAGCCTCTCAAGTAGTTGGGAGTACAGGCATGTGCCACCACACCTTGCTAATAATTTTTTTTTTCTTTTTAACTTTTTGTGGAGACGGGGTCCCACTATGTTGCCCAGGATGGTCTTGAACTCCTGAGCTCAAGCAGTCTTCCTGCCGCAGCCTTCCACAGTGCTGGGATTACAGGCATGAGCCACTGTGCCTGGCCTTTTTTTTTTTTTTTTTTTAAAGAAACAAAAAAATATACAACATTTAGCTTCATCTTAAAATTTCCATTAGGGATATATGGTCTCTGAGTTTAATACTATTTTCTTGTCCTTAATTTCCTCTATGTGTCCTATTGGACACCTGTCTCCAATTCCTTCTTGCGTTGTATTTGAGTCAATAGTTTGAGGAGGTTGGCAGAGTGTGGTTAGCTTCTTAGGAGGCTGGAAGCCAGTGGAATCCTATAGAGAAGTATATATTCTTTTTAACCACATTTGTATACTTCCTACCTTCTGCCGTGTTATAAATGGATAATCTGGTTATGATAGCCCTAATCCTTTCCTTTCTGAAGAAAAAGCAAGCTATCCCCTTCTGCATTTTGCCTTCAGACTTGGGCCACTATTTAAATATTGTTACATGGACTCAGTTGCTTTGAAATGGAACATAAGATATGAATTGGGTCTTGCTGTGTTGCCCAGGCTGGAGTGAGTGGTGCTCACTGCAAGCTCCGCCTCCCGGGTTCACGCCATTCTCTTGCCTCAGCCTTCCCAGTAGCTGGGACTACAGGCGCCCGCCACCACACCTGGCTAATTTTTTGTATTTTTAGTAGAGACAGGTTTTCACTGTGTTAGCCAGGATGGTCTCGAACTCCTGACCTTGTGATCCACCCGCCTTGGCCTCATTATGCTTTTTAAAAATCCATATTTTGCATTGTGGATTTCTTTCTTAGGATGTGATTTTAGCCCTTGAAAGAGATTGGATTAGTAGTTATTTTTGGATATTTGTTGAAAAGCAACTTTCCTTCGTTTATTTTAAAACGGTTCCTTTCACATACTTAATACACACTTAATTTTGTTGTAAATCATAACATAATACAGAAACATGCACAAAACAAAGATATGTAGCTCAGCCAACACCCATGGAACTGTGTAAGTCTTACATACATTTAAATACTAGCTTTTATTAATATAAAACTGCTTTCATTTTCTATGGACTCAATATAACATGATCTGTTACAAAATTTTGTCCTAATTCAAACTTCATTTCTATCCTTCCCAATATATTGTGACCTTTCATTGTGACAGTGTTGCAAAATTAGCTTCTAGAACCTATAACAAACATTAATTACATGAATGAAATGACTTCCTCACTTGCTTAAGGAATTTTCTATTATTTCTATATGACAAACATTTTCTTATGTTCTGAACACTTCTTTACAGATAGAAAGTAGAAATTAGTTTCTTTGTATAGTAGTCTATCCAAGAGTCAAACTGCCTTACATTTGTAATTTTGCAATACAATTCTTTGAATCTATTTAAAAAGTATGTATAACCTCAGCATTTATTCCGTCTCAGTAATGATTCATATATTATTTCTTCAAGTATGTATAGCCATTTACATTTCTTTTCATATTGTATGGCTTTTTCCTCCTCCATTATTACACAAGTGAAATGGACATATTCTGATTACTAAAGATTCAAACAATGTAATACTATACTAGCTAACTATGAAAATGTCATTGTGTCCACCACCACCCCCTAACCGCTTATCTCAGACGTAACTTTGTGAATTGGCCATCCTTTCCATGTCTTCTCTGTACATTGCCCTCTCTCTACCTTTATATCCATGTATTTTTTATGTATGTACCTATTATTTTGATTCTTTTATATCCTGTTTTGATTGTTTTATACTTTACTTGTTTCACATTCTACATTTCTACATTGTGGCTTCTTTTTGTTTTACTTAACAATATGAAATAAATTCACAAGAAAAATACTTGCTTTTTCTCCCTTTTAATACGAATCTTAACTGCTGGTATCCTTAAAACCTCTGAAGTTGATGAATGACTTTTTTAAAAAATGAATTTATGGGTTCTTAACATGTATTTGTGTTTTATTTTAGTCCTTATTTGTTTTAGTGTTCACATCTCGCCCAGGCTGGAGTGCAGTGGCCCGATCTCAGCTCACTGTAACCTCCACCTCCCAAGTTCAAGCGATTCTCCTGCCTCAGCCACCCCAGTAGTTGGGATTATAGGCATGCACCACCACACCTGGCTAATTTTTGTATTTTTAGTAGAGATGGGGTTTCACCATGTTGTCCAGGCTGGTCTCGAACTCCTGGCCTCAACTAATCTGCCTACCTCGTCTTCCCAAAGTGCTGGGATTACAGACACGAGCCACTGCACCTGCCCACAAGTCTTATTTTAATAGGTGCATCTCTGTAATATCCTTGTCTTCCCAAAGTAGAAGCTTTTTGTATAATTTGTGCTTTTTTTAAACAAAGAAAATTATGTTCCCAGAATTCTTGCAGCCTAAAGGCACGGAGTTGTAGATTATCCACCCACCTTTTTATTGTTTAGAATAACTAATCCCTTTTTAAAGGTCCTTAGCAGTATTGTGTCTAGCTGTTGGAAACCTTCCCTGTCTTCCCACAGTCCACAAGGACCTTTTGGCAGTCAACAGAAGTGCTCCACTGCAGAATAAAGATTCAGAGGCTTGGATTTTTTTTTTTTTTTTAAATCAAATAAGTTTTATACTTTCACATACTTGAAATACTTGAATTTTATATTACACAATAACATTTTAATGAAGAAAAAGCGTAATTAGTTAATGAGAGTCTTGTTTTGAAAATTGGTTGTAAATGTAAGGCTTTTATATTAGTTGGGCTAATTTTATCAGTATATGTATAAAATCACTCTGCACTTTAGGTTAATTTCTGCCATCTGGGCCTCCTTGCGATGTAGTCTGTATGAAAGTTTAGGCTGCAGCTGGGCAAGGTGGCTCACACCTATAATCCCAGCACTTTGGGAGGCCAAGGCCAGTGAATTGCTTGAGGTCAGGGGTTCAAGACCAGCCTGGCCAACATGGTGAAACCCTGTCTCTACTAAAAATACAAAAATTAGTGGGGTGTGCTGGCGCGCACCTGTAATCTCAGCTACTCGGGAGTCTGAGGCAGGAGAATTGCTTGAACCCTGGAGGCGGAGGTTACACTGAACTGAGATCGGGCCACTGCACTCCAGCCTGGGCAACAGAGCAAGACTCCATCTCAAAAAAAATATATAGGCTGCAATCTGTGTGACCCAGGGGAATTTCTCTAAGTTTTTTTTTTTTTTTTTTTTTTTAAATTGCTGATTTCCCATGAAGAATGAGTATGCTTTGTTTTTTGTTCTTTGAATTTTTTACTTTTAGGAGTCATTAGTTATCAAAAAACTTAACTTTTTGGTTTTGGGGAGAATAATCTAGGAAAATCCTACGTGTTTTTAGTATTTTTCCTCTAAAATGCTGAGGAACAAATGTATTCATGTTGTCTGGAACATTTGTGCTGTAAAACAAACCCCTCCTTCCTAGAGCTGGATGCCACACAATCCAGATATTTCTTATACATACTAGCAAATTAAAAAAAGACATCTAAAGCAGTTTTTCTGTGCATTTAATAATTGTATTACACTTAGTGTCATGTGACATTTTTCATATCTTGCCCCAGTTTTTCACAAGCAGAAACTAATTTATTATATTAAATGACTTGATGTTTCCTCTTCCAACCATGAGAATTTCTAAAAACAAAGTTTTGATTCTGGAGTTTTTGCTATTTGTAAAGACTAGATTACCACATGAAAGGAAATGGGCTTTTCAATATGAAGGGATCTGCCTATTTCCTTCCCAGCCCTTGTAATAGTCTGATAACATTATCAGTTGAGATAAGAAATCTAAGAAGATTCCATGTATCACACAGGGTCATAGAAACTCTTCATGTCAACACAAGAAACATAGACAATTCTCTATTCAACTAAGTGAAAAGGTTTGTAGATTTGTCACTTGTAAAGAGAATTACACACTTGCAATCATTTTAGTACACACCACAGCTGTGTACTATACGGCAGCAGCCCCCAACCTTTTTGGTACCAGGGACTGGTTTCATGGAAGACAATTTTTCCACAGACCAGGTTGTGGTGGGGGATGGGGATGGTTTGGGGATGAAACTGTTCCACCTCACATCATCAGGCATTAGTTAGATTCTCATAAGGAGTTCACAACGTAGATCCCTCACATGCGCAGTTCACAATAGAGTTGGCACTCCTATGAGAATCTAATGCTGCCGCTGATCTGACAGGAGGTGGAGCTCAGCGGGTAATGCTCACTTGCCCACCCACCGTACACATTCTGCTGTGCAGCCCGGTTCCTAACAGACCACGGACCAGTACCTGTAGCCTTTGCAAAGATCATAGATATATGTATACCGTATGCACTGCATACAATCACAGATATATGTATATTGCATACGGTACACGTATGTATGTATGTATATGGTGGCATATGCCATATATCTATCTATCTATATCTATATATATATCTCTATATATAGAGATATCTATATATAGATATATATATATCTATATATATATATATATCTATATATATATATATTTCCAGGATCTTTGCAACGCTAAAGGTCATAGTTGAATTGTCACCTGTTTCTGATTTTGATTTCGGCAGTAGGCACTTTCTCAGTAACATTAAAAAGACAAACTTCTTATCAACATGATTGGAAGTGTGTAATAAAGTGTGATGGGGGCTTCTTGTTATTGCTTTTTAATAGGTAGGGTATTTTTGGTTTGTAATTCAGAAGTACAGAGAAAAGTTCCCTTCTCGACTTCGGGTCACGGTCACTTTTGGTTCCTTTCCCTAAAGGCAGCATTTGGAATAATGCTTTCTTCAACATCAAATAAGAAAAAGTTCTAAATATTTTTGTGTATTCTGTTTAGCATATTTATTGATTAATTTCTGCTTAATCAAATTCTACAGAAATAAACGGTGACTGGCAAAGAGCTGATGCAGTCTGGAATAAAATCCAAGAAGAAAATGTTATTCCTCGTGAAAAGACATTAAGATTATTAGCAGAAATCCTTAGAGAGGGTAACCAGGAAGTTCCGTTTGACGTACCTGAGGTAATTGTTTTTGGCATAATCGTAACAGATTTTGTTGTCAGTATAATTAGGTTATAGATTAGCCTACTTTTATATTGAAAAGATTACCAGTTTTTATTTAACAGAATAACTTTGTTTTAAAGTTGTGGTATGAAGATGAAAAACATTCCCTGAATTCTTCGTCAGCCTCAACCACAGAACCTGATTTCCAGAAAGATATATTGATTGCCTGCCGATTGAACCAAAAAAAAGGCAAGCACATACGGGGATGGGGGTGTGTGTGGGGGGGTGGTCTTCTTTCTAATAGCAGTGTGGGGTGTAAGCCCAACCAATTAGAAGTGCTCTAGGATAGAGATAGGACTTAAATTTTACATATTTCTTGTCCCCTTCCATACTTTAACGAAAACATTTTGGGGCAATTGGGAAAATTTAACTATTGACTGAGTGGTAGATAATATTAAGGAATTACTCTTTTTATTATTTTTTTTGAGATGAAGTCTCACTCTGTCGCCCAGGCTGGAGTGTAGTAGCGTGATCTCAGCTCACTGCAAGCTCCGCCTTCTGGGTTCACGCCATTTTCCTGCCTCAGACTCCTGAGTAGCTGGGACTACAGGTGTCCGCCCCCACGCCTGGCTAATTTTTTATATTTGTAGTAGAGATGGGGCTTCACTGTGTTAGCCAGGATGGTTTCGATCTCCTGACCTCGTGATCTGCCCACCTCGGCCTCCCAAAGTGCTGGGATTATAGGCATCAGCCACCATGCCTGGCCGGAATTACTCTTATTTTTATTAGATGTGATAATGGTATTATGATTTACTTATAGGGAAATGTTCTGAAATTTTGAGATCCACATGAGTTATTGAGGGATGAAAAAAGTCAAAATTTCTATAATGTATTTAAAAATGCTTAAGCTATAAAAAACGAAGCAGGCCGGGCATTGTGGCTCACACCTGTAATCCCAGCACTTTGGGAGGCTTCAGCCTCCCAAAGCTGGCAGATCACGAAGTCAAGAGATGGAGACCATCCTGGCCAACATGGTGAAACTCCATCTCTACTAGAAATACCAAAATTAGCCGGGCATGTTGGTGCATGCCTGTCATCGCAGCTACTCGGGAGGATGAGGCCGGAGAATCACCGGAACCGGGGAGATGGAGGTTGTAGTGAGCCGAGATCGCACCACTGCACTCCAGACTAGCGACAGAGTAAGACTCCGTCTCAAAAAAAAAAAAAAAAAGCAAATCTAGTAAGATGTTAATTGTTAGATATAAGTGATGGGTATATGGAAGGTGAGGTTCATTATACTATTCTTTTTTTTTTTTTTTTTTTCCCCCCGGAGACAGGTCTCACTCTGTCACCCAGACTGGAGTGCAGTGGCGCAATCATGGTTCATTGCAGCCCCCGCCTCGTGGGCTTAAGCAGTTATCCTACCTCAGTTTCCCAAGTAGCTGGGACCATAGGCACACACCACCACACTCAGCCAATTTTTGTAGTGACAAGGTCTCGCTATGTTGCCCGGGCTGGTCTTAAACTCCTGAGCTCAAGTGGTCCTCCCACCTCGGCCTCACGAAGTGTTGGGATTGCTGGTATGAGCCACCACCCCCAACCTGTACTATTCTTCATACTTTGCTGTACATATGAAATTTTTCGTAATAAATGCTATTGTTGGCATACATTTTTATTAAAAGTATTTTTTGAAAATAACTTTTTGTGGCACATATTATAACTTACTTGAAAGCAAAAAATGATTAAGGCATTAATTACTATACTAGTATGTGTTGAAGTGATCCAGCAATATCTCAAGGTTAGAGGTCTGTTTCTTGACTCTTTCCCTTTCTCTAGTATTAAACTTTCCTGAAGACATCTTCACCTTTATTATGCCTACTTTAAATTTTTTATGACCGTCTTTAACCCTCTGTTATGAGCTTGTAAGTTGAATTTTATGTTTTTACTTAGACTTCTTATACTGTTCCAGAATCATATATTACTCTTATTTTCTTTACTTTTGTTAATTTCTTTTCATTCTAGCTTTCCATAGAATGATTCCTTCAGTTTTGGGGTGGATTTCAAGGATGGTTCATGATAGTTTACCATTAAGGAAATAAACACAAGAGAATTTTTTTATTTTAGTATTGATAGTTTTGAGGTTTATTGGAAAGGAATCAATTTAGAAATTTATAGAACTTCTTAATTTCCTAACTTAACTAGAAGGTTTGGCCAGGCTTGCAGGCTCATGCCTATAATCCCAACAACTTGGGAGGCCAAGGTGGGCAGATCACTTGAGTCCAGGAGTTTGAGACCTGCCTGGCAACTTAGTGGTATCCCATCTGTTCAGAAAATACACAAATTAGCCTGGCTTGGTGGCACAGGACTATAGTCCCAGCTACTCAGGAGGTTGAGGTGAGAGGATCAGCTGAGCCGGAGGTTGAAGCTGCATTGAGCCATGATCGCACCTGGGTGATTGAGTGAGACCCTATCTCAAAAAAAGAAAGAAAGAAATTTTGTGGCATTGATGTAAAATGTATGAAGTAAAAATAAGTTCTTATGCCTCCTCAGTTACCTATAGTATAACTTTTTATTCATTCTGAGTCATTTTCTTTTGAGAAGGAGTCTTGCTCTGTCACCCAGGGTGGAGAGCAGTGGTGCATTCTCACTGCAACCTCCACTTCCCAGGTTCAAGTGATGCTCCTGTCTCAGCCTCTCAAGTAGCTGGGACTACAGGCGCACACCACCACGCCCGGCTAGTTTTTGTATTTTTAGTAGAGACAGGGTTTCCCCATATTGGCCAGGCTGATCTCAAATTCCTGACTTCGTGATCTGCCCGCCTTGGCCTCCCGAAGTTGCTGGGATTACAGGCGTGAGCCACCATGCCCGGCCCATTCTGAGGCATTTTCCTTTGCTGCATATTCAGTCTATATATCTTTGAGTACACACTATGCATCTTTGAAAGCGAAGTATAAAATTAAGCTTGATTAATACTATGTAAATGTTCTGATGAACTTGTGTGTGTGTGTGTGTGTGTGTGTGTGTGTGTGTGTGTGTGTGTGAGAGAGAGAGAGAGAGAGAGAGAGAGAGAGAGAGTCTTGTTCTGTTGCCCAGGCCGGAGTGCAGTGGCGCAACCTCTGCCTTCTGGACTCAAGTGATTCTCCTGCCTCCCAAGTAGCTGGGATTATAGGCACCCACCACCATGCCTGACTAATTTTTTTTTTTTTTTTTTTTTTTTTTTGTATTTTTAGTAGAGACAGGGTTTCACCATGTTGGCCAGGCTGGTGTCAAACTCCTGACCTCAAGTGATCGCCCACCTGAGCCTCCCAAAGTGCTGGGATTATAGGCATGAGCCACCACCACGCCCGTCCTCTGGTGAAGCTTTGATTTAGCTAAATGACTAAAATGAATATATGGTTAGTGTACAGTTTAAGTGAAAACATTTAAGTAGTTAAATAATTAAATACAATGCAGTGTGTATTATAAATGTGGAGCTACCTCTATTCTGGAATTTTCATTTATCTAATTGGTTTCATCCTGTTAATTCTTTTCTTTTCTTTTTTTTTGAGGCAGAATGTTGCTCTATCACCCAGGATGGAGTGCGGTGGCGCAAATCTTAGCTCACTGCAGCCTCTGCCTCCTGGGTTCAAGCGATTCTCCAGCCTCAGCCTCCCAAGTAGCTGGGATTACAGGCACCCCCCACCACCCCTAGCTAATTTTTGTATTTTTGGTATAGACCGCGTTTCACTACGTTGTCTAGGCTGGTGTCGAACTCCCAACCTCAAGTGATCCTCCTACTTTGGCCTCCCAAAGTGCTGGGATTACAGGCATGAGCCACTGTGCCTGGCCATAACTCTTCAGAGTTTCCTGTTTCTTTTTTTGTATATCTCAGGATTCGAATGTTTAGTAAAATATGAATGCTTTGAAAATTGAATGCTTACATTAACATTTTTCTGGTAGTTCAGTCTACTTAAAGGTATATCGTGATTGTCACATTGGAAACAAACGTGCGGTGAATGGGTTTGGTATATTAAAATGCTAATTAAAAAAAAAACTAACAGGGACTAATTACACAGCCACACCAAGTTAATGTGAAGGCCACAGTTTTAGAAAACAACAAGAGTTTCCAAACAAGTGAAATACTATATACGATTGTTAGGAAGTTGACAATAATTGCATTACATCTTAAGTTTTTAGCCCCCTAAAAAGCATTGGGTATTGAATGGCAGATTTTATTGCAGTCATCTTATTGTGTGTCATGGTTTAAATATTTTATTTAGCAAGCCATTCTGTGACTTTAATAAGTAAATAAAAGTCTTAAATTTGTGATGCATTGATACTGGTACTCAAATGAAAATATGTCTTTATTTTCTCCCGTTTCAGAAAAGTGAAATACACCGAATAGACTAGGTATCTGATGGAATAATCAGTAAATGATAGTGGAGTTTCTTCTTGCATATTAGCGTGTTTTTATTTTCCGTTTTTTGCCAGTGTCCTGGAATATACAGTTGTTCACAACCATAGAAATCTAGTGTAAAGCACTTGGAAATTTAATGACTAACAGGGACTGTTCTATGGAAGACTGACTTGAAATGTGATAAATCTCTGCCATTGTTACTTTCACTTGCCCAAACTGTTCTCCTTAAGATGCAAATATAAATGTTGCCGTATATTTTTTTCTCCAAATTTAGCTTAAAGGGATAAATATTTCTTTGACAGTGCCACTTAAGTTTAATTAAGGGACTAATGCACACATTCCCTAACTCATACATAGAAGCGTAACAATTTTCGCCTGTTCAGAAACTTCTAAAGTAGCTTAAAATGTTCTTCTGAACATTAAATAATATCATGTTCTGTCTTAATTAGAAGTTTTATATTTCCTTACATTGAGCCCTATATTCGTAGAAGGCCGTACGTGATAGTTCATTTATGCCCCATCTTTATTGTGATTTGTTTATCCACAGAAGGGAGTAGATTGTAGTTTCAGTTGGCTGTTTATAGCCAGGCAGTTTTATTTCAGAAAAGTATAAGTGACTGAAAAGTGTAGTTACTTCTCTTTTGGTAACATCTTTTCATTCACTGACAGTTATTGTGAACAAGTGAAATAAAACTGTTAATCAGTCAAACAAATGTTGCTTAGTTTACTTGTTAGATATCTGTATATTTGAAAATTGTATGTTTTTGTATAAGTCCTGTCGTAGCCAAATAATGTGATCTCCTAATTTTAGAATTATAGGCTATATTCTCTTTAGTGCTATTGTGCTGAAATGTTAACCATTGTAACCACCCACTTATAGATTAAAGATTGCTTTAAAATGAATCTTTTGCTCCCCTCAATCTAAATTATACCTCTGGTTTATTTGGACTTTAACACACATTTTGCGATTTATTTTGAAACTAGTATCGTCTTTTCATAAATTCAGAAGAGCTGTTTCTCATTTTTATTACAAAGAAAATAATGTATCAACTTAAGAAAGCTGGTATGAGAAATCATTTTAAGAGGAAACCCCTTCAGGCACCATCCATTCAGATTAAGGTGTAGTTTCCAAACCTGTAGCTTTGTCTTTAAAATATTTGAAGAATTATGTCAGTGTGTCTCTCTATAGAGTGGTAACAGTGGGTTGGTATTAAAAAGCAAAAATATTTGGGTTTAGGTCTTTGTTTCAGGATTTTTTCCATCCTTTTGGCATTTCAGAATAATGTCATCTCATTTTTTTTGTCTGTTTTCTCTCATAGGGGCATATGATATTTTCCTGAATGCAAAAGAGCAAAACATTGTGTTTAATGCTGAAACCTACAGCAATCTCATTAAATTACTGATGTCAGAAGATTATTTTACACAAGCAATGGAAGTGAAAGCATTGTAAGTGTTAGTCCATTTATTAAACCTCTTGTTTAAAAAAGAATATTGGCTGCCATTAGCCAATAATTATAATAGTAATGTGCTGTGTAGTAAAATTGCTTGATTGGCCTCAGCTACCCATAAAAATCATATGAAATGGTTAACTAACTTTATCAGGTTTTTTCACCTTCAAAAAAAAACACCTTTACTGGCCATATACAGTGCAGTACATTTTGCTTACTAAGTTATATTCCATCACAATTCATTTAAGATATCCATGCACAGAAAAGTAATTTTATTATATTCTGTTCCTTGTTCAACATCTAAATCCATGTACCTTTTGTGGTGGGAGCAGCCTGAGAAAACAAAGACACCATGGACTTTGAACTTAGACCAAGATTTGAATCTTACTTAAAAGTTCTGTGACCTTGGGAAAATTACCTGCTATCTCTGATCCTTAGTTCTTCTTCCGTATGATGAGTGTATGATAATATTACTTAATATTAAAGATTTCTTCTATGTGTTGAAGAAGGTAGAGTGAAGTAGAGAAAACATAGGTACTGAACACATCTTATTTGTGTTTCCCCCTCCTTTCGTGTTGTTTTTGGATTAAAAAAAAGAAATCTGACTGGGCGCGGTGGCTCATGCCCGTAATCCCACAAGTTTGGGAGGCTGAGGTGGGTGGATCACCTGAGGTCAGGAGTTCAAGACCAGCCTGGCCAACATGGTGAAACCCTGTCTCTACTAAAAATACAAACATTAGCTGGGCGTGGTGGCATGTGCCTGTAATCCCAGCTACTCAAAAGGCTGAGGCAGGAGTATCACTTGAACCCAGGAGGTGGAGGTTGCGTTGAGCTGAGATTGCGCAACTGCACTCCAGCCTGGGTGACAAAGCGAGACCCTGTCTCAAAAAAAAAAAAAAAAAAAAAGAAGAAGAAGAAGAAGAAAAGAAAAGGAATAATCTGAAAAAAATTTTAAGTCCGCAGCACTTTTAGAATATTAGAATCCTAAGCAGAAAATGGATGCCTGCCATCCTTTCACATCACAAGAAAACCTGGCAGTGTCCTAGTGTTGCTAAAGTTATGCATCATAGGGCCGTATTTAGTGTCTGTGTTTTAATGTTGAAAAACATGTTCTGTATGACTGTACTTGTCTGTGTGTATATGTGTGTTGTCTTGAATCATCATTTGTATGTCTTGATACAAGAGTCGCACTAGGACTGTTGGGTTTTTAATGTACTCTGTGTGTCATTTGTGTGTTTTCTCAATTCCTAATCAAATTTTATATATATATATATATATATCTAGAACACTCGATATACCCTTAATTAGTGACTTGGAAAATTTGACAGTGAGCAGTATCCTGTCATCTGTAACCACTAGGTCAAGGGTGTGGATCATCTAAAATTACTTTTCTCAGAAAATTATGAAACTCTCCATCCCAACCCTCTCTGTGATAATGAAGGAGAGCCAGAAAAAAGAGAAGCATTTTGTGTTGAGAATTAAGTATGATTAAGTGATGAGATAGAAGCAAAGACAGAAAACTTAAAAAAAATTAGATTTTGAGTTTGGTCACAAAGACCTCTGAAATGCTTCCTGAAAGTACAGATTTTAATTTTATTTATTTATTTATTTTTTCATTTTCATTGGGTTTCTTCTAGAACAGTGATACTTACTCTGGTAGCATAAGAAGATTCCTCTCAGCTCACCACAAAGATTCTGATTCAGCCAATTTGGTGTGGGGCCTGAGAATGTACATTTTACTCCATAGCCCAAGTGATTGAAGAATCATGTCTTAAGCATTCTGATCGCATGTGATTAATAACAAATTGTACTTGATGTATCACATGTAACTATATTATAAAACATACTCAAAATAGAAAATCTTCATAAGGTGAAATTTTTAAAAAGAGATTTAAGCCCAGGCACGTTGGCTCATGCCTGTAATCCCAACACTTTCGGAGGCCAAGGCGGAAGGATCCCTTGAGGTCAGGAGTTCGAGACCAGCCTGGCCAACATGGTGAAACCCCATCTCTACTAAAAATATAAAAATTAGCCGTGTGTGGTGGCAGGCGCCTGTAATCCCAGCCACTCAGGAGGCTGAGGCAGGAGAATCGCTTGAACCTGGGTGGCAGAGGTTGCAGTGAGCCCAAGATCGCGCCACTGCATTCCAGCCTGTGTGACAGAGCAAGACTCTGTCTCAAAAAAAAAAAAGGGAGAGAGATGTAAAGGTTTCCTTGCCTTACCCTGGAGTGTTCATGCAGTGTGCATGCTGCTCATTGAAGACCACTGGTCTAGAGTAGTTTCAAAACTGCAATTGCAGCCAATTAGTGGGTCATGACATCTATTAAGTGGGACAGAACCAACATTGTTTCAATGAAATAGTATAGACTATTTCAAAGTATTTCCTGTAGTAAAGATATTATTTCATGAAAAGTTGCTTTCAGTTATGCGTGTGTGTATGTATCTGTGGATTGGGTTGTCTATGTAAAACATCATTTCTTACTATAATCCTCCCATGGATCTTGATCTACCAAGGTTGAAACTGCTGACCTGGAAGATAGTTGTAAGCATGACCGTCTATTTGCCTTAAATTTACAACCTGTGAAACATAGGTTTATCTTCTTCCCTTCTTCTCTAGATCTTTATGAAGCCTTCCTGAGATAAAATTGACATGTAAAAAGATACATATTTAATGTATCTATCTCAGTGAGTTTGGGGATAAGTATACACCCTTGGAACCATTGCCTACTTCAAGGCCACAAACATATCCTTCCCCTTCCAGAGTTTTTTCCCACCCTCAATATTATTATTATTATTATTATTATTATTATTATTATTAATTGGGTTTTTTTGTGTGAGAGAGAACACTTATGATCTATCCTCTTAGCAATTTTCAGTATAAATACAGTATTGTTAGCTGTTAGCACTATGCTGTATAGAGCTCCAGAACTTACTTATGTTCCATAACTGAAACTCTGTACTTTAACCATTATCTCCTCATTTCCCCTCCTCCCAGTCTTTGGTGTCTACCATCATACTCTGCTTCTGAGTTTGACATACAAGTGAGACTTTTCTTTTAGCTGTGTTATCCACCAGGGTTATTTGGGAGTTGCCTTCCTCCGTGCGTCTGTGTCTACCCAAGAGAACCCAAGATCCAAAGCCTGAAGTCAATCTGGGCTTTGGATGCATGTCCTCTCCCTTGAACCAATAAAATGTTATATCTAACTATGTAGAATTGTTTCATGGGTTAAATTGTTGAGTACTTTTAAAAATAATGCTGGACTGAAAATTCAGAAGTGAAAGTTCAAGTTACGAATTATCCAACTAACTATGTTACTTGAGATATTTCAAGAGATATTTTGTGGGTTCGGTTCCTGTTTATTGCCAACTAGGTCCTCTCTTCCCATTTCCCATTCTGTATCAGTGATCAGAGTGAAAAACAACTGCTGCTTTTTTATAGGCAACTTTATTATAATATGGTGGTCAAATGAGCTACTGTAGCAAGTGGCGGTACCGCCCTAGTATTATTCTGGCAGTCTTACTCTGGATCCATAAATAGCTGTTTTTACAGTTTCCTATATAAGGTCACTTGGTCAACCTTGAGAGCCATAGTTTTGGCCGAGCATGGTGGCTCAGTGGTTCGTGGCTGTAATCCCAGCACTTTGGGAGACAGAGGCAGGTGGATCACTTGCAGTCAGGAGTTCAAGACCAGCCTGGCCAACTTGGTGAAACCCTGTCTCTACTAAAAATACGAAAAATTAGTCAGGCGTGGTGGTGCGTGCCTGTATGTAATTCCAGTTACTCAGGAGGCCAAGGCAGGAGAACGGCTTGAACCCGGGAGGCGGAGGTTGCAGTGAGCCAAGATTGCGCCACTGCACTCCAGCCTGAGTGACAGAGTGAGAAAAAAAAAAGGCCATAGTTTTCCTATGAATTAAAAAAAATATCATTTTTATTTTGCCTTTGTTGTCATCTAATGTGTTACAGATACACTTGACCTCTAATAAGATTTCTTCAATTTTATTTACAAAGTCATTTAACCTTCCCAATAAGCCATGGAACCTCTAAAGTAATAGTAACTTTTAAAAATGTTCAATAAGCCATCTTTCTTTCATTTTTAGTTTCTTCATGTTTCAAAATAATTTATCTGTAGTGAATTCTTTCAAGGGAGGGAAACCACTGATTCAAAGAGCAGTAAGGGATATAAACTCTTTTTTTAAATCTCTGCTAACATTAAACCATATTCTTAGGGAATTTAGGAATCATGTAACAACAACCCTACTTTATCTTTTGAGAGTAGCACTTGATTTTCTGTCGTTCCTCTTGGCTTCCTGTATCATTCTGTTCGGAAATAATGCTATATCTGTCACTGATGATTTTTGTTGAATTGGCCTGTTTTTGTTATCCTAAATAATATAATCACCAACTAATGTCCTTTCTGCATATTATGTAAGCACAGTCATTGCTTACATGAAAGCTCACTTCTCATGCCTATATTTTTACATGTATTATACCATATTTACTTAAAAGTGTTACCTAAAATCCATTAATCCATTAAAACCATAAGGCAACAAAACTTCTCCTAAATTTGAAAGGCTGTCATTTCAGAGCAATAAATTCTCTGAAATGTCCAATGTGAAAGTTTCCCTATAATACTGTCTTCTTTGGTTAAGATAGTTTAATTTTTGCAGTTGGTCGTAAATTGAAAGAGGGTACTCTTTTTCCCCTATAATTTTTTTCCCTTCATTTTGACAGTTCTAAAAATAAAATGTCTAGAATTCTCTGCTATCCAGTTCAGTAACCACTAGTCATATGTGACTGCTTAAATTTAAATTAGTTAAAATAAAATATAATTAAGATTTCTGTTTCTTCATCAGAGTAGCCATGTGGCTAGTGGCTAACCCTATTGGACAGCCAATAGGGTTATTGGATGATTGGATGATATTCCCATCATCACAGGAAGTTTGATTTGAGAGCTCTGGACTCGATTTTTTCCAGAAGGAAAGATCAAAATTAGGTGTGAAAAGTTAATGTCTTTTATTATATTGTATAAATGATTCCAATATAAAGATCTCTACCCGCAACTTTTTAAAATTTTTTCCTTTTGCCACTTTGGAATCTGTTTTGGTTGTAATTGGTCAGTTTCTACATATGTAGGATATATTATTATAGAATAGATCTGGGGTTTCTTCTTCCTGATATTTATCTCCACTTTCATATTTGTAATGAGCAGGCAGCTTGAGAGAGGAAGAGATTATTGAAAAAGAATGTTACAGGCTTTGAGGTTTTTGAAAGGTTTGTAGTTCATACTTAGTGTCAAAGACAAGTTTTGTTGCCTTGTGGTTTTAATGAATTGTAGGTGAATATTTTTAAATTAATATGGTATAATACATGTAATAATATTAGAAGTGAGCTTTTAATAGTGTCTCATTTTTATTTAATCATGTGAAAGATTGAGAAAGTAAATCCTTTGTGCAATTCTTAGTCTCATGCATGAGTTGTTGACTTAAGTTGTTGACAGATGGGACAAAGGGAGAAAAGTCAAACTGAGCAATGGGTACTTTGGTGGGATAAAGAGGATTGGTCGGAGGAATAAGAAAATCCTGTGTCCAGGGACTGCAGGGGTGGACCTTAGAGGCTGAAAGTGACTGAGAGAATGGGCATGTCGTAGTGTCTCTGGGGGATTTTCTTGGGATTGATGAAAATAATTTAGCAGTGACCCCACTTTTGTTGCAATCTGCCCAGCTTATATGTCCGTGTTGGCAGGGCATGCTGTTGTTGGCAACAGGGTCATCACTGAGCTCGATAAGGCAAATGGGAGCAATTGCTTTTGCTCCTTTTGACCTGTTTAGATTTTCTAATCCGGAGATGAACTCTGGGAGCATTAAGGATGCAGAAATTTCATCACAGGAGATGCGCAAACAGTGTAGCAAACAGAAATCTCCAGCTAGGTTTTGGGGTTTTCTGTTTGTTTTTGTTGTTTCATTTTGCTTTTTTTAAATCCTGTAGGTTTTATTGAAAAGTCAAGTGATTTTTTGCTCTTGAGTTTTAAAAGTTGGTGTTTTGTTTCAAACTTAAGCTAGGGCAAGATGGTTGTGTGAAATTTTTAATTTTAAAGTACCAATAGTTTGAGTTCTGCAGTATGTTCAGCTTCAGAAACTGTATGAATCTAGATGGCAGAAATTTGAAAATTAATTGACCAAATGATAGAGTGTTAGTAATCTGCTTTAGTTTTTATTTAAAATGTACAGTGCTGAAAATAAATCCTCATTTTAGTTTCTGGAAGAAGATTTTTACATTTTATAATTACTGTGAATGTAGAAAAAAAAAAGTATCCAGCTTAGGATATGGCAGAACAATGCGGGGCACGCAGTTATTTTAGTCATCTAATATGTCAGCATTCAAGAATCTGAACCGATTGTTTAAAAAAAATCTTGTACTTTGTTTCTTTTGTTGCTCATTTCCAACTTTGTCATCTGTCAGAATGCAAAAAAAAATTATCCTTCTATAACCATTGACAGGATAACACAAAAGCTGTCTCCAGGTCGATATTTTGCAGCAATATTTTTAACATACGAACAGTAGTTTTTATAATTTCACCTTGGTGCTCAACCATTTATTATCGTATCAGAAGCATGTCAGTAATTCCTTTCTAAATGTCTGCTTCTTTTAGCGCGGAGACCCACATCAAGGGCTTCACACTGAACGATGCTGCCAACAGCCGCCTCATCATAACGCAAGTTAGGCGGGATTATTTGAAAGGTATGTCACAATGCTTGACCTTTACGTCACATTAATGCCTCTGCAGATTTTTCTTGTAACGCCCTTCGAATACTTGGATAAAGGAGTCCATTTAGCAAATTACCTGCTTATCAAGAGCCTTTTGTGGTAGCTGAGAGACATAAATTACTGTACATGCATTTATAATACAGCTTGAATATGAATGTACTTGTCATTTGACCACTTAGTCCAGTTTCCATTCCATTTAACACAAGATGGGTTTTCTTAAGATGAATCACAGCTCTTCAGACATGCAAAATTTGTGTTCCAGAACGAGAGAAAGTACAGGCTTTCAAGTGCGTTAAAATTCACAGCACAAGTCATTTTGCTTTGGAAATTAACATACTTTAGAGCATCTGAAACAATTCCCAGCAGTTGTTTCTTGCATATTGTGTTGGTTGTGTGTGAGATACCAAATCAGTTAAATTGAGTGTTAAATGTGTGGGATTGTGCACCAAATGATTATAATATTGATTTTTAAAACTTAATCTAATACTTTTTTAATAGTTCATAATACCAACAGCAATAAAATACAGTGTTTGTTTGAAGTTTGGAGTTTTCAAATTAATGTTAAGAGAATGACACCTGAAAGATGTGGACATGACTTTGGGGAGGATTGGGATTGGGGTGGGGGCCACTGGTTTGATAGAGGCTGTTTATGAGTTTTGAAGGGGATGAATTGGGATGTGGAGGTCTTATGAATGATCTCCCAAGGGGCACTATGACGAATCTCTTAAATTTAGCTAAGTAGCTTTCCACTTTAAGATTTACATTTGAATTTGAGTGAATACAGTGATACTGCAGTTTTGCCAGTACAACAAAACCCACTTAGGAGATCTTCAAGAAAGGTTGAAAAAGCTCTGGAAATGTAACCTTATTGCTTCCTATCTCTGTAATAATGGTATTATTCCTCACTGCATGTTCTGGTTTTGTTTTGGGTTTTTTTTTGTTTTGTTTTTTTTTTTTGTTTTTGTTTTTTTTGAGATAGGGTCTCATTCTGTTGCCCAGGCTAGAGTACAGTGGTGGGATCGCGGCTCACTGCAACCTCCGCCTCCTGGGTTCAAGCGATTCTCCCACCTCAGCCTCCTGAGTAGCTGGGATTACAGGCGCCCGCCACCACGCCCAGCTAATTTTTGTATTTTCAGTAGAGACAGGGTTTCACCATGTTGGCCAGGCTGGTCTCGAACTCCTGGCCTCAAATAATTCTCCCACCTCGGCCTCCCAAAGTGCTGGGATTACAGGCGTGAGCCACCACGCCCGGCCTGCATGTTTATAACATAAGTTCACATCCTTGAGAGGAAGTTGTTGTTTAATTGTGCAGCTTTAATGTTGCTTATAATACCTAAATGTACTGGTCTTTAGCTGTCTTCCTAATTGATTAGTACTGAATATGTAAGTGAATAGAAAACACTTCTTGTGCCCAGACTTTTGTGGCTAGGCGCAATGGCTCACACCTGTAATCCCAGCACTTTGGGAGGCTGTGGCAGGAGGATTGCTTGAGTCCAGGAGTTCAAGACCAGCCTGGGCAGTGTAGCGAGACCTTGTCTCTACAAAAAATTTTTAAATAGCCAGGCATGGTAATGTGCACCTGTAGTTCTAGCTACTCAGGAGGCAGAGGTGGGAGAATTGCTTAAGCCCAGGAGGTTGAGGCTGCCATGAGCCATGATGGTGCCACTGCACTCAGCCTGGGCAAGAACAAAACCCTTCTCCCGGCCCCCCCAAAAAAGACTTTATGTCCTATTAGTATTTTATGTAATAAAATGATAAACAATTTTAAAACAATGAAAAGTTAAACTTGCTCGCCATATAAATAAGCTCATTGTCATAAATAGCTTTTGTTTCTGTAGACATGGAGATAAGAACAAAACACTTTTCTAATTTCAGGGGGTTCATTTTTCAGCTGAACCTGACCCAGATTTCTTCAGCTGGATTGGTACCCTTTATTTTTATGTTAGGTGCCCTGTGTAAGCTACAGGAAAGGACATGGTATAATTTCTCATCTACTCTTCTGAGCTGTTCAGCTCAATTGGAGGTTGCCTGAGAGCAGGAGCCTCGAGCGCACTGTTCCTGCACTACCTCCCCCACCCCCACCCCACCCCCCTCCCTGAGCACATCACCACAAACCTGTTGTTAGAGTAAAATGATCATCAGTGAGGACAGGAGTAGTGTTTGCACTATTCCCATCTTCTTATTTTGCTCCATGGCTGATGAGAGCTCTTGATTTTTAAAAATTCCCTTCCGTTGTTCTGCCTTTCTTTTAGGTTTCCTTTTCTCAACCCCATCTAAAGCAGAAAGAAAAAATAAAGCCGATTAAATTTTACTGTTGGTGAATATTAATAGCTGATACGTGGCACTTGTACAGTGTAATTAGTATCACTAGTGAGTAATTGAGTAAATGTTGGAATTAGGTGACAGTGGGAAAGGACCTGGGGGGAGGGATGTGGATGGGTAACATTTTTGGTGTCCCTGAAGTCATTAACTGTACAGAAGGCAAGCCTTATATGAGAATAGGATTTAGGTCACAAGGTCCTGTGCTATCTTTAGACAGATGTGAAATGGTCTGTTCTCCCCACCCTTCTGCTCTCTTGTGCACACGCGCACTCATAGACGGAAGCTCTGGGATCATTGGAATCTTCGAGTCTTGTCTAAAAATATGATTTTACCTTGGGCAAACTAATCTCTGTGCCCAGGGGTCTCATCTGTAAAATTGGTACTTGTCTCGGAAGGGTAGTTGTGACAGTAGCTGTTTAAACTGCTGTGCCTGGCATGTAGTAAATGCTCAATAAGTTTGAGTTACTGTCATCACCATCATTAATCTTATTTTTGTTATTATTGTTTTGATGTACTGTGGGAAGAGCCTCCCTAGCTGACAATATTCTTGGTTAATAAGACTATTATTATAATTATCTGTGTATGACCACCCATTAGCAAAATTTTATCAAGCTTATTATAAATATTTTTAAATAGTATAAAAACATTTTTTGTTTCCTATATGTGCATGTGTATTTTTAAATTTTTATTGACTATGCTTTTTAACCTGTTTTTCTTTTTTCTCATTTGAGAATGAGTGGTTTAAGATTGTAGATTTCAAATAATCATAAATTCTTTATTCATTAATGAACACTAAATTCATCATGTCTTTCCACTGTATTTTGAGTACACTTCAATTAATACACTTTCCCCATTTTTCTGTAAAACTAAGCTGTTCTTAGTTGGAAAGCTGTTTGGAGAGTCTTAGTTTTGTCTAAGTTACATTGCTTTAGTTGCTATAAAGCTATTAAGTTTTCTTCGATAATGGTAGGGGTGATTGTTAGGCTACTCCTCAGTCTACCACTTTATTTCATATCATGATTTTGCTACAGTTTTATGAGTCAGTTAGCTAGAAGGCTATTCCATAGTTATTTATAATCAAGTACTTGAAAGTGTGATACTTCAAAAAAACATACAAACAAAACTCCATTGATTATACTGATGCTCCTCAACTTACCGATGGGGCTAAGTCGGGATAAAGTTGAAAATGCATTAACTACCCCATAAACCCATCGTAAGTCAGGGACTGTCTGTATTTGTGGAAATCAGTAGGCATTATTTTTTAATTTAGTGCAGGAAAATAATCACAAGGCATCTAATCATAAAATAAATTTGTTGGTGTTAAAGTTCAATGTTTCAGTTTGGAACATTGATCCTAGAGGATCAATGTTTTTAGTGTTTTTGAGAAAGAATTGTTGGGATATTAAGTTTTGATGATCATTTAATCTTCGAGTTAAAATCTGGACAAGTATGAACATGGATAGAAGTCACACATTTTTGGAAACTCTAGAAAATCTTTCTTATTTGTATTCATTTGAACTTACCAACTTTAGTCACTGAATGTTATCCCTAAATGGAACTCATATTGTCGGTAACATTTGTATTTTCTCTGTGACTTAAAGAAGAAATTCCTCGGGCCTCTAATATCTTATATAGTCAAGTAAATAATTTTTGGGGGTATCTCATGAAGTATTAATAATTTTCTGTAATCTAAAATTAATTATTCATAGCTTTTTGTTTATGGCCATTTGGTGCTCATATTTAAAAGCTGGTTTTCAAAATGCATTAAAGTCAGCACAGGTCATATAAGAAAAGCCATCTCCTGCTCTTGTATTTTAGAGGCTGTGACAACACTGAAAACAGTATTGGATCAGCAGCAGACCCCTTCTAGGTTAGCAGTGACCCGTGTCATCCAGGCATTGGCCATGAAGGGTGATGTTGAAAACATAGAAGTAGTTCAGAAGATGTTAAATGGACTCGAAGACTCCATTGGACTTTCAAAAATGGTTTTCATCAATAACATTGCTTTGGCTCAAATAAAGAAGTGAGTATTTGCAAGCCTTCTTTTCCTTCATTGGTCACTAGAATGGGCATTGCCTCAGATACCACCTTTTAAAAACTTTTTTAGACATGTGGAAACCTTATCAACTGCAGAGGAAATGTTGATGCTAGTTGCTGATTAGGGAATAATTATATGTTGAAAAATATGTTTTTTCTTTACCTTAAATCTTAGAATAAACAGCATTTACCAAATTCATAAATCTTGCTCCACAGTTGATAACCTTTCTCATTCCTGTGTATATATGCCAGGCCTCTTGTTGTCGAAACACTTTGTTCAGAAGTGAAAAATGATCTCATTTGTTTGTCAGTAATATTTGATAGGGACACTAGTAGAATATTGTGAAGCAGAAGGCCCCGCAAGCTTATTAAAAATGTGCATTTCCGTATTCATATTCCTTACCCACCCCGTGAACACTCTCCCACCCCCACAAAAAGGGAGGTATTTAGAGCTGATTTTCTTACCACTGTCTCTAGATTCCTTTTGAGAATTACCCCTGTAGAAATAAATAAGGACTTGATTTTTAATAAGCTCCCTAGCAAAGTACTTTATGGAATTTGATACTTTCAGTATGCTTTTAGAAAAAATGTTCTTTAGTAATCTTGCATACATTTAATGGGACATGATATTAAAATATAATGTTTGTTTTTGTAGGGGTTTTTTTTTGTTTGTTTGAGAAACAGTTGTGTTTTGTTTTGACCTTTTCAAACTATTTCGCCAGATAGAACTTCCCTTTAATAAGAAAATGTGATTGTTTTACATTAGAAGATTGAAGAAATTACTCATCTAAGAACTGGGTGAATTTTAAAGTTTTACCACATAAACACAGTTTTATATGATTCGGAGAACATATTCACTATTAAGTAATTCCTTAAAACTTGTAAGAGAAATATATTGTAACAGTATTCATTTTTAGTTAGAGAATTATGTTTAATATAATAATTTCAACACAATATTGACTGATTGGATTTAGTATGCCATATGGTAACAGTAAAGTATCCATTATAGATTACCTTAACCAAAAAGATAGTCATAGAGATAATTTTTACCATAACTTGCTAAATAAGACCATGTAACTGATTTTTTTCAATGTAAAGTGTGAAGATACTTTTTCCTGAGATTTTTAGTATAAACTGAGTATTTTCCAAATGTATAATACCTGACAAAAAGAAATTGAGGCGACCATAAGTTAGAGACATGCATATATGCCTTTTGAAACATCATCAGTATCTTTAAGAATCCTGAGATGTTAAATACTATTTTTATGCAGTAGTGACAAGTTGTGGATCATAAAGCCAAAATTGTAGCATTTATACAAGTTTTCATTTTATATCCAAAGAGTGGCAAAAATTAAGTTAAATATTTAAGATACAGAATTTTAAAAGTTATCTTCATTAATTCTCCTGTATATAGTTGTTTGATCTTGTCTGTAGAGCATTGTTAAAACAAGCAACTATTTGAACTGCTGTGAAGCAAAATAAACAACCACTGCAGCACGAACCAGCTAGTGAATGTTTTTGCTACTTAAATGTGATTCAGGGTTTCAGTTGCCTAGTGTTTATTTGGTTAAGTGTAAATGTATTTCATTTTTTTCCTAAAGTATTAGCATGAGTGGATATAAAAGTAAGTTCTTAGACTAAACTGCCTGTAATATTAACATAAAAGCAAATTTTTAAGTAATTTATTTTGCTTTTAACAGTAATAACATAGATGCCGCAATAGAAAACATTGAAAATATGCTTACTTCAGAGAATAAAGTCATTGAACCCCAATACTTCGGCTTGGCATACTTATTCAGAAAAGTAATAGAGGAGCAGTTGGAACCAGCAGTTGAAAAGAGTAAGTTAGTTGTTTGTGCTAAAGAACACACAAGCACATTTTCTCTCTAGTGAGACTAGACCAAATTTCTTTGGTAGGTGAGTTATACCACTGTTCTAATGAAAGATTTTTCTTACCTGTCATTTTTCCAGTAAGCATCATGGCGGAGAGATTGGCCAATCAGTTTGCAATTTATAAACCTGTCACTGATTTTTTCCTTCAACTTGTGGATGCAGGCAAGGTGGATGATGCCAGAGCTCTCCTACAGGTAATGACCCTCCACTCATGGAGCAGTGGGGCTCGAGGCTTGCAAGAAGTAAATTGAGAAATTACTAGACATAGGCGTGTGGTGGAATACTAGAAATTCAGTGTGGTGTGCAGCTAGCTTGTTTACATTCAGTGTGAATCACGGTTGCAGGACAAGGACTGGATGGTAGATTTTAGGTTACTGGTTTTAAAGATGCCAGATCAAACTAGAAATGTCTTTAGAATTGAGGTAGCGGGGAGCGGCGGGTGGTGCGGGGGTAGGTATGGGGCAGCGAGTTTCGCTGAAATGATTAAAGACAAATCTTTCTGTGCAGATAGATAATGCAAAACAACAATTCCTTTGATTTTCTACTTTAATTTCTCAAATGCGCTAGATACTGTGCGTCACCATGGCAACACAGTTTGCAAACAAAAAGTAGGAAATGTTTGCTTTTCAAGTACAGCTTCTCACTTGAATACTCAAACATTCTCAGTGCCTTATTCAAGGTTTATTAAGAGTTGAATATGCTTTCTATTCACTTGTGTGTCACAGACACATTAAATGACAAATGCAGGTCTCTGTGGCCCGCACTCTCAGTTAAATTAGCAACCTTCAGGGAAGGAGACAACTGCATTCATGCCATTTTAACAGCACTAAATATAAAGCTATGCCAAGTGCCGACAGAACAGTGGGTGATCCTAGCTGCCACTGGCAATGTACACAAACAGGCACCGCCGGGGAGCCCCTTCCCAGCAGGTGGCAGTCAAACAGTCACCGTGATCCCGCCAACGGCTGTGTTTGTGTAGACTCCCTGTGTCAAATTGAGGCGTGGGACCAATTTCTGATCGTAAATAGTATTATATTCCCTTACATTTTTACCAGCTGTGAAAGATCTTAAGTAGTAGATAGGGAAGGTAAAACTACCCATGTGCTTGACCTCCAGTTTTTATTCTTCAAGTTCATCTAGTTTGACAGTAGAATCCAATCCATTTTTAAAAGGAATACCTGAAAAACTGTATCTCTGTTAACAGTTTTATAAAGGGTGAATTAGCACTGCTTCTCAGACTCTTACTTTTGTTGCTGGAGAAGGGAAATTCCGGTTCACTGGGAATTTTCTTGTTTTGCTTTGCTTGTTTACTTTTTTTCCTTTGTTTTTTTTTTTTTTTTTAATTTTAAGGAAAAGGCAGTTTATGATAGGGATTTCAGGACTTTTAAAATTGTTTTATCTTGCTATCTTACGTGGTGAAAAAAAAAAGAAGGAAGATACTCATGCTTTATCTTCATATGTACATGTCTAAGTACCTACTAGGGGTATAATAAGCATATACATATCTAATTATACACATGATGGTATGCAATCAGTTTTAACACATCCTTTTGATAGTTCTTTAGAAAGTGGCACTTGGTACTTCATCTACTAGCTTGTTCTCTGCCATAATCAAGGTTTTTCTGGAAGAGCACAATTGACAGCCGCCTGGGTGGGTGGCAGCAGGGATGGCGCCTGCTCCCTCAGAAAGAACTGCGTTATCTGCAGTGACCTCACTGAAGGGCTCTTGGTGGTAGCTGAGTGTTGATGCAACAGCAGAGTCTTTTCATTTACCATCTCATCACTAGACTGGGGTTTCAGATGATAAACCCTTCACCCATCCTTTACCTGCTTGTCAAACAGTAAAAGATTATTCTTGCCGTAGCGAAGAATACTTTATTCACAGATGTCAAAAACATCAGTGCGTAATGTAAATGTTCTGTGTGGCCCCAAAAAGTTCTTTTTATACCATTCGTTTTAGTATTGACAGTGTTTTAAAGCTTTGAAAGAGCAGTGTTCTTTTAGAAACTTAAAAGAATGACATCTGTGATGAGTGTAAACTAAAATATTGTCTTGCCATATTTGATTTTACTATAGCATCTAAGATTGGATAGACATTTGATTTATCTGGTCTGTCATGTAAACTTTTTTTTTTAGTTTAACTTTGGTCTCTTTCTCAAGCGCTGGCTGTCTGTTGCAGTGAAAGCCTTTTATAAAATAGAGAGATTGAAATCAGTCCTTTTGTATGCATAAGTGTAGGTAATTATACTTTAAAGAGAACTTGCTTTGTACATTTTAATTTTTATAAAGAAATGAGCAGTTATCTCCCTGACACCTTATTAAATGTATAATTAACCTTATGATCCCTAGCTCACTTGTGAATGCTTGGCAGTATAATTGGAGAGGAATAATGTTTCTTTTTTTCCTCTTTCTTTGCAGTCCTAAACCTTATTCTGTGGTTGTTGAAGCATTAGTTTAATTTTTCCCTTTTCTTTTTAAACAAACTTTATACTTGCAATGCCAAGGACAGCATTCACCAAAGCTTGGCATAGCTTGCACTTGTTTTCTTTTTTCTTGCCTTAAAAAATAATAGTCGACTATTAGGCCTTCCTATTGGTAATAATACACTACTGTATTATTGTGAACTTTCTTAATTGGAAATATTCAGTTTGATCCACTTGTTTATCAGAAACCTTCACTTACTGAATAATGTTTTAATTTTTAGAGATGTGGTGCAATTGCTGAACAAACCCCGATTTTGTTGTTGTTCCTCCTTAGGAATTCTAGGAAACAAGGAAAGGTACTGTGCTTTACCTGCTTACAAATCAATGATACTGTACGTGCCTTGCTCAGAAGTATTGAATTTAACATAAAAGCCTGTTGTTTCAGGACCTTATTTGAGAATACTATAGAGATTCAAGACTTTGCTTGTCTCTACTTAGAGTCAGTTTTGTCGTCTGTTAGCTGTACTGGAAATGTAAAACAAGTTCACGCAGGAATTTTCCACTTACACAGGTATGCATTGAGAGCCCCAAGAAAAGGCCCTTAAAAAATGCAAGATTAGGCTGGGCATGGTGGCTCACACCTGTAATCCCAGCACTTTGGGAGGCCGAGGCGGGTGGATCACTTGAGGTCAGGAGTTTCAGAGTTTGAGACCAGCCTGGCCAGCATGGCGAAACCTGGTCTTTACAAAAAAAAAAAAAAAAAAAAAGAAAGAAAGAAAGAAAGAAAGAAATGGAAGATTAAAATTATGTTGCTTCGGTCACCTTGGGACATTTAACAATGCAGAAGCACTACCAAGGAAAATGTACACTCCAGAGTGTCTCCTAGCACGTGGCTACTTTTGAGCATTTATCAGGTATAAACCATCAGGTAAATGAGCCACTTGGCTTTCAAATTGATATGGAGCCACAAATTAATTCTAATTTGTGCAGTTACTTTATTTACACTGTAAAAGGGGTGGGTGGGTATGTAATAGAACCAAGTCCTTTTGAAAAAATTTTTTAAAAAAAAATTTCTGTGGGTACATAGTAGGTATATCACATTCTACTTTGATGTTTAACTGTAAGTATAAAATTAAATTTCTCTTAGATCGGATTTTACCTCTTGTATACGAGAAACTACATTCTTAGTTTATTTGGGTTCTTTATGAAGTTTCAAACCACATGCCAACTGTGATGCTTGTTTTATTTGAAACATTTAGGCTGTGTCCAGTTTGGGAGGTCTACGTTTTCCTGAATTTCTACACCCTTCCCCTAGATATACCTACACTTTTAAAAAATTTGCTTCATTGCATCTGTGACTCATGTATTTATTTACTACCAACAACTTTTAGAAAATATTTAATTGCCCCTTCTTTCCTTTCAGAGAGGCTGTGTTTTTATACGTGTGATTAAAAAGTATAAGGAATCTGAAAAGCACTTGTCAGTCCACCTGTGGGACTGTGCCAAGTCCCTGTTGCCTTGTCCAGGAGATGGGACGGGAAATGCACGGCAATATGTCTGCTTAGAACATCCCACCCAGGACAGTTTAAAATAGAAGAAGCCCTGGGAGGATGCAGGTCCAGGTGTGGATTGACTGAATAAACATGCTATAGAAAGGAGTTAGGATTTTTAAGATGCCTGTTAACAGTGTTCCATTGCTTGACAGTAGAATAGTTAAGCCAGATTTTGCTCCTCTTGGTGAGATGGGAAGAGGGCATAGATGTTTATATATCCATCATGGGTTTATCCAGTAACGTTGGAGTAGGGCGGGAAATACTCAGCAGATATTCATTACGGCATAGCAGTTCTGTATTCACTCGCTACAGGAAATAAAGCCATAGCCGAGTCTGCATATTCCTGGAAGAAATAAGTAAAAATTTCAGTGAGATTCTGGAAATGCTCTTTTTTGTATGTCAAGTGTGTAACACTTCAGAATGTTTTAACTGAATTCTTTACAATTTCATCAACCAGTTGTGGCACCTAAAGATAGGGTTGTTATCTCTCTACCCTTGGGATCTCATAACTTCTTGGTATGGTCACCACTTGACAAAAGAAGCAATGTGTTTATCATATTCTAGAAAAATATTCATAGAAATGTAAGTGGAATTGCATTAACCTGTGGAAAAATGCTGGTTTCTTTTAGCTGTAGATTATTGAGTCAATATCAAATGCTAATATACAAGGGACAATAGTGCATTAAATTTAATAGGTAGTTCTGTTATAATTATTGTGAAAATTTTTAATATAGTGTTGATTTGTCAGTGTTCTAATTCACTGTTAATTTGCGGTTTTCATAATATTACCTTTATGTAATTTCCTAGGCATCAACTGTGAAATCTGTGTTAGAATTGATTCCTGAATTAAATGAAAAGGAAGAAGCATACAATTCCCTCATGAAAAGCTATGGTAATATAAGTTTAATTTGACTATATTATTTATTTAAATGGCTTTATTATTTAAGTGACTATATCATGTAAATGACTTGTAGTATAGTGAACTAAGTCTTAGTCTTCAGCTCAAAGGCAGTAATCCTAAATATCAGATAATTATGATATAAATAACTCAGTTCTGGAATATGTTTTTAAACTATTAAGAAAAATATGAAATTATGCATATAACTTTAACATTAAAAAGTATCACTGAACATCTTCCGAGCAGTCCGGGTATATTGAGTAGAATCCCAGGCTCCTGGGAAGACCTGGAAATCCTCTTGGACTTATATATCAGAAACCAGTTCAGTCTCCCCAAGGGCCTGCCACCTGAAACAAGTACACATTTGAGACTCACTTAACTGGCCTTCTTGCTCCTTCAGTACCCTCTCTGCTTGCCTGCTACTCCTTTGAAATGACAGACCCTTGATTAAAAAGTAGCCCAAGGTTTTTACGTCCCAGTTCAAATTCTGGTCTTTTAACCAGTTTGTTCCCTGATTGCCAGACAATCACATATGAAAGGAAATTGTCTAAAGTTTCCTCAGTCATCAAAATAAATGTTAGCATTTCTCAATCATGATCACCTCTCCATCTGTGGCCCACTGATTTGCTCACTGGAGGCATGGGGTAAATAAAGAATTGCTTCATTGATTTTATCTATGGGAGGACAACAGACTCAAGAATCAGAATTAGTAAGTCAGTTCTCTTTTTCCGTCCTTACAGGGAGAACATTCTGTATTATTTCAAAATAGAGCTAATAGTCATAAAATTTATCAAATTTCCAGTAACTAAACACAGGCATACCTGGAAGATATGGTTCCAGACCACCACAATAAAGCAAATATAATGAACAAAGTTACATG
Organism: Homo sapiens; assembly: GCF_000001405.40. Lineage (NCBI taxonomy): Eukaryota > Metazoa > Chordata > Mammalia > Primates > Hominidae > Homo > Homo sapiens. The sequence continues at coordinate 43,893,658 of NC_000002.12, read as the reverse complement.
AATTTTTTGGTTTCCCAGTGCATATAAAAGTTATGTTTACACCATAGTGTAGTGTATTAAGTGTGCAATAGCATTATGTTTTTAAAAAGTACATACCTTAATTTTAAGATATTGCTAAAAATAGTTAACGATCATCTGTGCCTTCAGTGAGTCATAATCTTGCTGGTAGAAGGTCTTGGCTCAATGTTGATGGCTGCTGAATGATCAGGGTGATGATTGCTAAAGGTTGAGATGTCTTAAGACAACAATAAAGTTTGCCACATCAGCTGACTTTTCCTTTCACGAAAGAGTTCTCTGTAGTATGCGATGTTGTTTGTTAGCATTTTATCTGCAATTGAATGTCTTTTCAAAATTGGAATCAATCTTCTCAAACCATACCACTGCTTTATTAACTAAATTTATGTCATATTCTGAATCCTTTGTTGTCATCTCAACAGTGTTCACAGCATCTTTACCAAGAGTAGATTCCTTCTCAAGAAACCACTTTCTTTGGTCATCCATAGGAAACAGCTTCTCCTCATGTTAAGTCTGATCATGAGATTGTAGCAATTCAGTCACGTCTTCACGCTCCACTTCTCCTTCTAGTTGTCTTGCTATTTCCACATCTGCAGTGATTTCCTCCACAGAAATCTTGAGACCCTCAAGGGGTTCATCCATGAGGGTTGAAATCAGCTTCTCCCAAACTCCTGTTAATGTTGATAATTTGACCTCCTATCAATTACAGATGTTCTTAATGGCATCTAGAAATGGTGAACCCTTCCCAGAAGGTTTTCAGTTTACTTTGCCCAGATCCATCAGAAGAATCACTGTCTGTGTCAGCTATAGCCTTATGAAACATGTTTTTTTTTTTTAATTTTATGTTTAAAACATGGAACGCTTTACACATTTGCGTGTCATCTTTGTGCAGGGGCCATGCTAATCTTCTCTGTATCATTCCAATTTCAGTATATGTGTTGCCGAAGTGAGCCCAAAATGTGTTAAGACTTGAAAGTCAAGATTACTCCTTGATCTATGGGCTGCAGAATGGATGTTTTATTAGGGCACCTGAGAACAACATTAATCTCCCTGTATATCTCCTTCAGAGCTCTTGGGTGACCAGGTGCATTATCACTGAGCAGTAATATTTTGAAAGGAATCTTTTTTTTCCTGAGCAGTAGGTCTCTACAGCAGGCTTTAAATACTCAGTGAACCATGTATAAACATCCATGCTGTCCTCTAGGCTTTGTTGTTCCATTTATAGAACACAGGCAGAATAAATTTAGCGTAATTCTTAAGGGCCCTAGGATTTGGGAATGGTAAGTGAGCATTGGCATCAACATAAAGTCACCAGCTGCATTAGCCATTGAAAATAGAGTCAGCCTGTCCTTTGAAGCTAGGCATTAGCTTTTCCTCTCTAGCTATGAAATCTTTGATGACATCTTCTAATATAAGACTGTTTTATCTACATGGAGTATCTGTTGTTTAGTGTAGCCGCCTTCATCAGTGGTCTTAGCTAGATTTTCTGGATAACCTGCCGTAGCTTCTGCATCAGCATTTGCTGCTTCACCTTGGACTTTCGTGTCATGGAGATGGCTTCTTTCCTTAAACCTCATGAACCAGCCTCTGCTAGTATTAGGGCCTTGCACTGGATTAGGCTTTGGCTTTTAAGGGAATGTTGTGGCTGGTTTGATCTTCTATCCGGACCAATAAAACTTTCTCCATGTCACTAGTAAGGCTGTGTCAGTTTCTTATCATTTGTGTGTTCAGTGAAGTAGCACCTTTTTAATTTCCTTCAAGGACTTTTCCTTTGCATTCACAACTGGCTGTTCCACGCAAGAAGCCTAGCTTTCAGCGTATCTCGGCTTTTGACATGCCTTCCTCACTAAGCTAAGCTTAATCATTTCATTTCTCGCTTCTGATTTAAATGAGAGATGTATGACTCTTTCACTTGAACACTTAGAGGCTATAATAGGGTTTTTAATTGGCCTAATTTCAATATTGTTGTGTCTCAGAATAGGGAGGCCTGAGTAGAGGAAGACAGGAGAATTACTAGTCAGCATCGCAGTCAGAACACGTTTCTCAAGTTTGCCATCTTCCATGTGTATGGTTCATAGCATCCCCCAATTACAATAGTAACATCAAAGATCACTGGTCACAGATCACCGTAACAGATATAACAATAATGAAAAAGGTTGAAATATTCCAGGAATTACCAAAATGTGACACAGAGACACAAAGTAAGCACATATTGTTGGAAAAATGGCATTGATAGACTTGCCCAAGGCAGGGTTACCATAAACCTTCAATTTGTAAATAACGCAACATCTGTAAAGTGCATTAAAGCCAAGGTATGCCTGTAATGTGAAATAGTGTCAAGCGCATAAATCTGTGTGTGTTACTACTAAATTAGGTAATCCATTTTGGGAGGAAGGTAGAAAATCAAGAAGTAAAGAAAGGCAAGATGCCAGAATTTTCGGAGCAGCTTCCTAGAAGATAGAGCTTGAGCCCTTAAAGGGTTCAGCTCCTCAGGAAGGGAAATAAAGGATTTACACAAGAAGTTGACTTCATGGAAACAGCAAAGATGTGTTCCAACTCCACTAAGAGCTGATGAGTCACCCTCATTCCACTTTGGGAGACTCTTTGATTGCTGAACGTCTCACCTCTGTCTTAGGGGTTCCCCTGGTGCTGCCGGAGTTGCGGTTGACAATATCAGAGTCAGTGTAGGGCAGGGGTTTATGTGATGCTTAGATGCTAACAATCTAATGCAAAATTAAGGAGTTGAATTACCAGCAGTAATTGTTAGCAGAGCCCTTACCATCTCCATGGTAAACTAAAAAATTTCCACAAATCAGCCACAAGTAGAGAGCCAGCCAAATTTGGCTCCTAACATATTTCATCATTCACTTAAGTGAAACTAGTGTAACTTGTTAATGTCTCCTTATAGGTTTTGCTTTTGTTTGTTTTTTGAGATGGTGTCTCGCTCTTGTTGCCCAGGCTGGAGTGCAGTGGCACCATCTCGGCTCACTGCAAGCTCCACCTCCCGGGTTCACACCATTGTCCTGCCTCCGCCTCCCAAGTAGCTGGGACTACAGACACCCGCCACCACGCCCGGCTAATTTTTTGTATTTTTAGTAGAGACAGGGTTTCACCATGTTAGCCAGGATGGTCTCGATCTCCTAACCTCGTGATCCGCCTACCTCGGCCTCCCAAAGTGCTGGGATTACAGGCGTGAGCCACTGCGCCCGGCCTATAGGTTTTTTGTGTGTGTGTATCATTGTAGCTAACTATACTTTCCATATTTGTTTATTTTACAATAGAAAAATGAAAAGCTTTTTTGATGTTGAGCTGATGATCTTGATGTTGATGTAGATTTCTACATAATTGACATGTCCCTCTCCACAACAGTTCCTGGATTATCTTGATTTCACAGTGGTTTTAAGCCAAAGGGGATTGAATGGTGTGTATTATTTTATAACTGAGGACTTCAGTTTGTGGTCACTTGAACTATCATAGGTCTTAAATAATGTAATAACCTAAGTGAATGGTATCAATATTATTCTAAAGTCCTTTAAATGTAGCCATATTTGTCATTTTCTTCTCCTTCAAAGTGAGTGATGCCGAATGAGGGATGTAGAGAAGTGAGGGAGATGGTAGATTCTGAATGTGGCTTCTTACTGAAAGTAGTTAAGTGTTCATTTGCCGTGGGATAAAGGGATCCAGCCGTCCCTGAGTGGCTGTTTTGGTGAAAAGAGTAAGATAGGTTGTCTTTATCTCTGATTAATATATTTTTTTCTTTATGTCAGTCTCAGAGAAAGATGTCACATCTGCTAAAGCACTGTATGAACATTTGACTGCAAAGAATACAAAATTGGATGATCTGTTTCTAAAGCGTTACGCATCTTTGCTGAAGTATGCTGGAGAGCCTGTCCCTTTCATTGAACCCCCTGTGAGTATTTCTTAATTAAGGGGAAAAAATACCTCTGCAGATTTATGTGCACTTCATAACAATGTGTAAGAAAATAAGTTGAAGACTTAATTACATGAGGATTAGATCTCTGTGAAGAGCCCTCAGGGGATGGCTTGAGGGACTGAGCAGCATGCCTTGGCTGCGGCAGTCGGAGAACATAGCTCTCTGGGGCCACAGTTTAAAATACAAGGTCTGTCTCAGACCTTCAGCTATAGGCATGGATTTACCAAATGTCCTTGGGGCAGTTCTCTCATTTCAACTTGAAATAGGATTTAATGGCCTGTAGTTCAACAGCCAAGCATATTATGTCAGTGGTAATTACTTGTTCATTTACATAAGTTGGTTTTTATTTCTTCGTCTAGGAAATTTTGCCTTTTTTTTTTTTTTTTTTTTTTTTTGAGATGGAGTCTCGCTGTGTTGCCCAGGCTGGAGTGCAATGGCACGGTCTCGGCTCACTGCAACCTCCGCCTCCCAGGTCCAAGCGATTCTCCTGCCTCAGCCTCCCAAGTAGCTGGGATTACAGGGGCCTGCCACCATGCCTGGCACATTTTCGTATTTTTAGTACAGATGGGGTTTCACCATGTTGGCCACGCTGGTCTTGAACTGCTGACCTCGTGATCCGCCCACCTCGGCCTCCCAAAGTGCCGGGATTACAGGCGTGAGCCACTGTGCCCGGCATGTTTTCTTTAATAAGAGAAATCACATATGCACAATTCCTTTTTGTTATGTCATTGAACTGAGTCAATACACCGTGTTTATTTCAAACACCTCAGCCTTCCATACCCATACCTCCATATGTGCACACACACATGCTTGCACATACACACGTATACACACACGCACCCTACCTCCTGCTGCTAGCTTTAACTCTGAACCCGAGGCCCTTGAACTTGTGATTTCATGAAACAAGGAAGGAGTACTGAAGCTTGAGGGGCAGCATCTTCCATGGGCCTGGCAGTCTTAGCTACCAGTTGGTAGTGTTTTATGATTTTTTAAGTTATGTACCATCACCTCTTGCTGGTATCTCTAACTTCCCTCTTTTTTTCTCCTTAACAGGAAAGCTTTGAATTTTATGCACAGCAGCTAAGAAAATTGAGGGAAAACTCTTCTTGAAATAACCAGGCGATACTTTGTTTTGTATATATTTGTGATTCTGTGTCTACATGTTATTTTGAAGTATATCTGAGGGAAAAATAAATGAAAATTTTCTTTATGTACTTATGTATGTGTGATGCATGTTCAAAGTCTTATTGACCATAACTCTGTGCACTTGGTTATTGGACATTTTTGGAGTTTTTTTCTCTGGGAAAAATCGATAGTGTTTTCTTCAATGCTGCTGCTGTGTGAAGCCATACTTTTTCAGGATTCTTCCCCTAATTGGCTCTTTGGTTTCCCTGCTCTGTTTCATTTATTTCATTAAAATGTTATTCCTTTATTTAAGATTCACTTATTAGTCTGCTGTTTCTCTGAAAAATTTTAGAGCTAGGTATAGTGACCGTGAACTTTCTAACGCATAATATTCTGTGATACAGCCATTCCGTACATGTGTGAAGTCCTGCATAACTTTCGAACTTTGTTAAATGTTGGCACTAGGAGTCATCAGATCTAGGCTTCATCATTTTCCAGTGAGAAGCAGAGACCCAAAGGGCCTGTTACTTGTGCTTGGTCAGGGGACTGTCTGTCATGCCTGGAGGCTCTTCGGCACACTTCCCCATCTTTCCCTTCTGCCACTGTGGCTTCAAGCACCTCTGTTCATAGAGCGTCTCTGAAATTGAGTCTCGGTCATGACTTATCCCGAAGTAGAGCAATGTGTTTCCTCTCATTGTAGTTTCAGGACTTTGTCAGTACAAGCTCTGCCCTAGGCTTGTTACTTTATACTCATATCCTGAAAAGATGTGATTTCATCTATGAAGGGGTAAAATATTGGTTTGTATTTAATTGTTTGAAATAAAAGTGATCCCTATATTGAATCTCATGCCTGTTAATATCTACACTGTAAGTAGTGACTTCAAAAAAATTCTAAGATAGGTAGTCAGGAGAGTTTGCCATTATAAAAGGTGTCTTAATAATATGGAATATTGACCTAACTGGAGATGAGGTAATTAATTACCGAAATGTTGAAAATGTTTTGAGAACTCTCCCCATTTTGGGGTATTCCTTGTTCATTTGAATTTGGTGACTCCCTACTGTTCCAGTTTCAGTGCCAACTTGGGTCACACTGTTCACATCAGGGGAGACCTTGCCTTGGGGACGTAGGCGGGCCTCTTGCAACTTGTGCTGTTGACCTTCTGTCTTGTGGAACTCTCTCTCCTGCATCTGCTACCTGCCCGCAGATGGTGTGAGGGAGGGTTGATGGCGGGAAGCCAGGAAGTAGATGTCATCATGGTATTGGCCAGGCTTTTACTTCAACTCTTTTTGTGGCGTTAGATTTAAGGAAGCAGGGGGCATGGCCAACGTTGAGTCTTGGCCCAGTGGACATAGTGCGGCTTTCCCTTGAGCACTGCCCAGATGCAGGACCTGCACATGTTACAGGTTTGCCAAAAGCATCTTTTTTTTTTTTTTTTTTTTTGAGATAGTCTTGCTCTGTTGCTTAAGCCAGAGTGCAGTGGCGCAATCTCAGCTCACTGCAACCTCCGCCTCCTGGGTTCAAGTGATTCTTGTGCCTCAGCCTCCCACGTAGCTGAGATTACAGGCTTGCACCACCATGTTCAGCTAATTTTTGTATGGTAAAGACGGAGTTTCACCATGTTGGCCAGGTTGGTCTCGAACTCCTGGCCCCAAGTGATCCTCCCCCTGCGCTCGCTTCAGCCTCCCAAAGTGCTGGGATTACAGGTGTGAGCCACCACGCCTGGCCAAGAGCCTCACTCCTGTCTTTAGTGATTGCACTGAAGCAGGCCTCATTTTTTTGCAGTCATGCTAACCACAAGTTAGTCAACATTCACTAATTGACATTCATTAGAATAGGTCTCCAAGGTGAGGCATAACGTTGGGGTGTAATCTGGATTTCGCAGTCATCTTTTTGGGGAAACTGAAAGTACCATCTCATTTGCATGAAGTGACTCCACACTGGCCCTGTATATGGACTCTGGTAAAATGTGAGTGTGGTACAGAGGAAATAGGTAAGACCCCCTTATCTAGCCCTCTCGGCAGCAGCGGGGGGGTGTTACAAAGGACTAGCTGTTCAAATATCTTTTGTATTGTATTGATTCCCCTATTGAATATAAATATTTAAAGTATAATAACTATACTGTAGGTGGGCTTATGAGTGTTCTAAATATCTAATAGCTAAATTGAAATAAGTAGAAATATAAACAATTTAGCAGCTTTCTGTAATACATTTACACTCAAATTATAAGCAGCTAATTCTAAAAAAGATGTCACTGTAAACTATTGAGAACTATAGTATTTTATATATAATTATATGTTCATGTATTTGAACCCAAAATAATTTTAACTGAAATGCTTTGAATAAAGTATACTGTAAATATCTGTGGGCTGCTGCTGCTTTTTTTTTTTCTTTTTTAAACAAACAGTCTCACTCTGTTGCCCGGCCTGTAGAGCAGTGGCGTGATCACGGCTCATTGCAGTCTTGACCTCCCAGTCTCAGGTGATCCTCCCACCTCAGACTCCCAAGTAACTGAGACTACAGGTGCATGCCACCACGGCCAGCTAATTTTTTGTATTTTGAAGAAACAGAGTTTTGTCCGGTTGCCCAGGCTGGTCTTGAACTCCTGGGCTCAAGCAGTTTGCCCACCTTGGCCTCCCAAAATGTTGGGATTACAGGCACGAGGCCCTGCACCCAACTGGCACCTTCATTTTTATCTTGTCAAATGTTTGCACAAGTGCTTTAAGCCATTTCAAAAGACTTCAGTCTTAGAATTATAAATTAAAACTTAGGCAGGGACCTCTGTTATGGCTAGAATTTCCTTGTTAAATGGCCTATAGGTTGTATGTAGACAACTGACAAAAGTCAGTGCTTATCTGTTTTAAGGACAAGCAGATAATTTGAGACTTCTGTGGAATAAAGTTGGCAAAAATTAGAAGGTAGAGCTTGGGTGTGTGGTAAATTGACACCTAAAATGAAGGAGGTTCTATCTGTATCAGAGCATTTTACATCCCCCTAGATGGCTGGGGCCCACCCACCTCACGGACAGGCTGCCTTCAGCACCTGCACCCTTTTTCGAGAATGCTGAGATACCGTCAGTGTCACCTCTGCCTCTTGGGCCCCTCACCCAGCATATTGTTCCCTTTCCAGGGCTTCCACGGCTGCTTGAGCAGAGCAGGTATCACACTATCTTCCACACAGATTCTGAACTCCACAGGGACCAGTTCTTGGTCTCATTATGTGTCCCCAGACCTAGCATAATCCTGTCACAGTAAATCAAGCCGTCTGTAGTCAGTTCTGTGCGTTCTAAACACTGCACCTACTGCTATGGGTCAGGCAGCCCTTTTGCAATGAGAATTCACCGTGAGAAACCTAGGGTCACAGCAGTGAATTTGCCCAGAATCAACTTGATAAGTTGCATGGCTAGGACTCTGACTAAAATCATTTACTTCCTATGAATAGGAAATGGAAGCAATCGGTTTAAAGTCAGTTAAAAGTCAAATTGGAATTGAAACTGTAAGAATATTCTAATTAAAAAAAAAAACCCTCACATTCACATTAATAGAAGTGCTCCCAGTTTCCAGACATCTTACACTGTAAGCCTATTTTCTTACACTTAATTGAAGATCCAGTGCCTGGCATAATCGCTGAGTTTACCAGTTCCAGTAAATTATTAAGCAAGCTTTGTATTGCAAATTGTTCTGAGGACAATTTCTTTCTCAAGTCTGCAATGTGTGTACTCTGCACACTTTTTCTCATGTCCTTGAGCATAATTTTCATTTAATATTTGTCTTTCTGATGAACCAATATTTGTAGAATTTCTATAACCGAAAGCAACATTCCTGAAGGAGGGCCGAACTAATAGCTGCAGGGAGTACAAAATCACGGTAATTTATCGCTTTCCTGTTGTACAATCATGCATGGGAGTGTTTCCATTAGAAATGTATCGTGCTTTCAGGCCCGTGGACTTTACAAAGCCTACATTATGCAGCCTTAGTACAAATAAAGAAAAGCTGCATTAGCAAATCAAAAATAGGCACTTATCTTTTTCTTTTCTGCATGGAGGAAAAAAAAAATCAGGTCCAGGTAAAGCAAAAGTGTTCAACCAGCTTCAGTCTTCCTGCCCTTGCACAGTTGTTTGGACAATGGTTGGCTGTTGAGATCTATCCTCAGAGAGTTCTCTAAAGTAGCGTGTTGTTTTTTATTTATTTATTTATTTATTTATTTATTTTTTGAGACGGAGTCGTGCTCTGTTGCCCAGGCTACAGTTCAATGGCGCTATCTAGGCTCTGCAACCTCCGCCTCCCGGGTTCAAGCTATTCTCATGTCTCAGCCTCGAGACTAGCTGGGATTATAGGCGCCCACCACTGCACCCGGCTAATTTTTGTATTTTTAGTAGAGGCGTGTTTTTGTCATGTTGGTCAGGTTGGTCTTGAACTCCCGACCTCAGGTGATCCGCCCGCCTCAGCCTCCCAAAGTGCTGGGATTACAGGTGTGAGCCACCATAAAGTAGCGTCTTCAACCCAGGCCTGGATGTGCCCTTGCTGTGACATTCCCATTATTTACTTGTTTTTGTCTGTTTTCTCCCTGAGGAGGTGAGTTCTTCCAGCACTCTGCAGACCTGCCAATTAGCAGAGCTTGGCATGATAGGCACCCGGTAGGCATCACTGAATGAGTCAATCAATGGGCACACCACCATGTCCTTCCCCTTTCCAAGTCGTGTTCCTTCTGAGATGGATGATTTGTGTGCTTTGGAGGGTTTCCTCCACATGGTGGTCTTCTTACAGGATTTCTAGTCAGCTCTGTAGCTCAGAGTTAGGACACCGGGGATTGAGGCCCAAGGAGTCCTTCAAAACCCAAGTGCCCACATAAAAATATTTTCAAGTTTACTGTCAGGAAGAGGAGGCCTGTGAAAACCAGACAAACTCAAGATCAAGCTGATTCCAAGCACAGTGCAGGGCTTCTGTGCAATAGTGGAATAATGGAATCAACACAAATAAAGCTTTTCTTTTCTCTCTTTTTTTTGAGATGGAGTTTCGCTCTTGTTGCCCAGCCTGGAGTGCAGCGGTGTGATCTTGGCTCACTGCAACCTCCATCTCCTGGGTTCAAGTGATTCTCCTGCCTCAGCCTCCCAAGTAGCTGGGATTATAGACATGTGCCACCACACTCGGCTAATTTTGTTATTTTTAGTAGATATGGGGGTTCCACCATGTTGGCCAGGCTGGTCTTGAACTCCTGACCTAAGGTGATTCACCCACCTTGGCCTCCCAAAGTGCTGGGATTACAGGCATGAGCCACCACGTTCTGTTTTTCTTGTTGTTTTGTTTTGTTTTGTTTGTTTGTTTGGAGATCGAGTCTTGCTCTGTTGCCCAGGCTGGAGTGCAGTAGCGCGATTTTGGCTCACTGCAACTTCCGCCTCCCAGGTTCCAGTGATTCTGCTGCCTCAGCCTCCTGAGTAGCTGGGACTACAGGCACTTGCCACTGTGCCTGGCTAATTTGGTATTTGGGATAGAGATGGTGTTTCACTATGTTGCCCAGGCTGATGTTGAACTCCTAACCTCAAGTGATCCACCCACCTCAGCCTTCCAAAGTGCTGAGATTACAGTCATGAGCCACTGCGCCCAGCCGAAAGAGCTTTATTTTTAGCATGGGTCAGTAGAGCTTATTAGCAGTTTGGGGAAACAAGAATATTTCCAATTTTAAAGAGACGAGACAATCATACAAATGATGTGAGCACTATTACATAGAAAGCAGAGAAGTGTTTTTGAGTTGGTTTGTGTTTAAAAATCTCAACCCACTGCTTAAACGTTGTTTTAATTATTAGCTGCTAACACCACACGTGCTGCTGTTCCTAGTGCACCAGCAGAGAATGGGCTGTGCTCCATCTGCCTGCCTGCCTACCTGCTGAAGCTGCCTCAGGCAGAGCTCATGTGATAAAGACAGGGGATGTTGCTCTGTACCCAGGCCACTTTAAATGAAGAACAAATCATTATCAAGTACGAATGACAGATGACTTGAAATCTGAATTATCTAGTGCAGACTATTCACAAATAAGGATGTCTGTTGTCTCTCAGGTGTGAGCATTGGATATATTTTGCAAACAAGCAAAGGCCAACCAACAAAATATTTCATCACTTTCCCCGCATTCCAGTTCCTTGCACGCTTCCTCAGGGCCTGTTTGGTGCTCCAGACCCCAAGGCCGGTTGGGCCAAAGGAAAGTGGTCTGTATGCTGTGCTAAGCCACTATGAGGAACCCCTGGTCCCAGGTCTGTTAACACTTGGATTTGACAGATTTGAACATTTCTGTTGCTAGTTGTTTAATTTGGGATCATGACAAGAGTTGAAGTAGAAGAAAACAAAAGCAAATGCGAGATCTACCTCTGTAGACTGGTTTAACCCAGGGCAAGATTACATCTTATATACTATTTATAGGAACAAGAGCAGATTTTTTTTTAAATCAGGAAATATTTGAGCCAATATTGGTGATTATTTTCTGTTTAATTAAAATTCCCCACCAATAGCATAACTTGAAATTGGAGGGCTTAAAATGCAAATTTGAAAACCTTTACCAAGGCTCTGCAAACTACACCCTCAGGTCAAATCTAGCAACCTGCCTGTTTTTGTAAATAATACTTTCTTAGAAGACAGCCACACCGGCTGTACGTTACTATAGTCTACAGCTGCTCTCACACTGTAACAGCAGAGTTAAGTAATTGCAGCAGAGCCTATAAGGCCCACGAAGTCCCAAATATTTACTATCTGACTCTTAACAGGAAAACTTTGCAAGCCATGCTTTCAATACTGACAAATAAACAAATCTCTACCCTTTCGCAATGCAGGGCAGGGCTCGCTGAACAGCATGCATGCCTCGAGAGCCTTGGGTTTTTTTTTTTTTTTTTTGAGACAGAGTATCGCTCTGTCACCAGGCTGGAGTGCGGTGGCTCAATCTCGGCTCACTGCAACCTCTGCCTCCCGGATTCAAGCGATTCTCCTGCCTCAACCTCCCAAGTAGCTGGAACTACAGGCACGCACTACCATGCCCAGCTAATTTTTGTATTTTTAGTAGAGGCAGGGTTTTGCCATGTTGGCCAGAATGGTCTCGATCTCCTGACCTCGTGATCTGCCCTCCGCGGCCTCCCAAAGTGCTGGGATTACAGGCGTGAGCCACCGCACCCGGGAGAGCCTTGGTTCTTTGTTTTCCTGGCCTCACAATGCCTTGAAGAGCATTTTAAACAAAACAGACCCATGGGATCAGAGTCTCTGGGCAATGGGTCCACATTGGCTTTTGTTAAAGCTCCAGCATGGGCAACCAGGGTGGAGAACCACCGCTGTAGGAAAAACACAAATAAATGGCAGCTGCTATATTTTCTCCATCCCTCCTGCCTTTGCACTTTGCCCTTTTCCCCTTCAGCACGGCATACAGAGCCACTGAGTTACCAAAACCCATTGCAGACCGAATGGTGAACTCACAAAGTCAGGTGATGTATCTTAGTGGCTGTCAATCACTGCACATTAGAATTACCTGGGGAGTTAAGGCAAGCTACCAATGTCCTCTTCATCCTTCCCCCTTCTTCATTCAGGCCTAACGCCATTAGGGGACCACAGTGACAAGGAGGTGGGGGGAAGTTGTGGTGGGCCACGGGAGTGTGAGGAAGACAGCTGCAGACTCAGGGAAAGCTGGACTTGGGAGTTAGAGCCTGAGCAGGGTAGGCAGGACGTCCATACAGGAGAAGGCGTGGCAGTGTAGATGGGAGATTACTTACCTGCAGGCGGTTAATCAAATGAGTAAATAACCTAAGGGTAATGGAAGCCAGGTTTCTCACAATTAGAGAAGAGGGAAGAACCTAGGATCAACTCTGTGATGCTGGATTGGAAATGGATGTTATCAGAGTAAACTCATGTGTACTTAGGTGTATATGTATGCACATGCGCGCGCGCGCGCGCACACACACACACACTCCCTAACTCTGTTCACTGAGAGAGCCTGGGAGCAGAGATGTTCCACAAGCAAAGAGCATACTTATCACCAAAACCTTGGCTTCTAAATACCATTTTCCACTAAGAGGAACCCAGATTCTCTGGAGAAACATCGGATTCCAGGGCTGAGATGGGAAAATACAAGATGAACCTGTGACACCAGGTGCGGTGGGTCACACCTGTAATCCCAACACTTTGGGAGGCCGAAGCAGGCAGATCACTTGAGGCCTAGAGTTCACAACCAGTCTGGCCAATATGGTGAAACACTGTCTTTACTAAAAATACAAAAATTAGCCAGGTGTGGTGGTGGGCACTGTTAATCCCAACTACTTGGGAGGCTGAGGCAAGGCAATCGCTTGAACCTGGGAGGCAGAGGTTGCAGTGAGCCGAGATCGCGCCATTGCACTCCAGCCTGGGCCACAGAATGAGATTCTGTCTCAAAAAAAAAAAAACAAAACAAAAAATGAGCCTGAAACTCTTGGTTGTTTCAGCCCTCAAAGGATGATGAGGACATATCAAAAGGATGCAGAAGCCAGCTCGACGGGGTTCCCACTGGCCAAATCAGGGACAAGCTGAGCATCAGAATTAATCACAATAATAAAGGGTTGTAAGGATACAATGGGAATTCACAAGTTTACATCAATCAAAATTTTAAAATGCATAAATGGAAAGTTTACAATTTACATAGTTTCAAAGTACCCACTTACAAAATGCTTATTAATTATAAAGGGAGGGAAAATAGTAACTTGGCTGTGGAGAAGCCTAGCAGACACCCCTTTAATCAAGTGATCAAAGTGAACGTTGTTGGTATGGGAGAAGTTGAAATCACATGCCTTCTGATAGGATGCACTGGGCAGAACACAAATTGAGAGACAGCCTTCAAACTCAAGTATCAAGGTCACAAAAGTGAAGGAAAGTTGACAAACTGTTCCTAAACTGAAAGAGACAAAAGAGACTTGAGAACTAGATCCAAGGCTTGATTCTGGTCTAGATCCCCTTGCTATGGAGGACATGATAGGAACTCCCAGTCAATCTCAAGAATGGGGTCTGCAGGTTGGATGGTGGCAACATGACCGTGCAAGCATCCTGAGTGTTGCAAGTGCTTTGGAAAACGGCAGCATGCTTGAATGTGCACAGATCACCAGGGGGTCTTCTTAAGACGCAGACTCTGACTCATTGAGCCTGGGTGGGGCCTGAGGCTCATGGGACCTATCCAATCAGCTCCAGCTGTGCCCATTCTGCTGGCCCAGGGATCGTACTTGGAGTAGCAAGACTCTAGTGAACCTATGAAGAGTATTTGCTATTTACCTCCCAAACACGCACCTTCCCCTTCTTTTGATTCTAAACTCTAATTTTCCTTTGGGAACATCCTCTCCTGCCCTCTGTGCACCTGTTTTGGGTCAGATAGTCCCCAACACTCAGGCAAGAAGTGTGCAACCTGGGCCTCTGCCTCCCCATCCTCTGGCCACTGTGAAAGGTTCAAGGCTGGTTCTGAAACCCAGGCAGGGCCAGTGTATTCATCTGCTCTCACACTGCTATGAAGAAATACCCAAGACTGGGTAATTTATAAAGAAAAGAGGTTTAACTGACTCACAGTTCAGCACGGCTGGGGCAGCCTCAGGAAACTTGCAGTCGTGGTGGAAGGCTCCTCTTCACAGGGTAGCGGGAGAGAGAATGAGAGCCGAGCGAAGAGGGAAGCCCCTTATAAAACCGTCGGATCTCATCAGAACTCACTCACTCTCAGGAGAACAGCATCAGAGAAACCACCCCTATGATTCAATTATCTCCATCTGGTCCCGCCCTTGACACTTGGGGATTATTACAATTCAAGGTGAGATTTGGGTGAGGACGCAGAGCCAAACCATATCAGTTAGTGAAATGCAACTCTAAGAAGCCTGGCTGAGTTAACAGCCTCTACAGACCCCATTTGTCTTCTGGAGCCTTCCTAAACTCCTAAGGCTTACAGCGGCTCAGGCCTTGCCTTCTGCCCTCTAACTCCAAAGGCCTCAAAGGCTTTTCTGATCCCCATATGACTCCACCACAAAGTATCCATGTGCCCTTAGGAAAATGAATTTTTGCTTCAGTTTTCACACCTATAAAATGGGATACCACTTACCTCAAGGGATTGTCCACCTAAAGTGTTTTCACAGGACCTGCTACAGAGTAGATGCTCAATACATTTTTAATTGTTCACGTTGGCTTTTGGAGCCCATGACCCCACACAAAAAGAAGGGATGGCATCTTGCTGGTACATCTTAGGTCACTTTCTGTATTGATGGTGGCTCACCACGGAGTGTGGGGCCCCTGGAAGATGAAGCCAAATCTGCTAGCTACTGTTATTGTTCCCTCCAGGTTCCAACAATTCCTGCACAGTCTAGCTACCCAATTCATTCCTAGTTTGCTCCCATCCTATATCGAGTTGCCTATATAAATGCATATCAAAAGGAAATAAATTAGCAACGTTGTAGGTGCCACCGAGTGCAGGTTTTCTCCCAGTCATCGCAGTCTCCTGCCAGTGAGCAGAAATCCCTTTCGACTGTCTTTATTCTACTGCCATCCTGTGGCTGGTCTGTGCCACTGCAGCACCCTGGGCCGGATGTAGCTGAGCATCTGTAGGGTCATTGTCCTCACTGTCCCCAGGAAGGGGCTCCTGAGGAGGGAGTGCAGTTGAAGGGTCTGCTCAGGTCCCCCACCAGCGGGCAGACGTCTGGCGTGAATCACCAGTCTTGACTTGGTTTCTGTTTGATGAACCTTAAGGACACGTAGTACAGGACCATGAAGCCACCGCTGAGGCCAATGACGATGAGGTAGATGGCGTAGAGAGGGTACGAGTCCAGCTCCATGACACTGAGGATCTGGAGACACAGACATGCAGTGGGCTCATGAGGAGGATGGAAAGCCGGACGTCCAATAATTTAGAACCCGAGGCCTTCCCCGCTTACTTTATCTCCTGAGACCGCGATGGTGAGGTTCCCGAGAGGCATTTTATAAGTTCTTCTGCTGAACTGAATCTTCATCAGCCCTTCAAAACACCACCGCAGGAAGGACACTTTGGAAATCCACGCGGGCACTGGAGACAGACAGCCGCGTTACTCACAGGTGTCCCTCATATTCTCATGGTTTCCCCATATTCGCATGGTCTCCCCCATATTCACAGAGTCTCCCCATATTCCCATGGTCTGCCCATATTTGCATGATCTCCCCATATTCCCACAGTCTCCCATATATTCAGTCTCCCCATATTCCCATGGGCTCCCCATATTCGCACGATCTCCCCATATTCCCACGATCTCCTTTATATTGATGTGGTCTCCCCCATATTCACACAGTCTGCTCATATTCCCACAGTCTCCCCATATTCCCACGGTCTCCTTTATATTGACACGGCCTCCCCCATATCCAGTTTCCTCATATTCCCATGGTCTCCCCATATTCCCATGGTCTTCTTTATATTGACATGGTCTTCCCCATATTCACACAGTCTCCTCATATTCCCACGGTCTCCCCATATTCCCACAGTCTCCCCCATATTCACAGTTTCCTCATATTCCCAGTCTCCCCATATTACTAGAGTCTCCCCATACTCCCAGTCTCCCCCATATTCACACAGTTTCTTCATATTCCCATGGTCTCCCTATATTCTCATGGTCTCCCCATATCCCCACTGTCTCCTTTATATTGACACGGTCTCCTGCATATTCACATGATCTCCCCATATTCCCACAGTCTCCCCATATTCCCATGGTCTCCCCATATTCGCACAATCTCCCCATATTCCGACGATCTCCTTTATATTGACATGGTCTCCCCCATATTCACACAGTCTCTTCATATTCCCACGGTCTCCCCCTATTCCCACAGTCTCCTTTATATTGACACTCTCTCTCCCATATTCCCACAGTCTCCCCATATTCCCACGGCTCCTTTATATTGACATGGTCTCCCCCATATTCACACTTTCCTCATATTCCCACAGTCTCCCCATATTCTCACGGTCTCCCCATATTCTCACAGTCTCCTGCATATTCATGTGATCTCCCCATATTCCCATAGTCTCCCCATATTCCCATGGTCTCCCTATATTCTTGCAGTCTTCCCATATTCTCACCGTCTCCCCATATTCCCACGGTCTCCTCCTATTCTCATGGTCTCCCCGTATTCCCATGATCTCCTTTATATCGACACAGTCTCCCCCGTATTCAGTCTCCCCATATTCCCATGGTCTCCCCACAGTCACACAGTCTCTCTTACCTGCACAAGGGCACATCCCACTCTCTGAGACAGGGCCATGGTGGCTCTGGCCCAAGTTCTCTGATGAGCAAGGAGGGGAGAGAGACCAGAGACCAAGAGGCAAAAGGGCAGAGGGGTTGCTGGGGACATGGACTGGGGCCGAGGGAGCTGAGAGGCCACGGGGTCACCCACACATTTGATCCATAGCAATTCTCGAGAGGGATGTGATGAGGCATCCCTGCACGTGCTCAGCTTCATGGACTGTGTGGGCTGAGGAGACTCAGCGGCCCCACACCAGAGACAATGGAGCCTGTGCCCTGATCCTATGGAGGTGGCATGGTATGGGGAGGGGAAGGAGGCAATGAGCCCTGCCTGGGTGCATCAGGAAAGCCCTGGCAGAAGAGATGCCCCATGGAAGGCGGGCATGACATTCCCAGAGACAATAGCTGGGCAGGCTCAGAGGTGAGAGGGTGGGGTGTGCTGGGGGCTTCAGAAAGCTGGGGAGGCCGCAGGGATTGAGCAACCCTGGGAAGATTTGAACAAAGGGGGGCATGGGTTTGCACCTTGGAAAGCTCACTCTGCGTGGCTGAGTCGAGAGGGATGTGGAGGGGCCCAGGTTACAGAGACCAGGCTATGGCAGTGGCCCAGGCTCAAACAATGGTGGCCAGGGATGGAGACACAGCCAAGCAGACATTTCAGAGAAACAGGAGGCAGAATCGACCTGGCTCACAGGTGGATGTGGAGAGGGAGGGAGACAGTCAAGGGCGACTTCTGGATATCAGCTGTGGGATAGGAGGAGGTGCATCTGGAATCTCTAATGGAATCATTCCTTTGGCCTCCAGGGCAGTGGGCAAAGGCCTCTGCTTCCAGAAGGGCCAGCCTCGAGTTGGATCTAAGTGATAAGTGTCCATCTCCAGATGAAAGCAGGCTTCATCCAGTCACATGAGTCCTAACAAAGCTGGCCCAGGCCCCGGGGGCAGGCCTTACCTGTCCACAGGCTGCTCAAGTTTATCATGAAGCCCCCGGCGAGGTAGAAGGAGTTGTAGAGGGCATTGCTGAAGAAGGAGGCCATGTGGAAGGTGGGGAGCAGGGCCGCGGCGGCCAGGGCCATAATCCTGCAACAGAAGACCACCAGCCACACCAGCAGGAAGTGCAGCAGGAAGGGCTGGAGGCCTGGCCTCAGGTTGGCCAGCCAGTAGGTGGGCATCCCGTAGATGATGATGTAGGCACAGTGCTCCGGAAGCTCCCCGAGGATCTGCAAAGAACAGCCCTTGCAAGGATATGAAGCCAGCACCTTCACTGCCATTATTATAAACGTTTAAAAGTAGCAGTGCCCCCAGATAGCAACCTTCCCTCCTGGTGATGATGAGGCTGTGGCAGGAGGGTGTGCTGGGACCCAGGAGCATGAGCTCAGTGCTGGCCTCCCCCTTGCAGATACCAAATGCTCCCTCTAGGGCAGTTCAGCCTGTTTCCCCCAGGGCAGCAATGGGCACCTGCTGTCCTAAGACCTGGTTTCAAGTCCCTACTCCCCCTGACCAGATCAAGTAGCTGTGTGGCCTTGGAGAGCCACGTAGCCTCTCTGAACCTCTGCTTCCTGGAAACACCTGCCTGGCCTGCTGGGGGGCCACAGTGAGGCTCTGAAAAGGTAAAATACAATGAGGACTTCTTTTTTTTAGATTCCTTCTGGCCAGAAAACTATCATTCCTGGTCCACAGTCCTGGTGTTTTGGTAAATGTTTAAAATAAAAGTTCAAGTCTCTGAAACTCCCCTAGAAAATGTGGCATCTGGTGGCATCGGTGACTTCACATGACCCACGGCCCCATGGTTCAGAAAAGCCTTCCTTGTAGCAACGTTTTCTCCACACTTACCCCCACCCTGGTGGGTGGGGGGCACTTGCTCTCAACCCTGCCCAGTCACCTTGGCAAAGAAATATGGACCAGTGGTGTACAGCCCGTCTTCCAGTTCATAGTAAAGCATTGCCCTCTCTGAGTAACCTAAAAAGTAAGGGAAAGGAAAAGAGAATGAAGAAGTAGAATAAATCTACAGTGCTTCTGTTTTGGAGACTCTCTTAATACAATTCAAAGTAGTTATCATATTGCCCAAGTCTCTAATTTTTTTTTTTAAATAGGCACAGTAAAGCCATCCTAATTTAGATGTTTGATGAGGCTCTTCAGGTTTTGCAAGTCTGTAGCTCGTGTTCTGCTGTCAAATATAAATCCTGCTAGGATAGGAACAGCTAAGACTCGGTAATTTACTTTCATTTGTATGCTAATATTAACATGCAAACTTTAAAAACATTATTGTCTTATATATCACAATCACAATGAAATCAAACCCGCTCCCCAGGAGCTCAGAGGAACACAGCTTGGAGGTGGCTGAGGTCCTGCCTGCCCATGCCAGTGGGCCACACTCACATTTGGAGATGACATCCAGAATGACGTTGAAAGGGATGAGAGCACCGATCATGAACAAGAGGGCGGCTGTATCCATGAAGGAGAGCTGGATGCTCCCATGGCCAAAATAGAGGAAGCCGATGGTCATTGACATCAGACAGGCCTCCGCCCCATGGATGAGGAGGGTGGGCAGGTCTCGGAAGTCGTTGGAAATCTGACGACTTAAAAACCAAAAGGAAGAGATGCTGAGGCAACAGCATACACCAGCCCCGTGACCCTGGGAATGTCACAGTCTCCATAAGCCTCATTTTTCTCCTATGCAAAATGGGGATGGTAATACCTGCCTCATAGAGTGGCTCTGAGGATTAAATCAGAAAACTGATGACAGCATCTGTCCCACAGTAGGTACTCAATAAATGATTGTTACTTTTATCATGAATGTATCAGCTTGGCAATGTTACTCAAAGAAATGATCCTGAGGAAAAAATCAATTACTTCCATAAAGATGTACGGACAGGCTGGGCGTGGTGGCTCACGCTTGTAATCCCAGCATTTTGGGAGGCTGAGGCAGGTGGATCGCTTGAGGCCAGGCGATCGAGACCAGCCTGGCCAACGTGGAGAAACTCCATCTCTACTAAAAACACACAAAAAATTAGTCAGGAGTGGTGGCACACACCTGTAATCCCAGCTACTTGGGAGGCTGAGGCAGGAGAATCACTTGAACCTGGGAGGCGGAGGTTGCAGTGAGCCAAGATTGCCCTAGTGCACTCCAGCCTGGGTGACAGAGAGAGACTCTGTGTTAAAAAAAAAAAAAAAAATGTACGCTCAATGATGTCTGCTGCCTCATTGCTTGTAGTAGCAAAAGCCTGAAGATAATCTGGCCATCAAGATGGACTTAATGGGTGGGTGATTATGGCTAGACTAACTGGAATGCCGAGGAAGACCCAATCAGACGGGAGGTAGAGGTGCTGCCCTAAGTGAAAAGAAACCAGCTACAGACCAGCATGCAGAGTATGATCCCGCTACGTTTACAAATGTGTGTATGCATGGAAACATCAGGAAAGACACACGCCACACAGTGCCGTCTGGCTTTCTTTGAGGGCTGGTATGACCACGACTTCCCTTTTAACCAGAGATTCTCTCCTATTGTCTCCATTTTTCTCAATGACCCTATGCTATTTCTACGATCTTCCAGCCGGTGAGGATATCTTAATTTTGCTTAAAGAATAAAAGCAATAGGGGTGTTCTGTGTCGCACTGAAGGTTAGTGCTGGTCCCAACAATGCTGTTTCCTTTTTTTGAGATGGGGTCTTGCTCTGCTGCCTAGGCTGGAGTGAAGGTGCAATCACGGCTCACTGCAGCCTCCACCTCCAGGAATCAAGCAATCCTCCCACCTCAGCCTACCAGGTAGGCCCACGCCACCATAACTGGCTACTTTTTATAATTTTTTGTAGAGATGGGCTTTCACCTTGTTGCCCAGGCTGGTCTCGAACTCCTGAACTTAAGTGATCCACGCACCACAGCCTCCCAGAGTGCTGGGATTACAGGCATAAGCCACCAACGCCCTGCTGGATGCTGTTTTTTTCAAATGACTCTACCTCTCACTTTCTCCTTTAAATTCACTTTAATAGAAAGGGCTTAATGTGATATACAAAGACTTGGGCAGGGGGGCGGGTTCAGTAATAAAATGACAGATAATTACCGGATCAGCGTCGTAAACTGCTGCACCGCCCCAGGCATCTTCGTAGGACTCGGGAGGCAGTTGGTGTCTAGTGGGGTCACGCTGCTGGGAGGCAGAAGATGTGGCCAGGTCATGGGGGCAGCCACCTTCTGCAGGGAGCTCTCCTCTCAGAGTCGCCTGCCACCTTACCTTTCCACACAGGTGTCCTCGTCAAGATCCTTCGTCTCTGCTTTCCATAGAAAGTCATCTAAGTCACGCACTTTTTCTAGAAACAGGGCTGCGAGTGACTGAGCCTTCTCCCTGGTGGCCAATTCCTGCTCTCTGCTGCGCCTGTCAATGCTGGTCAGGTCCACTGCAAGCAGGGGATGTGGAGTCACAGGTGGCCTGTTCCCTGGCACCTGCTCACAGGTGAAGAGCTTGGTGCACGCCCAGCTCACAATGCTGATCACCCCTCGTGGGGCTCTGGGACATTCTCCCCACCCTCAGCCATGAAGCAAGGGGCAGAGCAGAGAGAGGCAGAGGGACCCCAAGGGCTGGTCCTTCACCCTGCCAGGCCTGACCACATCTGCAGAAGCCTCAGGGTAAGAGCAGTGGATCAAAAAATGGGAAAGAGTAGAGGCCCCGCCCAAGTCCCACTACCCAGGCTCATTTTGAGGACATCTTAGGACAGAGCAAGAGCCTTCAGAGCCAAGGGCCACATGACAGTCATGCTCTGGCTCCAACTCCAGCTGTCCAGGAAGCTTTAATGAGGACTCAGTGCCCCTCCATGGGGAGAAGTTGGGCTGGTCGGGGGAGGCTGAGTAGTTAGGCTCCCAGATAGTGAGCGTTCCATCCAGAGAGTGAGAATTCTATCCAGATAGCGAGAGTTCAATCCAGATGGGGAGAGTTCTATCCAGATAGACAGTGACAGTTCTATCCAGAGGGTGAGAATTCTATCCAGATAGTGAGAGTTCTATCCAGAGAGTGAGCATTCTATCCAGATAGTGAGAGTTCTATCCAGAGAGTGAGAGTTCTATCCAGAGAGTGAGAATTCTATCCAGATAGTGAGAGTTCTATCCAGAGGGTGAGAATTCTATCCAGAAAGTGAGAGTTCTATCCAGAGGGTGAGAATTCTATCCAGATAGTGAGAGTTCAATCCAGATGGGGAGAGTTCTATCCAGATAGATAGTGACAGTTCTATCCAGAGGGTGAGAATTCTATCCAGATAGTGAGAGTTTGATCCAGATGGTGAGAATTCTATCCAGACAGATAGTGAGAGTTCTATCTAGAGTAAGAATTCTATCCAGATAGATAGTGAGAGTTCTATCCAGAGAGTGAGAGTTCTATTCCCACACAGTGAGAGTTTTATTCAGATGGTGAGAGTTCTATCCAGATGGTGAAAGTTCTATCGAGTTATTAAGAGTTCTATCCAGAGAGTTAGAGTTCTATCCAGACAGACAGTGAGAGATCTAATGAGACAGAGAGTGAGAGTTCTATCCAGATAGACAGTGAGAGTTCTATCCAGAGAATGAGAATTCTATCTAGATAGTGAGATTCTATCCAGATGGTGAAAATTCTATCCAGACAGAAAATGAGAGTTCTATCCAAAGAGTGAGGATTCTTTCCAGACAGATAGTGAGAGTTCGATCCAGAGAGTCAGAATTCTACCCATATAGTGAGAGTTCTATGCAGATGGTGAGAATTCTATCCACACAGATAGTGAGAGTTCTATCCAGAGAGTGAGAATTCCATCCAGATAGTGAGAGTTCTATTACGACGGAGCGAATTCTACCCAGACAGATAGTGAGAGTTCTATCCAAAGGGTGAGAATTCTATCCAGATAGAGAGTGAGAGTTCTATCCAGAGAGTGAGAATACTACCCAGATAGTGAGAATTCTATCCAGATAGTAAAAATTCTATCCAGATAGATAGTGAGAGTTATATCCACAGCCTGAGAATTCCATCAACATACACAGTGAGAATTCTATCCAGAGAGTGAATTCTTTCCATATAGATAGTGAGAGTTCTATCCAGAGTTAGAATTCTATCCAGATAGTGAGAATTCTATCCAGATTGTGAGAATTCTACCCAGATAGTGCTAGTTCTATCCAGAGAGTGAGGATTATATCCAGACAGTGAGAATTCTATCCAGATTGTGAGAGTTCTATCCAGAGGGTGAGAATTCTATCGAGACAGGTAGTGAGAGTTCCATCCAGACAGTGAGAATTCTATCCAGAGACTGAGAGTTCTATCCAGATGGTGAGAAGTCTATGCAGACAAATAGAGTTCTATCAAGAGTAAGAATTCTATCCAGATACTGAGAGTTCTATCCAGAGGGTGAGAATTCTATCCAGATAGATTGTCACAGTTCTATCCACAGAGTGAGAATTCCAACGTGATCGACAGTGAGAATTCCATCCAGATGGTGAAAATTCAATCCAGATAGCGAGAGTTCTATCCAGAGAGTGAGAATTCTGTCTACATAGATAGTGAGAGTTCCATCCAGACAGATAGTGAGGGTTCTAGCCAGATGGTGAGAATTCTATCCAGATAGTGAGAGTTCTCTCCAGATGGTAAGAATTCTATCCAGACAGATAGTGACACTTCTATCCAGATGGTGAGAATTCTATCCAGACAGATAATGAGACTTCTATCCAGAGAGGGAGAATTCTATCCAGATAGATAGAGAAATTTCTATCCACAGGGTGACAGTTCTAACCAAAAAGATAGTGAGAGTTCTATCCAGAGAGTAAGAATTCTATCCAGATACTGAGAGTTCTATCCAGATGGTGAGAATTCTATCCAGACAGATAGTGAGAGTTTTATCCAGATGGTGAGAATTCTATCCAGACAGATACTGAGAGTTTCATCCAAAGAGTGAGAATTCTATCCAGATAGATAGTGAGAGTTCTATCCAGAGAGTGAGAAATCTATTCAGATAGACAGTAAGAGTTCTATCCAGATGTTGAGAATTCTATCCAGATAGTGAGAGTTCTATCCAGAGGGTAAGAATTCTATCCAGAAAGATAGTGAGAGTTCTTTCCAGAGAGCGAGAATACTATCCAGATAGATAGTGAGAGTTCCACCCACATGGTGAGAATTCTATCCAGATAGTGAGAGTTCAACCCAGAGGGTAAGAATTATGTCCAGAATGATAGTGAGAATTCTACCCACAGTGAGAATTCTATCCAGACAGATAGTGAGAGATCTATCCAGAGAGTGAGAATTATATCCAGATAGATAGTGAGAGATCAATCCAGAGAATGAGAATTCTATCCAGATAGTGAGAGTTGTATCCGGATGGTGAAAATTCTATCTAGACAGGCATTGAGACTTCTATCCAGAGACCGAGAAGTCTATCCAGATAGACAGTGAGAGTTCTATCGAGATGGTGAGTATTCTATCCAGATAGTGACAGTTCTATCCACAGAGTGAGAATTCTATCCAGACTGTGAGAGCTCTATCCAGAGGAGGAGAATTCTATCTGAAAGATTGTGAGAGTTCTATCTAGAGTGAGAATTCTACCCAGATAGTGAGAGTTCTATCCAGAGGGTGACAATTCTATCCAGATACATTGTCAGAGTTCTATCCACAGAGTGAGAATTCTATCCTGATCGATAGTGGGAATTATATCCAGATGCTGAGAATTCTATCCAGATAGCGAGAGTAGTATCCAGAGAGTGAGAATTCTATCCAGAAAGGTAGTGAGAGTGCTATCCAGACAGAGAGTCAGAGTTCTATCCAGACGATGATTATTCTATCCAGATAGTGAGAGTTCTCTCCAGCTGGTCAGAATTCTATCCAGACAGATAGTGAATATTCTATGCAGATGGTGAGAATTCTATCCAGACAGATAATGAGACTTCTATCCAGAGACAGAATTCTATCCAGATAGATAGTGCGAATTCTATCCAGAGGGTGACAGTTCTATCGAGAAAGATAGTGAGAGTTCTATCCAGAGAGTAAGAATTCTATACAGATACTGAGAGTTCTATCCAGATAGTGAGAATTCTACCAGACAGATAGTGAGAGTTTTATCCAGATGGTGAGAATTCTATCCAGACAGACAGTGAGAGTTTTATCCAGAGAGTGAGAATTCTATCCAGATAGCTAGTGAGAGGTCTATCCAGAGGGTGAGAATTCTATTGAGATAGATAGTGACAGTTCCATCCAGAGGGTGAGAATTCTATCCACATTGATACTGAGAGTTCTATCCATAGAATGAGAATTCGATCCAGGCAGACAGTGAGAGATCTATCCAGAGAATGAAAATTATATCGAGATAGATAGTGAGAGCTCTATCCAGAGAGTGAGAATTCTATCCAGATTGATAGTGAGAGTTCTATCCAGAGAGTGAGCATTCTATCCAGATAGTGAGAGTTCTATCCAGATGGTGAGAATTCTATCCAAACGGATAGTGAGAGTTTTATCCAGCGAGTCAGAATTCTATCCAGAGAGATAGTGAGAGTTCTATCCAGAGGGTGAGAATTCTATTGAGAAAGATAGTGAGAATTCTATCTAGAGAGTGAGAATTCTATCCAGATAGTGACAGTTCTATCCAGATGGTGAGAATTCCTTCCAGATAGTGACAGTTCTATCCAGAGGGTGAGAATTCTATCCAGATTGATACGGAGAGTTCTATCCACAGAGTGAGAATTCTATCCAGACAGATAGTGAGAGTTCTATACAGAGACTGAGAATTCTATCCAGACAGTGAGAGTTCTATGCAGAGATTGAGAATTCTATCCAGACAGTGAGAGCTCTATCCAGATGGTGAGAATTCTATCTGGACAGATAGTGAGAGTTCCATGCAGATGGTGACAATTCTATCCAGATAGTGACAGTTCTATCCAGAGGGTGAGAATTCTATCTAGATAGTGAGAGTTCTATCCAGATGGTGAGAATTCTATCCAGATAGAGAGTGAGAGTTCTATCTAGAGTGAGAATTTTATCCAGATAGTGAGAGTTCTCTCCAGAGGGTGAGAATTCTTTTTTTTTTTTAATTATACTTTAAGTTTTAGGGTACATGTGCACAATGTGCAGGTTAGTTACATATGCATACGTGTGACATGCTGGTGCGCTGCACCCGCTAACTCGTCATCTAGCATTAGGTATATCTCCCAGTGCTATCCCTCCCCCCTCCCCCCACCCCACAACAGTCCCCAGAGTGTGACGTTCCCCTTCCTGTTTCCATGTCTTCTCATTGTTCAATTCCCACCTATGAGTGAGAACATGCGGTGTTTGGTTTTTTGTTCTTGCGATAGTTTACTGAGAATGATGATTTCCAATTTCATCCATGTTCCTATAAAGGACATGAACTCACCATTTTTTATGGCTGCATAGTATTCCATGGTGTATATGTGCCACATTTTCTTAATCCAGTCTATCATTGTTGGACATTTGGGTTGGTTCCAAGTCTTTGCTATTGTGAATAATGCCGCAATAAACATACGTGTGCATGTGTCTTTATAGCAGCATGATTTATAGTCCTTTGGGTATATACCCAGTAATGGGATGGCTGGGTCAAATAGTATTTCTAGTTCTAGATCCCTGAGGAATCACCACATTGACTTCCACAATGGTTGAACTAGTTTACAATCCCACCAACAGTGTAAAAGTGTTCCTATTTCTCCACATCCTCTCCAGCACCTGTTGTTTCCTGACTTCTTAATGATTGCCATTCTAACTGGTGTGAGATGGTATCTCATTGTGGTTTTGATTTGCATTTCTCTGATGGCCAGTGGTGGTGAGCATTTTTTCATGTGTTTTTTGGCTGCATAAATGTCTTCTTTTGAGAAGTGTCTATTCATGTCCTTCGCCCACTTTTTGATGGGGTTGTTTGTTTTTTTCTTGTAAATTTGTTTGACTTCATTGTAGATTCTGGATATTAGCCCTTTGTCAGATGAGTAGGTTGCGAAAATTTTTTCCTATTTTGTGGGTTGCCTGTTCACTCTGATGGTAGTTTCTTTTGCTGTGCAGAAGCTCTTTAGTTTAATTAGATCCCATTTGTCAATTTTGGCTTTTGTTGCCATTGCTTTTGGTGTTTTAGACATGAAGTCCTTGCCCGTGCCTATGTCCTGAATGGTAATGCCTAGGTTTTCTTCTAGGGCTTTTATGGTTTTAGGTCTAATGTTTAACTCTTTAATCCATCTTGAATTGATTTTTGTATAAGGTGTAAGGAAGGGATCCAGTTTCAGCTTTCTACATATGGCTAGCCAGTTTTCCCAGCACCATTTATTAAATAGGGAATCCTTTCCCCATTGCTTGTTTTTCTCAGGTTTGTCAAAGATCAGATAGTTGTAGATATGCGGCGTTATTTCTGAGGGCTCTGTTCTGTTCTATTGATCTATATTTCTGTTTTGGTACCAGTACCATGATGTTTTGGTTACTGTAGCCTAAGAGGGTGAGAATTCTATCCAGATAGATAGTCAGAGTTCTATCCACAGAGTGAGCATTCTATCGAGACAGATAGTGAGAATTCTATCCAGAGAGTGAGAATTCTATCCAGATAGATAGTGAGAGATCTATCTAGACAGATAGTGAAAGTTCTATCCAGATGGTGAGAATTCTATCCAGACTGATAGTGAGACTTCTATCCAGAGATTAAGAATTCTATCCAGATAGACAGTGAGAGTTCTATCCACATAGATATTGAGAGTTCTATCCAGACAGTGAGAATTCTATCCAGAGAGAGAGTGAGAGTTCTATCAGTAGGGAGAATTCTATCCAGATAGTGAGAGTTCTATCTAGAGGGTGAGAATTCTATCCAGATAGTGAGAGTTCTATCTAGAGGGTGAGAATTCTATCCAGATAGATAGTCAGAGTTCTATCCATAGAGTGAGAATTCTATCCAGACAGATAGTGAGAGTGCTATGCAGAGACTGAGAATTCTATCCAGATACTGAGAGCTCTATCCAGATGGTAAGAATTCTATCCAGACAGATAGTGAGAGTTCCATGCAGATGTGAGAATTCTATCCAGATAGTAAGAGTTCTATCCAGAGGGTGAGAATTCTATCCAGATAGATAGTGACAGTTCTATGCAGAGACTGAGAATTCTATCCAGATAGTGAGAGCTCTAAGCAGATGATGAGAATTGTACCTAGACAGATAGTGAGAGTTCCATGCAGATGGTGAGAATTCTATCTAGATAGTGAGAGCTCTATCCAGATGTTGAGAATTCTACATAGACAGATAGTGAGAGTTCCATGCAGATGCTGAGAATTCTATCCAGACAGTGAGCGTTCTATCCAGAGGGTGAGAATTCTATCCAGACAGATAGTGGGAGTTCTATCCAGAGAGTGAGAATTCTATCCAGATAGTGAGAGTTGTATCCAGAGGGTGAGAATTCTATCCAGATACATAGTCAGAGTTCTATCCACAGAGTGAGAATTCTATCTAGATAGATAGTGAGAGTTATATGCAGAGAGTTACAATTCTATCCAGATAGTGAGAGTTGTATCCAGAGAGTGAGAATTCCGTCCAGATAGACAGTGAGAGTTCTATCCAGATAGTGAGTATTCTATCTAGATAGATAGTGAGAGTTTTATACAGAGAGTGAGAATTCTATCCAGATAGTGACAGTTCCATGCAGACGGTGAGAATTCTATCCAGATAGTGAGAGTTCTACCTAGAGGGTGGGAATTCTATCCAGATAGATAGTGAGAGTTCTATGCAGAGATTGAGAATTCCATCCAGATAGTGAGAGCTCTATCCACATAGTGAGAATTCTACCTAGACAGATAGTGAGAGTTCCATGCAGATGGTGAGAATTCTATCCAGATAGTTAGAGTTCTATACAGATGGAGAGAATTCTACCCAGACAGATGGTGAGAGATCTATCCAGAGGGTGAGAATTCTATCTAGATAGATAGAGTTCTATCCAGAGAGTGAGAATTCTATTCAGATACTGACAGTTCTATTCAGATGGTGAGAATTCTATCCAGATAGTGAGTGCTATCCAGAGAGTGAGAATTATATCCAGATAGGTAGTGAGGGTTCCATCCAGAGAGTGAAAATTCTATCCAGACAGATAGTGAGAATTCTATCCATATGGTGAGAATTCTATGAAAATAGATAGTGAGAGTTCTACCCACAGAGTGAGAATTCTATCCAGATAGTGAAAGTTCTATCCAGATCGTGGGAATTCTATATATAGAGAGAGTGAGAGTTCTATCCAGAGAGTGAGTATTTTATCCACACAGTAAGAATTCTATCCAGATGGTGGGAATTCTATCCAGATAGATAGTGAGAGTTCTACCCAGAGAGTGAGAATTCTATCCAGACAGATAGTGAGAATTCTATGCAGATGGTGACAAATCTATCCAGATAGTGAGAGTTCTACCCAGAGAGTGAGAATTATATCCAGATTGACAGTAAGAGTTCTACCTACAGAGTGAGAATCCTATCCAGATTGTGAGAGATGTTTCCGGACGGTGAAAATTCTACCTAGACAAATAGAGTTCTATCCAGAGAGTGAGAATTCTACCTAGACAGATAGTGAGAGTTCTATCCAGAGAGTGAGAATTCTATCCAGACAGGTAGTGAGAGTCCTATCCACAGAGTGAGAATTCCATCCAGATAGATAGTAAGAGTTCTATCCAGACAGATAGTGAGAGTTCTATCCAAATGGTGAGTATTCTATCCAGACAGATAGTGAGAGTTCTATCCAGATGGTGAGAATTCTATCAAGATAGACAGTGAGAGTTCTATCCAGATGGTGAGAATTTTATCCTGACAGATAGTGAGAATTCTATCCAGAGACATAGAATTCTATCCAGATAGATAGTGAGAGTTCTATCCAGAGGGTGAGAATTCTATCCAGATAGTGACAGTTCTTTCCAGATACTAAGAGTTCTATCCGGAAAGATAGTGAGAGTTTTATCCAGAGAGTAGGAATTCTATCCAGTTAGTGAGAGTACTATTCAGATGGGAATTCTCTCTAGATGAATAGCGAGAGTTCTATCTAGAGAGTGAGAATTCTATGCAGATAGTGAGAGTTCTATCCAGATAGTGAGAATTCTATCCAGATAGATAGTGAGAGTTCTATCCAGATTGTGAGAATTCTATCTAGGTATATAGTGAGAATTCTATCCCGATGGTGAGAATTCTATCCAGATAGTGAGTGCTATCCAGAGAGTGAGAATTATATCCAGATAGGTAGTGAGAGTTATATCCAGAGAGTGAAAATTCTATCCAGATAGTGAGAGTTATATCCAGAGAGTGAGAATTCTATCCAGATAGATAGTGAGAGTTCTATCCATATGGTGAGAACCCTATCAAGATAGATAGTAAGAGTTCTACCCACAGAGTGAGAATTCTATCCAGATGGTGAGAAATCTATCCAGATAGTGAGAGTTCTATACAGACAGTGAGAATTCTATCCAGATTGATAGTAAGAGTTCTATCCAGAGAGTGAGAATCCTATCCAGATTGTAAGAGTTGTTTCCAGATGGTGAAAATTCTACCTAGACAGAGAGTGAGAGTTCTATCCAGAGAGTGAGAATTCTATCCAGACAGTTAGTAAGAGTGCTAACCAGATTATCAGAATTCTACACAGAGAGATAGTGAGAGTTCTACCAAGAGACTTAGAATTCTACCCAGATCGTGAGAGTTCTATCCAGATGGTGAGAATTCTATCCAGATAGATAGTGAGAGTTCTATCCAGAGAGTGAGAATTCTATTCTATCCAGTTAGATAGTGAGAATTCTATCCAGATAGTGAGAATACTATCCATATAGTGAGAGTTGTTTCCAGGTAGTAAGAGTTCTATCCAGAAACATAGTGAGAGTTTTATTCAGAGTAAGAATTCTATCCAGTTAGTGAGAGTTCTATCTAGATGGTGAGAATTCTATCCAGACAGATAGCGAGAATTCTATCCAGAGAGTGAGAATTCTATTCAGATAGTGAGAGTTCTATACAGTTGGTGATAATTCTCTCCATATAGATAGTGAGAGTTCTATCCAGAGAGTGAAAATTCTATCCAGATACACAGTAAGACTTCTATCCAGATTGTGAGAATTCTATCCAGATAGATAGTGAGAGTTCTACCAAGAGAGTGAGAATACTACCCAGATAGTGAGAGTTCTATCCAGATGCTGAGAATTCTATCCAGACAGATAGTGAGAGTTCTATCCAAAGAGTGAGAATTCTATCAAGATAGATAGTGAGAATTCTACCCAGATGGTGAGAAATCTAGCCAGATACTGAGAGTTCTTTCCAGGTAGTAAGAGTTCTATCCAGAAAGATAGTGAGATTTTTACCAAGAGAGTAAGAATTCTATCCAGTTAGTGAGAGTTCTATCTAGATGGTGAGAATTCTATCCAGACAGATAGCGAGAGTTCTATCCAGAGAGTAAGAATTCTATTCACATAGTGCTAGTTCTATCCAGAGAGTGAGAATTATATCGAGGTAGATAGTGAGAGTTCTATCCAGAGAGTGATAATTCTATCCAGATAGATAGTGAGATTTCAATGCAGATGGTGAGAATTCTATCCAGATAGATAGTGAGAGTTCTACCCAGAGAGTGAGAATTCTATCCCGGTAGTGAGAGTTCTATGCAGATGGTGAAATTTCTATCCGGATAGTGAGAATTATGTCCACTATCCGGATAGTGAGACATAGTGTCCACTATCTGGGGAGTGAGAATTCTATCCAGATTGTGAGAGTTCTATCCAGAGGGTGATAGTTCTATCCAGAAAGATAGTGAGAGTTCTATCCAGAGAGTAAGAATTCTATCCAGATAATGAGAGTTCTATCCAGATGGTGAGAATTCTACCAGACAGACAGGGAGAGTTTTATCCAGATGCTGAGAATTCTATCCAGACAGATAGAGTTTTATCCAGAGAGTGAGAATTCTATCCAGATAGATAGTGAGAGTTCTATCCAGATGGTGAGAATTCTATCCGCATTGATAGTGAGAGTTCTATCCACAGAATGGGAATACGATCCAGACAGATAGTGAGAGATCTATCCAGAGAATGAGAATTCTATCCAAATAGATAGTGAGACTTCTATCCAGATAGATAGTGAGAATTCTACCCAGATGGTTAGAATTCTATACAGATAGTGAGCATTCTTTCCAAGTAGTAAGAGTTCTATCAAGAAAGATAGTGAGATGTTTATCCAGAGAGTAAGAATTCTATCCAGTCAGTGAGAGTTCTATCTAGATGGTGAGAATTCTATCCAGACAGATAGCGAGAGCTCTATGTAGACAGTGAGAATTCTATCTAGATAGGGAGAATTCTACCCAGATGGTGAGAGTTATTTCCATATAGATAGTGAGGGTTCTATCCAGAGAGTGAGAATTCTATCCCGATAGATAGTGATAATTCTAACCAGATGGTGAGAATTCTATCCGGATAGTGAGAGTTCTATCCAGAGAGTGAGAATTATATCCAGATATATAGTGAGAGTTCTATCCAGAGAGTGAGAATTCTATCCAGATAGACAGTGAGAGTTCTATGCAGAGAGTGAGAATTCTATCCAGATTGTTAGAGTTCTATCCAGAGGGTGAGAATTCTATACAGACAGATAGTGACAGTTCTATCCAGAGGGTGAGAATTCTATACAGCAGATAGTGAGAGTTCTATCCAGAGAGTAAGAATTCTATCCAGATAGTGAGAGTTCCATCCAGAGGGTGAGAATTCTATCCAGAGAGATTGTCAGAGTTCTACCCAGATGGTGACAATTCTATCCAGATAGCGAGAGTTCTATCCAGATAGGTAGTGAGAGTTTTATCGAGATAGACAGTGAGAGTTCTCTGCAGATGGTGAGAATTCTATCCAGATAGTGAGACTTCAATCGAGAGAGTGAGAATTCTAACCAGATAGATAGTGAGAGTTCTATCTAGAGGGTGAGAGTTCCATCCAGAAAGATAGTGAGAGTTCTATCCAGAGTGTAAGAATTCTATCCAGATAGTGAGAGTTCTATCCAGATCGTGAGA
Source organism: Homo sapiens (assembly GCF_000001405.40). Lineage (NCBI taxonomy): Eukaryota > Metazoa > Chordata > Mammalia > Primates > Hominidae > Homo > Homo sapiens. Next base: position 43,860,405 of record NC_000002.12, on the reverse strand, counting down.
ACTGTACCAAACAGAGAGTGAGACTTTTATCCAGATAGTGAGAATTCTATCCAAATAGTGAGAGTTCTATCCAGAGGGTGAGAGTTCCGTCCAGGAAGATAGTGAGAGTTCTATCCAGAGTGTAAGAATTCTATCCAGATAGTGAGAGTTCTATCCAGATCATGAGAATTCTACCAGAGAGTGAGAGTTTTATCCAGATGGTGAGAATTCTATCCAGACAGATAGTGAGAGTTCTATCCAGAGAGTGAGAATTTTATCCAGACAGATAGTGAGAGTTCTATCCAGAGGATGATAATTCTATCCAGATACTCAGAGTTCTGTCCAGAGGGTGAGAATTCTATCCAGATAGATAGTGAGAGTTCTATCCAGAGGATGATAATTCTATCCAGATACTCAGAGTTCTGTCCAGAGGGTGAGAATTCTATCCACATTGATAGTGAGAGTTCTATCCAGAGAATGAGTATTCTCTCCAGACAGATAATGAGAGATCTATCCAGAGAATGAGAATTCTATCCAGATAGATAGTGAGAGTTCTATCCAGAGAGTGAGAATTCTATCCAGATAGTGAAAGTTCTAACTAGATGGTGAGAATTCTATCCAGACGGATAGTGAGAGTTTTATCCAGCAAGCGAGAATTCTATCCAGATATATAGTGAGAGTGCTATCCAGAGGGTGAGAATTCTATCAAGATAGATAGTGAGAGTTCTATCCAGATAGTGAGAATTCTATCCAGATAGTGAGAGTTCTATCTGGATGGTGAGAAATCCTTCTAGATAGTGAGAGTTCTATCCAGAGGGTGAGAATTCTATCCAGATTGATAGCGACAGTTCTATCCACAGAGTGAGAATTCTTTCCAGACAAATAGTGAGAGATCTATCCAGAGAGTGAGAATTCTATCCAGATAGATAGTGAGAGTTCTATGCAGAGTGAGAATTCTATCCAGATAGTAAGAGCTCTATCCAGATAGATAGTGAGAGTTCTATGCAGAGTGAGAATTCTATCCAGATAGTAAGAGCGCTATCCAGATGGTGAAAATTCTATCTAGACAGATAGTTAGAATCCCGTGCATGCAGATGGCGAGAATTCTATCCAGATAGTGAGAATTCTATCCAGAGGGTGAGAATTATATCCAGACAGAGAGTGAGAGTTGTATCCAGAGTGTGAGAATTCTATCCAGATAGTGAGAGTTGTATCCAGAGGGAGAGAATTCTATCCAGATAGACAGTCAGAGTTCTATCCACAGAGTGAGAATTCTATCCAGACATTTGGTGAGAATTCTATCCAGACAGTGAGAATTCTATCCAGAAAGTTCTGAGAGTGACAGTTCTATCCAGACAGATAGTGAGAGTTCTATCCAGATGGTGAGAATTCTATCCAGATAGATAGTGAGAGTTCCACCCAGATTTTGAGAATTATAGCCAGACAGAGAGTGAGACTTCTATCCAGAGACTAAGAATTCTATCCAGATAGACAGTGAGAGTTGTATCCAGAGGGTGAGAATTCTATCCAGATAGTGAGAGTTCTATCTAGATAGATATTGAGAGTTCTATCCGGAGTGTGAGAATTCTATCCAGATAGATAGTGAGAGTTCTATCCAGAGGGTGAGAATTCTATTGAAATAGATAGTCAGAGTTCTATCCAGAGTGAGAATTCTATCCAGATAGTGAGAGTTCTACCCAGACGGTGAGAATTCTATCCAGATAGTGAGAGTTCTAACCAGAGTGTGAGAAATCTATCCAGACAGGTAGTGAAAGTTCTATCCAGAGAGTGGGAATTCCATCCAGATAGATAGTGAGAGTTCTATACAGAAAAATAGAGTTCTATCCAAATGGTGAGTAGTCTATCCAGACAGATAGAGTTCTATCCAGATGGTGAGAATTCTATCGAGATAGATAGTGAGAGTACTATTCAGAGAATGACAATTCTATCCAGATTGTGAGAGTTCTGTCCAGATATATAGTGAGAGTTCTATCCAGAGACAGAGAATTCTATCCAGATAGATAGTGAGAATTCTATCCAGATGTTGAGAATTCTATCCAGATAGTGAGAGTTCCTCCCAGTTAGTAAGAGTTCTATCAAGAAAGATAGTGAGAGTTTTATCCAGAGAATAAGAATTCTATCCAGTTAGTGAGAGTTCAATTCAGATGGTGAGATTTCTATCCAGACAGATAGTGAGAGTTCTATCCAGAGAGTGAGAATTCTAACCAGATAGTGAGAGTTCTGTCCATATGGTGAGAACTCTATCCAGACAAATAGTGAGAGTTCTATCTAGATGTTGAGAATTCTATCCAGATAAATAGTGAGAGTTCCACACAGAGAGTGAGAATTCTCTCCAGATAGTGAGAGTTCTATCCAGATGGTAAGAATTCTATCCAGATATATATTGAGAGTTCTATCTAGAGAGTGAGAATTCTATAGATAGATAGTGAGAATTCTATCCAGATGGTGAGCAATCTACCCAGATAGTGAGAGTTCTATCCAGAGAGTGAGAATTATATCCAGATTGATAGTAAGACTTCTATCCAGAGATAGCGAATTCCATACAGATTGTGAGAGTTGTTCATGGATGGTGAAAATTGTATCTAGACAGGTAGTGAGAGTTCTAACGACAGAGTGGGAATTATATCCAGATAGATAGTTGGAAATCTATCCTCAGATGTTGAGAATTCTATCCAGATAGTGAGAGTTCTCTCCAGGTAGTAAGAGTTCTATCCTGAAAGATAGTGAGAGTTTTGTCCAGAGAGTAAGAATTCTACCATTTATTGAGAGTTCTATCTAGGTGGTGAGAATTCTATCCAGACAGATAGCAAGAGTTCTATCGAGAGAGTGAGAATTCTATCCAGATAGTGAGGATTCTATCCAGATGTTGAGAATTCTTTCCATATAGATAGTGAGGGTTCTTTCCAGAGTGAGAATTCTATCCAGAGAGATAGTGAGAGTTCTATATAGAGTGAGGATTCTATCCAGATAGTGAGAGTTCTATCCAGAGAATGAGAATTCTATCCAGATAGATAGTGAGAGTTCTATCCAGATGGTCAGAGTTCTATCGAGGAATACGAGAGAGTTCTATCCAGAGAGTAAGAATTCTATGCAGATAGTGAGAATTCTACACAGATGGTGAGAATTTTATCCAGACCGATAGTGAGAGTTCTGTCCAGATGGTGAGAATTCTATCCAGACAGATAGTTAAGAGTTTTATCCAGAGAGTGAGAATTCTGTCCAGATAGATAGTGAGAGTTCTATCCAGAGAGTGAGAATTCTATCCAGATAGATAGTGAGAGTTCTATCTAGAGAGTGAAAATTCTAACCAGACAGATAGAATTCTATGCAGATAGTGAGAATTCTATCCAGACAGTTAGTGAGAGTTATATCCAGAGAGTGAGACTTCTATCCAGGTAGATAGTGCGAGTTCTATCCAGAGGGTGAGAATTCTATCCAGAAAGACACTGAGAGTTCTATCCAGAAAGTAAGAATTCTATCCAGATAGTGAGAATTCTATCCAGATGGTGAGAATTCTACCAGACAGATAGTGAGAGTTTTATCCAGAGAGTGAGAATTCTATCCAGATAGATAGTGAGCGTTCTATCCAGAGGGTGAGAATTCTATCCAGATAGATAGTGAGAGTTTTATCTAGAGTGAGAATTCTATCCAGATAGTGAAACTTCTTCCAGATGGTGAGAATTCCATCCAGATAGATAGTGAGAGTTCTATCCAGAAAGTGAGAATTATATCCAGATAGATAGAGAGTTCTACCCAGAGAGTGAGAATTCTATCCGGATAGAGAGTTCTATTCAGATGGGAAAATTGTATCCAGATAGGGAGAGTTCTATCTACATGGGGAGAGTTCTATCCAGATAGAAAGTGAGATTTCTATCCAGAAAGTGAGAGTTCTCTTCCCACACAGTGAGAGTTTTATACACATGGTGAGAGTTCTATCCAGATAGTGAGAGTTCTATCCAGATGGTGAAAATTCTATCCAGTTATTAACAGTTCTATCTAGAGAGTGAGAGTTCTATCCAGACAGGGAGTGAGAGTTCTATCCAGACAGGGTGTGAGAGTTCTATCCAGACAGGGAGTGAGAGTTCTATCCACAAAGAGAGTGAGAGTTCTATCCAGAGAGTGAGAATTCCATCCAGATATTGAGAGTTCTGTCAGGATGGAGAGAATTCTATCCAGACAGATAGTCAGAGTTCTACCCATAGGGTGAGAATTCTATTCAGATAGATAGTGAGAGTTCTATCCAGAAAGTGAGAACTCTATCCAGATACATAGTGGGAGTTCTACCCAGAGTGTGAGAATTCTATACAGATAGTTAGAACTGTATCCAGAGGGTGAGAATTCTAGCAAGCTAGAAAGTGAGAGTTCTATCCAGAGAGTGAGAATTCTATTCAGATAGTGAGAGTTCTATCCAGATGGTAAGAATTCTATCCAGATAGATAGTGAGAGTTCTATCCAGAGAGTTATAATTCTATCCCGAGAGTGAGAGATCAATACACATGGTGAGAATTCTATCCAGACAGATAGTGAGAGTTCTATACAGTGAGTGAGAATTCTATCCAGATATACACTGAGAGTTCTATCCATAGAGGGAGAATCCCATCCAGATAGATAGTGAGAGTTCTATCCTGAGAGTGAGAATTATATTTAGATGGTGAGAGTTCTATCCAGAGAGTGAGAATTCTATCTAGATAGTGAGAGTTCTATCCCGATGGTGAGAATTTTATCCAGACAGTGAGAGTTCTATCCTGATGGTGAGAATTCTATCCAGACAGATAGTGAGATTTCTATCCAGAGAGTGATAATTCTATCTAGATAGATAGTGAGAGTTCTCTCTGGAGGGTGAGAACTGTATCCACAAAGATAGCGAGAGTTCTAACTAAAGACTGAGAATTCTTTCCAGATAGTGGGAGTTCTATCCAGATGGTGAGAATTCTATCCAGAGAGTGACAGTCCTATGCAGAGGGAGAGAATTCCATCCAGATAGATAGTGAGAGTTCTGTCCCCAGAGTGAGAATTCTATCCAGATAGACAGTAAGAGATCTATCCAGAGAGTGAGAATTCTATCCAGATAGTGAGAGTTCTATCCAGAGAGTGAGTATTCTATCTCGATAGATAGTGAGAGTTATATACAGAGAGTGAGAATTCTATGCAGATAGTGAGAGTTCTATCTAGATGGTGAGAATTGTATTGAGATAGTGAGAGTTCTATTCAGAGGGCGACAATTATATCCAGATAGATATTGAGAGTTCTATCCAGAGAATGAGAATTCTATCCAGATTGTGAGAGTTCTATCCAGATGGTGAGAATTCTCACTGAAAATTAATAACTTGGCCTCCCAGGCACCCTGCCGAAAGCAGGAGAATGTCTGGCTGGAGGGTTCTAGGGACCGGCCAACTTCAGGTAGATTTCTCACTGACCCCTTGGTCGGCTGCTCTGCCCCAGGAGGGAGACAGCACACTTGGCTGTAGACCCAATCTGATCAGCCCCTGCCTCCTAAATCCCAGGGATGCTAACCTGTAGGGAGCACCAGGCAACCCCACACCACAGCTGTCCTCTTGCAGTGCCTCTGCCTTCTACCTCCAAGGCCCTGGCAATGCCAGAAAAGGCAAACTGAGCCCAGCCACAGCCAGGATCTCCCTATACCCAGCTCAGTCTAGGACCATGCATGCCTGCCCACCCTCCCTTCATTCCTTCCCCAGAACCTTGGCTTGGCTAGAGGTTCCCCACTCCTCTCTCTTCCCCTTCCCTCCTCCCATATCCTTTTTTTTTTTTTTTTTTTGAGATGGAGTCTCACTCTATCGCCCAGACTGGGGTGCAGTGGCACAATCTCAGCTCACTGCAACCTCCGCCTCTCAGGTTCAAGCAATTCTCGTGCCTCAGCCTCCCAAGTAGCTGGTACTATAGGCAAGCGTCACGCACCCAGCTAATTCATATATTTTTATTAGAGACAGAGTTTCACCATGTTGGCCAGGCTGGTCTCAAACTCCTGACCTCATGTGATCTGCCTGCCTCAGCCTCTGAAAGTGCTGGGATTACAGGCATGAGCCACTGCACCCGGCCCTTCCTCCCATTTTCATAACACATCTCAAGACAAGATAATGTCTAGGTGGGGTCTTATAAACCATGATGTGGCCCCCTAGTGTGCAGCACTGTAGCTCAAAACATCAGATTTTTGGGTAACCCAGGCCCCGTGTAGCTCTTGCATCCCAGGTTGGTGAGAGGTTCCTGCCCCAGGGCTTGCAGGCCAGAGCCCCTTCCAGTAACAATATAAAATGTAAAAAAGAGTTTTCAGGTTTGCTGTGGACACTTGACTTCTGGTAACCCCTCTCTGGGGTTACTTTAAATTATTCCCCGATGGCCAGGTCGGCAGGTGCCTTTTGGCCCCTATTCTGGGGATGGCTGGCCTGAGGATGACACACCGTCAGGAAGCCAGGCTGCCACCTGAGCACAGGGAGGGAGGTGACCTTTCTGTGAGTTCATGCAGAATGTGAGTACAGAGGGCAAGGGGCGGCCTGTCCTCCTGGGGGAAGGATGGTGGAGAACTTGGGACACTAGGAGGAGGGTGTGGGCTGCTGGACGAGGAGTCACAGCCAGGGCTGGGCACCAGTCCCAGTTCTGTGCCTTACAACTGTGCTGGAACAGGTGTTTAGCTCTGCAAGCTCCAGGCTTCTCATCTGTAAAGATGGAGATGGCCTTGGCCTGGCCGGGGCTTGAGAGTCAAACAGGAGACCCTTTGAGCCTGGCATGTTTGGGCCCCATGTTTGCCTTCAAGGAGATGATCGCTGTTGTCCTGTTTACTGGTGGGGTCCTTGCTACAGTTTGCCATCCTGGGTGGAAGCTGGGGGCTCAGGCGACCTATAGCATAAGCCATGACAGCTGTCTCCCTGGGACCTGGTACAACCATGACGCCTGTCCAGCAGCCATGCCCTTCCTCAGCACTCAGGATTTCAGGCCAGGTACCTGGGAAGGCAACTGTCCCCTGCAGAATGAAGGAAGCGGCTCATGCTCCCTGAGTGTAATATGCTGAGTGTTCAGGACCCAAGCAAAGGGCAAGCCTGGGGCTGCCAGAGCAATTTTCACATCTAGAGATTCCCTGGCCAAGGCCACCACCCTGGGCCCCCCTCTGCCACCCTGCACCTTCAGGCTCCCTGCCACTGTGGGAACACCAGGGCATGTTTTAAGATCTGGTGACTTCTTGACCTTAAAGGTTGTTTCCCTACTGAGTCTGAATAAAGACTCTGATATTTATTGATCCCCACCCTCTTGAATTCCATGCCCTCCCATCTTTGGAGTTTGCAAGTTTCTAATCTATCATGCACAGAAGGGTAGCTCTTTGTCAGAAGCTTCTATTTCCAGGCCCTCATTTCTAGCATTTGATACCTGGCAAACCACCCCATGTTCTTCCCCATCATTGCTCCTCCTCTCCTGAAACCTCTGGGAGTTTCTCCCCTGAATCTTTCCAGCAAGCTTGGGCAGGGTTTAAGCATCGGGGAGGCCCTGTGTGCCAGGGCCCTGGCTGCTGGCCTTGGGGACTCACCATAGAAGTCAGCAGGATTGCTGTAGCGAGGACAGGGGTAGCCGATGGCTGTGAAATACTGGACCATGTGCTGGGCCGCCCCTAAGTAGATGGGGGTGCCAGACGTCATCAGGAGGACCAGATCAAACAGCCTGAAGATGTCAGAGCGAGGCTGGTGGAGGGAGATGAGCACCAGCCGGTTGCCTTTGGCCAGCCTGGACAAGGTCTTCACCAGGTTGTGGGCTGTGAAGCTGTCGAGCCCAGAGGTGGGTTCGTCGAGAATAAGGATTCCTTTCCAACACAGAGAGGAGCCTGGTGAGTCGGTGGGGCTCTGGCCAGACCAAGCCAAGCCTGAGGGGACCGCACAGGTCCCTCTGCCCCCATCTGCCCCCCAGGCCCTCACCTGGGTTCCACAGGAGCTGCACCCCAATGCTGACTCTCCTGCGCTCACCCCCCGACAACCCCCGCACGTACATGTTGCCCACGCGGGTGTCAGCGCACTGCCTAAGCCGCAGCTCCGCGATCACGTCCTCCACCTGTGGGCCAGAAGGAGCTTTGAGGCCACCTCAGGGGCCTCCTTCAGGGCTGGACACATTGTGACCCCAAGGATAAAGGCGCCCGCTCCTCCGGCTGGGTTTGAAAGTGAAGGGAGACAGCTCCAGCACTTGAGTTCCAAGCTGCAACATTGGTTCCCCTGATTCTTTCCACAGGTCCCGAGGGGCCTCGACGTGCTGGGCATGGTGCCCTGTGTTAGGAACGTGGCAGTGTATTGGGGACCATGGCTCTCTACCCACATGGAGGCCCAGAAAACACACAAACAAATACACTCATCCCACATCTTGACAAGTGCAGTGAAGGGAACCAATGGGCTGAGCTAGCTTCTGGCGGGCTGTGGGGTTTGAAAGGAGGGTGGAGGGTGGGCTGCAGCCCAGGGCTGGCGGAAGGCAAGCTGAGTTGTTCAAACTCGACCTGCGGCTGGGTCCTGAGGCAAGGCAGCAGGGGAGGAGCGGGGCATGGACACTGTAGCTTCTTGGACCTGGGGGTCACCACTGGGGCCAGTTAGTTACCCTTTTGTCACGCTGGGCCTGGGAGAAGGTTCTGGGCAGCCGCATCTGGGCAATGAAGGCCAAGGTCTCTCGCACAGTCAAGTTGGGGAGCAGCTGGTTGTGCTGGCGCACGTGGGCCACACACTTCCTCACCAGCTGAGGCGAGCTGGGCTGCCCATTGATCCAGATCTGGCCTGACTTGATCTTGCCGCCGTGACCTCGGCCAGTGATCACATCTAGCAAGGAGGCTCTCCCACAACCTGCAAAGCCACCAGGGATATCCCTGAGAGCGGAGCTTCTGTGGGGGCCAGGCTGTCAGCCACTGCTCCCCATACACTCTCCAGGACCCCGGACTACTCTGTCCGTGCAGATGTGACCAGCCCCTAGAGAGGTGGCATAGTCCCTGGACCTAGATGGGGTGGGCCCAGGACATGGAGCTCCAAGCCTTCTGTCTGCAGCCAACGTGAGCACCCCTGTGGGGCTGCAAGGCATGATGGCGCTGGGGGTTCAGGCCAGGCCAGCCAGTGGTGGCCTGACAGGAGAAAGCTAGAGTCCTAGATGCCACAGGGCCAGCTGGTGCCTGGAGCATTTGTCCCCTCCTGCCACCCACCAAGGCCCTTTCTCCCCAAGGCAGGCTGGTGTTAACATAACTATTTTTGGCTGGCAAACATGCCAGCAATGTCTCATTATTCAATGTCGGTTGGCTCAGAAGCTGGCTTTGTGAGGACTAATTTGGAGCATTTATAGAGCGTCTTTTAAACATGCAAAACCAAATCTATTTTGAGAAATAATGGAGAAAAAAATAGAGAAATAATAGAAGTGGAAACAATTTAAAACTACAGCACAGTGTACATATATGTTCTGACTGTATCTACACCCATCTCTCTTCTTTTCATCAGTGGTACTTTTACTTTTTCTTTTTTTTTTTTTTTTTGAGACAGAGTCCCACTCTGCTGCCCAGGCTGGAGTGCAATGGTGTGATCTCAGCTCACTGCAATCTCTGCCTCCCGAGTTCAAGCAATTCTCCCTGCCTCAGCCTCCTGAGTAGCTGGGATTACAGGCGCTACCATGCCCGGCTAATTTTTGTATTTTTAGTAGAGACAGGGTTTCGCCATGTTGGCGAGGCTGGTCTTGAACTCCTGACCTCAGGTGATCTACCCGCCTGGGCCTCCCAAAGTGCATCAGTGGTATTTTTAATACTCTTTTTTAAAAAAGGATTCACCTAACTGAGGGTGGAGGATGGGAGGAGGGAGAGCAGGAAAAAACACTTGGGTACAAAGCTTACTACCTGGGTGATTAAATAATCTGTACAACAAAACCCCGTGACACTAGTTTACCTATATAACAAACCTACTTGTGCATCCCCAAACCTAAAATAAAAGTTAAAAAAAGATTCATTGCACTCAAGTTAACAGCACCCTCTTCTGAATGATGTACTAATTATTATTGATTTGAGAAAGTAAGCATCAGATTGGATCCAGTTTCCAAAAACTTTCGGTGAGCCTCTGTCTGTGACAGCTGTTCAAGCTATGAATGCGGATTGGGCTCAGGCTCAGAACATCTTCCTACCGTGGAGCTAGGAATGAGCTCTTTCCACTCCCGCAGATGGAGTGTTTTCTGCTTGTTTGCTTGTTTGTTTTGGAGATGGGGTCTCCCTCTGTGGCCCAGGCTGGAGCACTGCAGCCTCTACCATCCAGGTTCAAGAGATTCCCCTGCCTCAGCCTCCTGAGTAGCTGGGATTACAGGCACCTGCCACCATGCCTGCCACCACACCCGCCACCACACCCAGCTAATTTTTGTATTTTTAGCAGCGACGGGGTTTCACCATGTTGGCCAGGCTGGTCTCGAACCCCTGACCTCAGGTGATCCGCCTGCCTCGGCCTCCCAAAGTGCTGGGATGACAGACGTGAGCCACCGTGCCCGGCCCCAGATGGAGTTTTGATCTCCAAAAACCAAGAAGCTTCTTCACATGATCTTTCTGGTTACTGTGCAGAGGCTCTCAGGGTAGAAGGGGCCTGTGCACCACCTCTGGGTGTACCTCATTTAAGATCCCTGAGAACATGAGTGGAACAAAATAGCCAGGAGAGAAACCTGGGAGAGAAGCTTCAGAGCCAGGCTCCAGGGACACAGAGGACTTCACCAACATTCACAGGGACCACGGATTCCCACTCAGAAAGCAGGAAGGCCACGTTTTCTGAGCAAAACTTTGTGAGAGCGGTGGGGAGCCTTCCAATGGAGGATGCCTGTGGCATCTGGGGAGACTCTCTGATATGGTTTGGCTCTGTGTCCCCACCCGAATCTCATCCGAAATTGTAATCCCCACGTGTCGAGGGAGGGATCTGGTGGGAGGTGATTGGATCATAAAGGTAGATTTCCTCTATGCTGTTCTCATGATAGTGAGTGAGTTTAAAAAGTTTACACTCTTATGGTTTAAAAGTTTTTGGCAGTTCCTCCCCTCATTCTTCTCTCCTGCCACCATGTAAGATGTACCTTGCTTCCCCTTTGCCTTCCACCATGATTGTAAGTTTCCTGAGGCCTCCCCAGCCATGAGGAACTCTGAGTCAATTAAACCTCTTTTCTTTATAAGTTACCCAGTCTCAGGTAGTTCTTTAGAGCAGTGTGAAAACGGACTAATACACCTTCCATGAACTAAGACAAAACACCCACTGGCATTCAAGACCCTTATTCAATGGCTGGAATCTCCAAATCAATAAACTCATCAATTGGAAACCACTTTTGGCATTGCTGAGAGTATAAAAGAAACTAAAATGCCTAGGGCTGCTTTCTTTTCTTTTCCTTTTTTTTTTTTTTTTTTTTTTTTTAGACAGTGTTTTGCTCTTGCTGCCCAGGCTGGAGTGCAATGGTGCAATCTCAGCTCACTGCAACCTCCACCTCCAGGGTTCAAGCGATTCTCCCACATCAGCCTCCCAAGTAGCTGGGATTACAGGCACGTGCCACCACGCCCAGCTAATTTTTTGTATTTTTTTTTTAGTAGAGACAGGGTTTCACCATGTTGGCCAGGCTGGTCTCGAACTCCTGACCTCAGGTGATCCACTTGCCTCAGCCTCCCAAAGTGCTGGGATTACAGGCATGAGCCACCGTGCCCAGCCTGGCTGTTTTCTTTGTATTTTAAAAATTATGGCCAGCGTTCTTTTGTGTGTATGTTGGGCAGGGGGAGAGGGGGATGGCAGTAAAAGTCACAGGAAGTGTAGTTGATGAACCTTTCTAATAAATCATTTTAATAATTTCAGCTGCTCAGTTAAACTAAATTTGGCCTGAGGCTGCCTGCATACTTTGAGTTCCCACAGAGCAAACTGCAAGCAAACTTAGTATGTAAACAAACTGCAACTTATCTTAGCAGTATATTCTCTTAAGACAGAGACTGGCTGAGACAAGTTGCTGAGTCTCAGCCAATCATGGCAGCCAAGCATCAGCCAATCACAGGCTACCGACTGATGAGCTCCTGTCCATACCCAACACCTGATCACATCACCCTCAAATAAATAAGGTGAACACCCAACTGTAACCAATCAGCTATTTCTGTAGGGCACTTCCTTTTTCTGTCTATAAATACTGCCTGACCAAATTGCTTGGGGGAGCCTCTGAACTGGTCCTGTTTTTGAGTGCTGCCAGATTCATTAATCACTATTTGCTCAGACAACTCTACTATTTATTTGTCTAAAGTTGTTTGTTGTTGTTTTGTTTTTTGTTTTTGTTTTTTTTACACAGGCAAGTAAACCTGAAGCCAAACAACACTGAATCTATAAACAACCAGGAGATGCTCGGTGCAGTGACTCATGCCTGTAATCCCAGCACTTTGAGAGGCCAAGGCAAGCAGATCACCTGAGGCCAGGAGTTGGAGATCAGCCTGGCCACCATGGCAAAACCATATCTCTACAAAAAATACAAAAAAAAATGAGCCAGGCATAGTGGCACCCACCTGTAATCCCAGCTACTTGGGAGGCTGAGACATGAGACTCGCTTGAACCCAGGAGGAGCGGGTTGCAGTGAGCCGAGATCACACCACTGCAATCCAGCCTAGGCAACAGAGAGAGACTGCCTCAAAAAAACAAAACAACAACAACAAAAAAAACAAAACAGGAGACTATTCAGTGTAATTTATTCATTCCTTTCTAAGAGACGGGATCGTGCTCTGTTGCCCAGGCTGGAGTGCAGTGGCGCGATCTCGACTCACTGCAAGCTCCACCTCCCAGGTTCACGCCATTCTCCTGCCTCAACCTCCCAAGTAGCTGGGACTACAGGCACCCACCACGACACCCAGCTAATTTTTTGTATTTTTAGTAGAGACGGGGTTTCACCGTGATAGCCAGGACGGTCTCGATCTCCTGACCTCGTGATCTGCCCGCCTCGGCCTCCCAAAGTGCTAGGATTACAGGTATGAGCCACTGTGCCTGGCCGGGATCTACTTTTTTCTTATTTAGGTCAGGATTGCAGGGACAGGGACAGAGTGAGAGGGACTTCATGACTGTGATGCTGTTTCAGTTACAAAGTGCATTTATACATAAGATTTCATTTGATCTTTGGTTATACGGTAAACAGAACTTATCTACCAGACGGGTGTAAAAGTTTGGAGCAGAATGTTTAAAAAATTGAGTAATCTCTACCTCTGGAAATGATTAATTAAAAGATATAAAATGCTCTCTCCAGCACTATGTAAGGGTGTCCCAGGGAGAAATGTCTTGATCCGAGAATGATGAAACCAAAGTTCTAGTTCTAGCTCTGCATTAAATATGTGTCCTTACGAGAATCCCTCAATTTCTTTGGATTTGAGTCTCCTCATCTGTCAAATGGAGGGGAGTGTGTGTGTGTGTGTGTGTGTGTGTGTGTGTGTGCACGCGCGCGTGCAGGAGGATACTCTAGACACACTGAGGAGTAGGGAGTTTGAACACCTTCCTCTGAAAATGCTTCCAAACTGGTAGGGAGAAAGAAAGGTGGAACATGATGAGAATGACCTCTGTTCCCCAAGCCCCCTTTCAGCTCAGACATTCTCTCATTTTAAATTTGGCCATGGAAATGACAATTTGAGGCACTCCAAGAACCTGGCTCTTTGCAGATGAGTGAAAGTTGTGCTAAGTAAGACACTGGAGAGGCTGTCTGAGAGGTGAGAGTGTGGCAGGGGCTGTCTGGCCATAATCAGAATGTGATTGTGGAGGAACAACCTGAACCAATGCCCCTCATGGCTGGAGGAGTCTGAAAAGAACATTACATGCTGGAGCTGTTTGCTGATCTCTCCGTCCAGGTGTTAGCCAAAGTCAGATGCTCTGGCCACAGCCTCGGGTGGACAAGAGGCGCACTCATGACTCTTAACAACAGCACCTACCCTCAAGCCAGCAAATGGAGGAGCCAGGATTTGAGCCCAGGTCTGTCTGACCCAGAACCTGTGTTCTCAGCCATTCTGCTGTATTATTCTACTAGTCAGCAAAGAGCTCCATAAGAAGCATCCATTTGTCCAAAGGACCATTCTGTATCCCAGGAGAGAAACCATTGCCCAGCGATTTGCCTTTCCGGTACCTGAGCTCCCTATGATGGCCAGCATCTGCCCACTTCTCACTTTGAAGCTTAGGTTCTGGATGCCCAGCTCACAAGAATTCTGGCAGCTGGGAGATGTCCAGGGCATCTTGAACTGAGCCAGCTGCTCAAACCAAGGGACCTGAGAGGCCAGGTCCACCTGTGGGGAGATATCAGAAGGTTCCTTAGAGAGCTGAATGGTTCAGAGGGCTTCAGCAACTTCTGTTCAGCATCTTCGTTCCCCAGGTGGCCCCTCTCCACAGAGGATATGTCCTCACCTACACACAATAGGCCCCAACCCAGGTTCTACCAAACACGGAAGCAGGACCCATGCTGAGAACCTGTAGCTGCTGTTTCTAGGTCTGAAGATAAGAAGAATGAAAAGCATGTACAGGCCAGGCATGGTGGCTCATGCCTGTAATCTCAGCACTTTGGAAGGCTGAGGCAGGTGGATCACCTGAGGTCAGGAGTTTGAGACCAGCCTGGCCAACATGGTAAAACCCCGCCTCTACTAAAAATACAAAAATTAGCCAGGCATGGTGGTGGTTGCCTGTAATCCCAGCTACTTGGGAGGCTGAGGCAGGAGAATCACTTGAATTTGGGAGGCAGAGATTGCAGTCAGCCAAGATTGCACCACTGCATCCCAGCCTGGGTGACAGAATGAGACTCCATCTCAAAAAAAAAAGTAAGGAAAAAAGAAAATCATGTGCAATAGTGGTACAGAAATAAAAATAAAACACGAAGCAAAATGTCTTCACTTGATACTAGTAATTTACTAATAATTTATCAGATGTTTACTATGTGCAAGACATTGTGTTAATCACTTAACATCCATCACCTTATTCAATCCTCACTGCAAATCTATAACATAGATATGCTCAGAATCCTTGTTTTACAGATGAGGCTCAGGGCAGTTAAGCAACTTGCTCAAGGTCACACAGCTGGTAAGTGGCAGAGCAGAGAAAGGCTCATTGGCTTGTCCCAACTCACACCCACAGGAAGCCAGACTCAGGCCTCTGAAGTTCACCATCCCAGACCCCACCATGTCCCATCTGGGTCCCTGGGGAGCTGTGGGAATATGGATCCTTGAATCTGACCAGGGGGTTCCTGGGTGCCTCTGAAAGGTCAGTCATTGTCTTTGCACTCTGGATGTTTTATAAGCTCCAGGGATAGTACATTTTACAAAAAAAAAATTATATATATATATATATATATACACACACACACACACACATATATATATAACTAATGAAATCTGAATAAAGTCTGTAGTTAATAGCATTGTACATTGTTCATTTCTTAGTGTTCATAATTATACTATGGGTATGCAAGATGTTAACATTAGGGGAAGCTGGACAATGGGTATATGGAAACACTGTGTTATTTTTGCAATTTTTTCCAAAATCTAAAGTTATTTCAAAATATAGTTTAAAAAGAGTCCCAGAGACATTTTTCTATAGGTTCACGCATTTTGTTTTATGTTTATACAACAGTTTTATTCTCTTTTCAAGCCTCTCAACCTCCAGCTCTGATATATGCCATTGATGACACCTATTGCACCTGACACGTGAGGCATCAATGTGGACTGGACTCTGTCCTTGCGGGCAGAGGGCCTGCAAGTTGGGCCCACCCTTTTATTTCCACCCGGGGAATTTCCTGGCTGTCCCTGCCTGCTCCTCTCCCCTTGAACCCAGGCGTGCCTCTACCTGGTAGTTGAGGTCTCTGACCTCCAGGGTGTTGGGCTGGCCACTGTAGGTGAAGTACAGGCTGTTGTCACTTTCAGAGGAGAACAATCTATCCTGGAGGCCCTGTGGGAGACAGGAGAGATGAGGGGCTCCTTTAGAAGCTGCTGAGAACATAGGAGAAGACAAGAAGGAAACCAACAGGTGAGAGCAACTTCTTAGAGCCGACGTGGTTAAATCTCAAATTGGCAACAGATGGGATTGCACAGGTGGAACCTCAGGGCTTTGGGAAAATAGGAGTGCTGACAAGGGCCCATCTCCTCTTCCCTTCAGAGAGAGGTTTGGGGCTTCTCCCGGGGCACCTTCCCAGAGAACCTCAACCTCAGGCTGGTGGAGCCTGAAGCCAAGCAGCTTCTGGTAAAGAGACCCAGACTCTGGACCGGAGAGAGTTCTATAAAAAAACCTCTGTGCTCTGAGAAGACCTGACTGGAGTGGGCAAACTCTTTGCCTTTAACTTTCTCTTCCCTGCAGCTGGCTTAATATCTCCTGAGGCCAAACAGACATGACACTTGCAGCATGTGAGAGGGAAGCAGCTGTTGAGAGTTAATGCCCAATATTCATGAAGATACCACCCTGAGAAAAATTCTAACCAACATCTTAGTCCTCACTAACATCTGGCATACTTCTCCTCATATCTGATTTTGATGAAGAGTTCATGCAACAAAGTGATGGAAAATGCTGCTGGGAGCTTTGAGAGGAAGTCCCTCTCATCATCATCATCATGTTGTTGTTATTGTCGAAGTGGTGGTATATTTGAATGTACATTAAAAAATCAATGTTTCATGGTGTCGGCTGATACCTTTGAATGGTATTAACCATCTGCAGATCTCAATTCCTCCTATTTTGACAATTCAATCATTTAAACCATTGAGGCCCAAACAAAGAAGCAACAGGAAGTCCCCCATCATTTCTTTTTCTTTGGATTGGGTCTCGCTCTATCACCCAGGATGGAGTGCAGTGACATGATCACAGCTCACTGCATCCTCAACCTCTCAGGCTCAAGCAATCCTCCCACCTCAGCCTCCCCACCACACCCAGCTAATTTTTGTATTTTTTGTAGAGACAGGGTTTCACCATGTTGGTCTCAAACTCCTGGGCTCAAGTGATCCACCCACCTCAGCATCCCAAAGTGCTGTGATTACAAGGGTGAACCACCTCGTCTGACCTCCATTTTTTACTGCATTCAATTTTTCTTACATTTCTGTCAGGCAGGAACAAGTACACTTTCATTAACAAGTTCCCATAGACTTTCCTCCTCAAGCTACCATTCTCACACTATACATTCCTTCAATCAACCATGCACCCAACAAACACTTATGGGGAGCCCAGAACACCCTTCAGGCTTGGAATTTGGGATGTGACAATGAAAAGGCCGTTGAAAAGCTTAGATTTTGGCAGATGAGACAGGTGATTACGATGGAGCGAGACAGACCAGGCAGAGAGGGAGGCTGACCTCAAGCATCTGACCAGGGTTTATTTTCACTATGTACACAATGCACGCACATGCTGTAGGTGAAACTAACATGACTTATGCCTTACGTGAAAATAACAAATAACATACAGCAGTCTTCTTGTCAAAGTACCCCTGCAATGATGGGGGCCAGAAGTTCTCGGAAAGAACATTCCAGGTCAGTGGAGGTGGAGGGAAAGAAATTCGGTGACAGTATGCCGCAGGCGTGCTGTGGGGAACCCTTAGAGTTCTGGGAGAGTATGAAAAACAGCAGACGAAAGTGACTTCCATTGCTTAATGTTTGAATTATCACCATAAAGACCCAAAATTATACAGAAAAAAATGGGAAAGATAAACACCTAATTCAGGAGAGGGGTTATCTCTGGGGAGCGGGGAGAGATGAAAGGAGAAAGGGGACACAGTAGGAGTGCGGGGATCAAGCTTCAAAGCTTTTGGTAATTGGTGGTGTGTACATGAGAGTTCTTTAAGCTGATTTGTGTACGATATTTCACAATATGTTGTCAAATTGAGAGAGCAAGCCAGTGAGTAGAACTCCAGAGTTCCATTCCCACCTCAACCCCAGTTGCCAAAGCCCCCAAGCAGGAGGGAGGTTGAGGGAGAGGAGGTAAGAAGGTCTGTGCCCCAAGCTCCTGAGGAGATTGAAAGCAGCTCGGACAGATGCTGGACTCCTGGCAGATCAGCCCTTCGGCCTTGCCCCTCACTCGCCCTCTCCGCTGTCACTGTGCACATTGCTTCATTGTCCCATTTTTGTTGTTGTTGTTGAATCATCAAAAAATCTTAGCCATTGCCAGCTGTGCGCAGTGGCTCATGCCTGTAATCCCAGCACTTTGGGAAGCTGAGGAGGGCAGATCACCTGAGGCCAGGAGTTCAAGACCAGCTTGGCCAAAACAGTGAAACCCTGTCTCTACTAAAAATACAAAAAAAAATTGCCGGGCATGGTGGCACACCCCTATAGTCCCAGCTACCCTACTCAAGAGGTTGAGGCAGGAGAATCACTTGAACCGGCAGGTGGAGGTGCAGGGAGCCGAGATCGTGCCTCTGCACTCCAGCCTGGGCCACAGCGTGAGACTCTGTCAAAAAAAAAAAAATCTTATCCATTTCTAAGAGACTCATGTGGGCTAACATGCATCTTGCTGTTGTTGTTTTTAAAACAAATATCTGCAGGAGGGATATTAGACAATGTAAATGAGCTGAGAAATTACTTCTGCTGGCCAAAACATCCCCAGGTCGGATTTAGGCATGGAGGAGGCGCTGAGGAAGGAAGGTCAGACATTTGGAGTCTGGAGCAATGTGTGGAGGTAACCTGCAGCCCAACTGGGTTCCACTGTGTGGTGCTTTGAGAAGGGGAGGGAGCTGGCAGACAGAGGAGGCAGAGCAGAAACTGGGTAAGAGGAAGGGGAGAGGTGCCTGGTTGCTTGTTCCAAGGCTCACCCCAAGCCCCTTCACTGTGGCCTGGGAAGGCAGGTGTGGGCCAGCCCTGACTCCAACCACCATTGAGGGATTGTGCCTTCCAGGAGTTGCACAGGCAGCTCATCTTTCGGAGGAAGAAAATTCGTGCCTGGGTTGGGGACGACCTCTGTTCCATTTTAAAATATTTTCCTTGGCTCCCAGGAAGGATTTGTTAGACTCTTCCTGAGGTTTTGACAAACTCTCTGTATTTTTCAAATACTTAAGTATCTATTCGGCTGACATCTTAATCAGTACGACTGTCAGAACATCACTTGAATTTCTGACAGGTGACACCCAAAAAAGCAAAAGCAGGTTTATTTGTAGGTAACCAGCTCTGCTCATGCTGGGCTACATTGTAATTTCTCCTCGTATTAACTTCTGATCAAATTCCTGAGTCAGATGCCTAGGCAAGAAGGAAACTCACAGAGCACATGTTTCTAGTTCTGAGATGAGGAGCCTATGCCCCGGGGGGAGTGATGTGCTGACACTCACGGCTGGAGGGTTGGCAAGAGGACACGCAGGACTTGTTCCTGGCTGAAGAAATTTTATCGAAACATTCAGCCTAGGTCACACACAGCTCTGCCTGCTGCCAGGGTTTCTCTTGTCCTTCTCTGTTGCTGCTCCTGCCCATGGCATGAGGAGTTTGTGGGTTAAGGGCACTTGCCACTCCAGGTGCCCAAGATGCCAGATATTCTCTGTGCAAATGGCCCCAAGTCCATCCCCAGGGTCTGTACACCTCTTCCCAGGCCCAACCTCCTGAGGACTTTTAGGCCAGAGAAGTATATGTCTGTGCAGGGCAGGGCTGCAATGCAGGTAGGCAGGAGGGTGACCATCCAGGGTGTTGAGGGCCCCATGGAGTGGGATGGAGCTGAGGGGGCCAGAAAAGGGGGACAGGTTGTGGCTCGGGCTGGAAGTGGCTCCCCCGTACCAGCGCATTCTAGCCAAGTTGCCTTAGAATTTCTCAATTTACACATGGCCTTTCAGGTTGTGAGGAAGATATGTCAAGATAAGAGGATAGAAACTATTTTATTTAACTGTTCTTATAGCTTGACTGATGACTTTTATATATCTAGACATAGGAAATGTGACCCTCATCCTCTTGTTCCAAGACCCACAGGTGTTACGGGCAGACCGTCACTCAGCACCTGGAGTGACAGGATCGGACAGAAGGGAAGCAGAAATGGCAGGGCCTGCGTGCATTTCTGGTGTGGTCCTAGCATTTCTTTGCCTCTCAAGCTGTGGTGGCTGAATCGTCAGCCCTCCCAGGCAGGAAGTGTTCCCAAAGTCCCGCTGACTTTCTATTCTATTCAGGCTTTAAACATTTCCCGAAGTGGTGGGCCCCACAGGGTATTCAGAGAGCAGAGCTGGTCAGATGTGGTGGTTGCAGAACTGACTAGAAATGGTGGGCTCCTTGGGTCTGGCCGAGTCAAGTCCTGGAAACTCAAGGCCAGTCCAGGTTGTTTTCCCCATTGGGTGTGGAATCCTCGATCATGCTTGTCTTTCTCTCCTCCCTCCTACCCACAACAGGCAAAGATGGAAAGGTAGGATGGGGTGAGGTGGTGGGAGTGGGGATCTGCTTCTCGCTTGTCTTCCAGTTTAGCCTCCTGCTTCAAATCCTGCCACATCCCGAATTCAGTCAAAGGCTATTTCTTGAGTAAACACTTCTCAGGTAAAATGAGGAAGGAAACATACCTCCACCTCCTGCCACCTGGCTGCTTCTACTCCTTCCAGCTTTCTCGCAGAACTTACGATTGCCTGTTAGAGCCACACATGCTGATGTTCCCACAAAAGCCGTCTGTCACCCTGTCTCACCCATCACTTCATTACTGAGACCAACCTGACAGCCACATGGATGGAGGAGACACCAGTGGAGTCCCTGGCATGTGTGAGCACATTTCTATGATGGAGTCTCATTCGGAAAAAGCGAAACTGGCCAGGCACGGTGGCTCATGCCTGTAATCCCAGCACTTTGGGAGGCCGAGGAGGGTGGGTAACCTGAGGTCAGGAGTTTGAGCCTGACCAACATGGTGAAACACTGTCTCTACTAAAAAATACAAAATTTGCCAGGTGTGGTGGCAGGTGCCTGTAATCTCAGCTACTTGGGAGGCTGAGGCAGGAGAATCACTTGAACCTAGGAGGCAGAGCTTGCAGTGAGCCGAGATCACGCCACTGCACTCCAGCCTGGGCAACAGAGCGAGACTCCGTCTCAAAAAAAAAAAAAAAAAAAAAAAAAAAAAAAAAAAAAAAAAGAGAAGAAAAGAAAAAAGAAAAAGTGAAATTGTCCCACATCACACAAAAGAACATCATTTCCCTAAAAGAGCATTTCTTAGGGCAGGAAGTGACCTCAGAGGCCTCTGGGACCCTGAATCTGTTCCCCTCCGCCCTTTGACATGCAGGAAACAGTCCTGCGGCCATGTCCTCACACTGCTTGATGTCCGGGTGGTGCTAGGACAGAAGGCTCCTGAGGGAAGAGAGAAAGGTTTGATTTCTCCTACCCGCCCACCAGGCCTGGGCCGACTTCCCATTGCTCACTCACCGAGGTATCCTGGGGAGTGGCCCCTTTCGGCAGCCCTCTCTCCTCTGCCGCCTTCCCGGCCATGGGGCCCACAGGTCTGTGACCCTGGGCTGCAGCTCTCTTAGACCCAGCTGCTGCCTGCCAGGGCCAGTGTCTTCACTCTGTTTCCTGGAGCAGGGACACCTCGGCCTCCTGCCCTGGGCCCGTCTCTCCCAGCATTCCTTGCTGGCAAGCCCACCTACAAACGTGTGTGTTCTGCCCACTGTCAAGATAAGGACGCGCTGGCTAAAGGTACATCAGATAATGGTCTCCGTGGCCAAGTCCCAGTCCTGCTGTCCCAAGGGACTCCGGGGTCAGGTGGAGCAGGCAGGGCAGTCTGCCACGGGCTCCCCAACTGAAGCCACTCTGGGGAGGGTCCGGCCACCAGAAAATTTGCCCAGCTTTGCTGCCTGTTGGCCATGGGTGACCTCTCATCTTTGACCCCCGGAGGGTCCATGGGTCTCCAAGTAAACAGAGGCTCCCAGAGCTCCCTGGAGGGGGCTCCTGCCACCGCCCCGGAGCCTCACAGCCTGGGCATCCTCCATGCCTCCTACAGCGTCAGGTAAGGCAGAGCCCTTGCTGCTGCTGCTCCCCCAGGAGTGCGGGGCCCGGCGCTCACCCCTCTGCTGCCTTTCTTCACTCTTTAAGTGCCAGTCTGGGCACTTCGGGCTCCCTCTTTAGTGGATCGGGTGGAGAGAGGAGAGGGAGAAGGGCTGTGCTGGGAAACATGGAGCGACAGTGAATGGCCCCTCCCCCTGCCCAGGGAAGGGCCTGGGCATAAACAAAGTGGCAGCAGTGCCCTGCCAACCCAGTGTCTACGGCCTGCCCTCTGTGGATGGGAATGGGGGTACTGCGAATGCAAGGAGTCTTGAAACCTGGTGAAAGAATGCAGGGACAGCCACCTCGCAGCCAAACGGACAGGACATTCAGAGCAACTCCAGCACAGGCCCCCTCCCTACGTGGCAGACAGCCTCAGTCGCTATCTGCCAGGTTCTACAGAGGAGGGCGCAGAGACTGAAACACGTTAGGAGCCTGTCCGGAGACTACTGGGGTGGGGCACAGGTAGGATCAATGCTGGGGACCTGGGTGTGGCCCCTTCCAGGGCCCCAAGCTGCCTTTGCCTTCCTGGGGTTTCCTTTAAAGCCACCGCGTGAGGCCCTGGTGGGACATCACATCTTGCCGGCAGCAGTGGACCAGGCAGATCCTCAAAGATGTCTCCTTGTACGTGGAGAGCGGGCAGATCATGTGCATCCTAGGAAGCTCAGGTAAGCTTGGGAAGGAGGATTCTAAAAAGGATTTGGCTTGAGTTAAACTCCACATTGAAGAAACAGATTAAGTTGTAACAAGAAAGCCACAGGTTTGATATTAGAATGAATTCTATTGATATCTGACTGTGAATGGAACTGCTACCAATGTGAAATCTTTAGAAAGATCCTTGAAAGAGTATAAAATTCTGCCTAACATGTACGTGAATTCATATTTCAAAATATAAAAAGCCCCCACAGTTCCATGGCATATAAAAGTACTCAGGAAACACAATTTCCCCTATCTGTACACTGCCTAGAGACAGGAAAAGGATTAAATAAGCACAAAAATGCCCATTAAGCCCCTATCTTTGATTCCAGTGGTGCTTTTTTATGATGGTATATTTTGGACATACAATCAAGAATAGAGAATAGGCTGGTCACAGTGGCTTATGACTGTAATCCCAGCAGCTTGAGAGGCTGAGGTGAGAGGATTGCTTGAGCCCAGGAGTTCGAGAGCAACCTAAGCAACATAGTGGGACCCCATCTCTACAAAAACATACAAAAGTTAGCCAGGCATGGTGGTGCATGTCTGCGGTCCCAGCTACTTGGGAGGCTGAGGTGGGAGGATTGCTTGAGCCCAGGAGATTAAGACTTCAGTGAGCTGAGA
Organism: Homo sapiens; assembly: GCF_000001405.40. NCBI lineage: Eukaryota > Metazoa > Chordata > Mammalia > Primates > Hominidae > Homo > Homo sapiens. The sequence goes on along the minus strand of NC_000002.12, from coordinate 43,837,184 downwards.
TAGTGCCACTGCACTCTAGCCTGGGCAACAGAGCAAGACCCTGTCTCAAAAAAAAAAAAAAAAAGACTGGAGAATAATATTTAAAAGTTCATGTATTAACATCGGGCCTTATCAGATCTTATCTGGTCGTTTTTCTTTTCTTTTTTTTTCTTTTTTGAGACAGAGTCTCACTCTGTCACTTAGGCTGGAGTGCAGTGGTGCGATCTTGGCTCACTGCATCCTTAACCTCCTGAGCTCAAGTGATCCTCCCACCTCAGCTGGGACTACAGGTGCACACCACCATGTCCGGCTAATTTATTTTTATTTTTATCTTTTTTTGTAGAGACAGCGTTCTTGCTATGTTTCCCAGACTCTTTTTCTTTTTTAAGGAATTAAACATTACAAATTGCACTGAGGTCATCCACTGCCCGTTCTCCACATCATCCTTCTCCTCCTCTTTCCCAGGGTAGCTGCATTTGAGCCTACAGTCGGTGTTTGTGCCCCTGCATCAGCCAGTCATTGCCCCAGAGAGTCTAGCCTTTGGTGAGACAGCTCCTTGTGGCCGAGGGCAATTCCCTGGGAGGGTCCCTGTGGTGAATCTTCTGCAGCTGACGTTCTCAGCAGCTGGGGGATGGCTGCATTGGCCCTGAAGAGGGGTTCTGTGTGGCACACCACAGTGTCTGCTACACTGGATTACCATCTACATTTTAAGGTTAAAAGCTTCTGACAAATTGGCTCCACAGAAGCCTCTTGATTGAGCTATTGCTTGCAAATTGTTGACATTCACTGCCACTCTCTACTTGTGTTATTCTCTTCAATGGAGATGGGGACTCCATTGAAGTCTATGACCAAATGTAGGCATGGTCAGCCTCCTTAGACTCAGGGAATTGAATCCATGGCTATTCACCTGCTACAGCAGGTGCACAACCAGATGCCAACAGTAGTGTTGTTAAGAGGAATTCCCAGGCCGGGCACGGTGGCTCATGCTTGTAATCCCAGCACTTTGGGAGGCAGAGGCGGGCGGATCACTTGAGGTCAGGAATTCGAGACCAGCCTGGCTAACATGGCAAAACCCGTCTCTACTAAAAATGCAAAAAAAAAATTAGCCAGGCCTGGTGGCAGGTGCCTGTAATCCCAGCTACTCGGGAGGCTGAGGCAGGAGAATCCCTTGAACCTGGGAGGTGGAGGTTGTAGTGAGCCAAGATTGTGCCACTGCACTCTAGCCTGGGCAGCAGTGAGACTCCATCTTAAAAAAAAAAAAGAAGAGGAATTCCCAGACTGTCTCAGTCCACTCAGGCTGCTACAACAAAATACCATAGACTGGGTGGCTTATAAAAAGCAGAAATTTTTTTCTCACAGTTCTAGGGGCTGGGAAGTCCGAGATCAAGGGGGTCAACAGATTCAGTGTCTGGTGAGGGAGACTTCCTCCTAGACAGCCATTTTCTCACCCTAACCTTGCATGGCAGAAGTGGGGAGGGGTCTCTGAGGCATTCATCTGAATTGTAAGAGCTCTCCATAACCTAATCATCTCCCAATATCACCTCCTTGCATGCCCCACCTCGTAATATCATAATCTTGGGTGTGAAGATTTCAACATATGAATTTTAGGGAGACATAAACATTGAGACTATAGCACTGACTAAAGCTGTTACACTTTTCAAAGACTTTGTCAGTTCTTATTTCCATTTTTAACCAACATCTAGCTATACACATGTACCGTAACATCCAGGGTCATTCTCAGCTTCCTTTTGATAAATACAGTGTGCTTCTTTAAAAAGAAAAAAAACTGCCTCTTCTCCTTTAACAAATTTTCACCTGTTGCAGTCCTTATAAAGAAGTAAACAAGGTGGCATTTAGCACCCTTCTCAGAAGTGTGTCCCACTTCTAAGAACAACAAGAAATGGAACCCCCCATCTCAGAAGTGCACCCCAAAGGCCAATGCTCAGAAGTGCACCCCAAAGGCCAATGTTGTGTTTCATGCACATACAGCAGGACAGCAGGAGGGGCTCTTGATTGGGGTGGGGGAGTGGGCTGATTTCTGATGAGATGCCTAATTACGGCTTTGGGACAATGCCTACACTTTATACTGAAATGAATCCACAGTGGGCTGCAAGTTCTACAAGGGCAGGGACTGTATTCTACTGTATCCTTATCACCTAGAACAGGGTCGGTCACGTAGTGGGTGCTTAATAAATATTTGTTGAATAAAGGAGTAAAATAATTTTATGAATTACTCCATAGTATTGCATAAAATGACAATTTCATTGGTGTCTTATCTCAAGCAGTATTATCTATCAAATCTTCATTAGCGAGGCAAAAGATGATGACATATACGTTCAAAGTCTCACTAGAGTATAGTCTAAAGCAAGCCTGCACAGAGCCATCCAACTCCAGGGGAACTCCAACTTATTTGAATTGTTATTTGCTGTTGAGGAGGGCGTAGACTCTGGGTTAGATGCTTCTTTGCAGATTATTTAGTTGCAAATGTCATAGTTTTATCGCCCTTTAGGGCATTAACCTTATGATCCATCCGCCTTGGCCTCCCAAAGTGCTGGGATTACAGGCATGAGCCACCACGCCCAGCCTCTCATATCCTCTTTTGAATGAGCTTTGTCATCTTGCTGGTTCCCTCATTAATGAGTTAACAAATACTTGACACATTTTTTTAAAAAACTAAATTCATTATTATAAAAAAAAAAGTATCCCAAAATTTAGTGGCTTAAAACAACACCATTCATGATCTCTCAGAATGTCTATGGATCAGAACTCTGGAAGTGACTTGGTTGGGTAGTCCTGTCTTGGGATCCCTCCCAGAGAAGTATACACTGGATTTGGCAACAATAAAGTGGCTTTAATATCCCTGGGGAGGCCAGTTTTGATGAAGTGGTGGGGCTGGGACCCAGGCTGCAGGATATTTGCAGCTTCTGCCAGAGTTCAGATTGGATCCAAAAAATGTAAAGCCAGGATGGCTCTGGTTAGAAGAACCACACGACTGGGAAATTACAGGGCACATTTTGAAAGACAATCCCAATGAAGTCACATTTTGTTTCTTTATAATGGGTTTTCCTCTCTTTCCCCACTCTGTCCACCTCCTGAACACGCAGGGGCTATTTCTGAGTTTTGTCAATGATGCATTAGAAAAGAAGACAACTGCTAAGGGAGTTGATTCATCTTTGTACCTCTCACAGCAACAAGCAAGTTTCTTTAAAATATTTCAACAAGGGCCAGGTGCGGTCGCTCACACCTGTAATCCCAGCACCTTGGGAGGCCGAGGCGGGCGGATCACCTGTGGTCAGGAGTTCAAGACCAGCCTGGCCAACGTGGTGAAACCCCGTCTCTACAAAAATACAAAAATTAGCCAGGTGTGGTGGCACACGCCTGTAATTCCAGCTATTCGGGAGACTGAGGCAAGATAATTGTTTGAACCTGGGAGACAGCGGTTGCAGTGAGCTGAGATCTTGCCACTGTACTCCAGCCTGGGCAATAGAGTGAGACTCCATCTCAATAAATAAATAAATAAAGGGCTGGGCCCGGTGGCTCACGCCTGTAATCCCAGCACTTTGGGAGGTTGAGGCGGGCAGATCACGAGGTCAGGAGATTGTGACCATCCTGGCTAATGCAGTGAAACCCCATCTCTACTAAAAATACAAAAAAAATTAGTTGGGCATGGTGGCCGGCGCCTGCAGTCCCAGCTACTCAGGAAGCTGAGGCAGGATAATGGCATGAACCTGGGAGGTGGAGGTTGCAGTGAGCCGAGACTGCGCCACTGCACTCCAGCCTGGGCAACAGAGCGATACTTCGTCTCAATAATAATAATAATAATAATAATAATAATAATAATATTTCAACAAAAGATCTCTTTGGCTCTGCACAAGCCATCTCATCAGTAGATTTCTCTTGCTATCTTCCCAGATAGTTCAGAACTTCCTGCCTATTTCTCTGTTATGAGTCCCAACTTCTCAGCCTCCTTGGATAGGAAAGGCCTGGGAGGTCTATTCTGTCTCCATGAACTCTGGGCCTATGGTAAACTTGTGTCCAATATGACTGAGGGGCCATCAGGTTCTTGTCCTAAAGGCATCACCTAACCTTTAACCTTAGAAAAAAGCAGTGGCTCACGCCTGTAATCCCAGCACTTTGGGAGGCTGAGGCGGGAGGATCACCTGAGGTCAGGAGGTCGAGACCAGCCTGGCCAACATGGTGAAACCTCATCTCTACTAAAAATACGAAAATTAGCCGGGTGTAGTGGTGCATGCCTGTAATCCCAGCTACTCAGGAGGCTGAGGCAGGAGAATGGCTTGAACCTGAGAGGCGGAGGTTGCAGTGTGCTGAGATTGTGCCACTGCACTCCAGCCTGGGTGACAGAGTGACACTCAGTCTCACTCAAGAAAAAAGCAAACCAAGGGAAGCATCATCCCCCAGTCACCTCCAGCAGGCAGTTAGTTCACCACAACCCCTCTGTGGGAACTTCCTAGTGACATCCAGCTAGGCTATGCCCCAGGCTCTAGTGCAGGCTGTGGCCAACTTGGTCTTACCAAAGGACTTACCAAGCCAGTGCTTCTCAAACTCGACTGAAGCAGAGCTGACTCAGCAGGTCTTGGGTGCGGCTTGAGGCTCTGCATTTCTGGCAAGCTCTCAGGGGTTGCTGATGCTGCTTGCTTTGTGAGCAAGGCTCTAGACAATGTCACCTACATCCAGGTACAACCAGACCACCCCAGGGGGGCACAAAAAGAAATCCGTCCTAGGATCCAAACGTTTCCAAGAGTCTTGGCTTTCCTCTTATTCTGATACCTATAAGTATTTTGTTTTTCAATCCAAAACAGTTTTAAAGACAAATAAACAAGCAGAGAAAGCACGTTCGGTCTTGACCCAGATGAGAGAAATGGCATGTCCCCTCTCACTCAGGGGACAATCCAGAGACTCACTTGCGCGTGAGACTGCTGCACGCACAGTGCGCGTTCCATAGGGCAGGGCCTGTATCCTGCTGTGTCCTTAACACCTAGAACAGGGTCCGTCATGTAGCACTCATGGCCCGCGGGGTCATGCCTGCACAGAGGGTCTCGGGAAGCTCCTCCAAGGCCGGCACAGAGTGGTTCCTCTAGGGCCTTCTGTTGTCGCCCCGCAGGCTCCGGGAAAACCACGCTGCTGGACGCCATGTCCGGGAGGCTGGGGCGCGCGGGGACCTTCCTGGGGGAGGTGTATGTGAACGGCCGGGCGCTGCGCCGGGAGCAGTTCCAGGACTGCTTCTCCTACGTCCTGCAGGTGGGCGCGTCCCCCACACCCCTGGCCCCCCCGCCCGCCCCGGGGGCTTAGGCTACACTGACGCCCGAGTCTCCTGCAGAGCGACACCCTGCTGAGCAGCCTCACCGTGCGCGAGACGCTGCACTACACCGCGCTGCTGGCCATCCGCCGCGGCAATCCCGGCTCCTTCCAGAAGAAGGTGGGTGCAGCCCCCCGCTCACAGAGGGCAAACTGAGTACCTTTGCACCCCCCGCTGCCCTCCTCTCTTCGCCTACGCTTGCCCATTCCTTCCCTTTGCTCGTCACTCCTTCACTCTAGAGCGCGCCCTGCGTCCTGCACCGTGCACCCTGTGCTGCCCCTAGTCACATGTGCCTTTGGAGACTTGAAATGTCACTAGTCCAGACTGAAACGTGCTCTGAGCGCAAAATACACATCAAATTTCAGACTCTTAGTCTGAGGAAAACAGAACGTGAAAAAGCCCATTAAGAATTTTTAGGTCGGGCAGGGTGGCTCATACCTGTAATCCCAGCACTTTGGAAGGCCAAGATGGGAGGATTGCTTGAGTCTAGAAGTTTGAGACCAGCCTGGGCAACATAGCGAGACTCAGTCTCTATAAAAAATACAAAAATTAGTTGGACGTGGTGATGTGCGCCTGCACTCCCAGCTGCTAAGGAGGCTGAGGCAGGAGGATCTCTTGAACCCAGGAGGTCGAGGCTGCAGCGAGCCATGATTGCACCATTGCACTCCAGCCTGAAGGACAAAAAGAGACTCTGTCTCTCCCAACCAAATAAATAAATAAATTTCAAAAAGTATTGATTACAGGTTGAAATGGTATTTTTGGCTGTAAATAATATGTTATTAAAATTAATTTCACCTGTTTCTTTTTACTTTTCAAAATTTGGCTACTAAAATTTCACTTCTGTCTGTGGCTTGCATTACCCTTCTCTGGGACCATGCTGTTCTACAAGTTCCCTGTTTGAACAGACATAGTTATTTTTGCCACTGATTTTTCTCAGCTTGCTTGGAGGCATCTTGAATGTGCCTCATCCAAACTGGACTGAGTTAATGAAGGAAGAAATGATTGAATTGTCAACTCCTTCTAGGTTCCAATCTCTTTCTTAATTGTCTCCAGTTTGGAAGTAGCCACAGGTAAACCCACCGGGGACCTTACCTGGAAACTGCTTCATTTCTCTCTAGACTGGGAAGGCCCACAAGCACCCAGGGAACCAATGACAGGTGGACATGCCTCCTTCAAGGGGCACAGCTCCCTGGGAGCAGGAGAACTCCCGATAGCAGAGTTCTCTCCAATTGAGAGTCATTTCTGAGCAAATCCAGCCCACAGCGTGTAAAATCCTGATAAGTAATTCAGTGGGAAGGAAGTGCTGATGATAATAAAGGAGATAGCATGGCAGATCTGCTTCTGTCCTTGGAAGAACCTGGAAATAAAGCAAGGCCAATGTGAGCAGGCTATGTCTGCGGGGCTGTTGGCTAAGGCTCAGGCTTCCTGGACCACTTCAGAGAGCCCAGAGAGTCCTCTCAATCCTGGCCCTGCCATTTGCTAATGGCATTATCTTGGGCAAGTTATGGAACTTTGTTTTCTCCTCTATAAAAAATACAATAAGAATGCATTTCTCCTGGGTTTGATGTGAAGAATACATCAGATTACGTGAAAGCACAGAGCATGGAGGGTTGGACTTGCTCATCCCAATAGTCCTTCCAGGGACTCTGAATTCCATTTCCAAAATTTGTTTCCAAAATGTGGGAGAGCATTCCTGCTGGGGTGTGAAACCTCTGAGACAAATTAAGTAAATGTCTTCTCTGTCCATCTCTTCCAAGCCAGGAGGGGCAAGCTTACTCCTTATGATGTTACAGAGATGAGAAGGAGGCTCGGGAATCTACCCTGGCTGGTCAGCACAGAAATCTCACTGTGTCAAGCAAAGCTTAATTCTAGGATCCTTCTACCCTGATGGCAAGAGAAGAGCTTTCTTTTGTTCCAGAATATATCTATATCTAGTTTATTTATGCATTTTTACCTTCTCATTATTCCTTTGTACCTATTTCAGATATGTCCATTCTTTGGGTGGGTCAAAGCTACATCTATGCCGTCAACCCCACTCCCTGACTCCTCTTGAATGTTGGTCCACAAGTCATTCCCTCTTCTTCTGCAATCTAGCTTATTGTTTTTTAATGCAATGGTTTTGTTTCCATTTTCATAACACGGCCTTATTAGGGGTGTCTGGAAACAAAACTTATTACCATATGAGTATCTTCTGTCTCTTTCTGCTTTCCCCCTGGGGTTTCTGCAGTTAGAGGTAATCAGTACAGGGGGACAGAAACAGATTTGTGAACAGGTCTCTGGAGAGGAGATAAGCTGAGGAAGGAAAGACAGTGAGGGAGGAAAAAAGCCAAGCTTCTTGATTAGAAATTCAGTAAAGAATTTTTTTTAGTCGTTATTGTTTTGGGAGAGTTGAGAATGAGGAGGAAAAACGGTTTCAGGGAGTTACAGGCTTTAAGTACAGCGAAGAGAATTGGAAGAAAGGGAATTTTAAATGTGGCTGGGGGTTATAAATTGGGTCCCCATTAAAGTCCTTAAAGAAATTCAAGTAAAGATTGGAATTATTTTTAATTACTTCTGAAGGCTGGATTATATGTCTTTGATGTGGACTCACACTGAGATTGTACCACATGGGACCCCAGCACTTATTTGGGTTATACAGTGGGAAACAGGTTTAGTTCAAATCAGGTTGGATTTTTGTAAACACATAAAGCATTTATGATAATAAAATTTCAAAACCCAAACACTTATGAAAGTAAGCGATATTGTAATCATGAATTTGGGGGATTTTTCTGTATGGGCTGCAGTGACTATGGCTCCTGCAAATAGGAGTTTAATGAAGTATCTGTTGTTTCCTGGTTAATTTTCCTGAAGCAAGTGTAAGCAGTTTGTGTTCTAGGGAATCTTATTTTATTTTATTTGTTTATTTATTTATTATTATTTTTTTTGAATCGGAGTCTCGCTCTGTCACCCAGGTTGGAGTGCAGTGGTGCCATCTTGCCTCACTGCAACCTTGGCCTCCCGGGTTCAAGCAATTCTCCTGCCTTAGCCTCCGAGTAGCTGGGATTACCAGTGCCTGCCACCACTCCCAGCTCATTTCTGTATTTTTAGAACAGACAGGGTTTCACCGTGTTGGCTAGGCTAGTCTCGAACTCCTGACCTCAAGTGATCCACCCACCTCGACCTCCCAAAGTGCTGGGATTACAGGCATAAGCCGCCATGCCAGGCCCATTTTATTTTATTTTATTTTAGAGACAGGGTCTTGCTCTGTCACCTAGGCTGGAGTGCAGTGGTGCCATCATGGCTAACTGTGGTCTCAACGTCCTGGGATCAAGCGATCCTCCTGCCTAAGCATCCTGAGTAGCTGGGACTACAGGCACGTGCCAGCATACCCGGCTAATTTATTGTTTTTTTCTTTCTTTTTTTTTTTTTTTTTTTTTGTAGAGACAGGGTCTCTCTTTGTTGCCCAAGCTGGTCTCAAACTCCTGGCCTCAAGCAATTCTCCCTCCTCAGCCTTCCAAAGTATTGGGATTACAGGCATGAGCCACTGCACCCAGCCTCTGGGGACGTTTTAAAAAATTCATATTATTTATTTAAATCTGACACATGTATTACGATTTAAGCCGAATTGGATCATATTATTATCAAAGACATGCTTTCCCCAGGGTGTGGTGAGTCTGGAAGTGGCCCTTGGATTCTTGGGCGGTGTGCTGCCTCTTTCATGTCCTCCCCAGCCCATGAATTGAAATAGCAGCCACAGAGACTCCCAGCCTTCCTGTAATTTGTGTCTCCTGCAGGTGGAGGCCGTCATGGCAGAGCTGAGTCTGAGCCATGTGGCAGACCGACTGATTGGCAACTACAGCTTGGGGGGCATTTCCACGGGTGAGCGGCGCCGGGTCTCCATCGCAGCCCAGCTGCTCCAGGATCCTAGTAAGTGGCACCCAGAACTGTTACTAGCTGCTGTCTGGGCATCTTCTGTGTGTGTGCAGATACTTTGGGCCCTTTCTTCACGGTCCTCATTTGGAAAGGGGTTTGTGTACAACTGAAATCACAGGTTTTTCAAACTGAGGACCCAGTTTTTTTGGAAATGCTGTACAGTTCATTTCCTGATGCGATTCCATCATCCAAACAAAACAGCTCCTGGACCCGGAAGCGTTGCATTGGTGTTGAAGTGTTCCATTGGGGTTTTCCTTGAATATGGAGCCTTGCCCTGCCAATCATTTCTTCTCACCAGGGCAATACCACTGTGTGGGCTGGGGAAAGCCAATGAGTTTTGATATGACCACAGGTGTTCATGAAATGGCAGGAATTAAAATAGGAATTTGAATGATAAACTCAAAAGTGTATATGTTGTGGGGAAGGGAGTATCAAAACAGAGTAGTCAGTCCTCTGCCAGGTTTGGTCATTTTCCCCATCACCTGGGGAAACCTCGCCACTCATGCAGCTGGAGAGGACAAACTGCATCTGGATCCTTTCTTTGCACTGTGGTAGACCAGGACGGCCTGTTCTTCAAATGGTGCTTGGTCACTAGAAGGCAAATAAGAGAGATGTTTTTAACAGCTCTTGTCACTTTTTTTTTTTTTTTTTGAGACAGAGTTTCGCTCTTGTTGCCCAGGCTGGAGTGCAGTGGTGCGATCTTGGCTCACTGCAACCTCCACCTCCCAGGTTGAAGCGATTCTCCTGCCTCAGCCTCCTGAGTAGCTGGGATTACAGGCGCCTGCCACCACACCCGGCTAATTTTTGTTCTTTTAGTAGAGACAGGGTTTCACCATGTTGGCCAGGGTGGTCTCGAACTCCTGACCTCAGGTGATCTGCCTGCCTTGACCTCCCAAAGTGTTGGCATTACAGGCGTGAGCCACCGCGCCCGGCCCCCTTGTCACTTTTTAGGAAGAAATAAGTTACTTTAAACCCTCTAAAGAACCCAAATGCCTGCCACACTTCAGGCCTTGTTTTATTCGTCAGATTTTTTTCTTTTCTGTGCAAAGACCCTGCTGGTGTTGGAAAGTGTTACAGACATGAAATGGGGTTGTCTTTTTGACCAGCCTTCTCTCAGTCTTGTTTTAAAACAACTTGATGCCAGCCTGCCAGCCCTTGTTCCCTGACAGGGTGCCCTGAGCAGAGCCCAGATGGCCCGTAAGAGGCCTGATCTCCTTACTCCCTGTGCCCTGGAGGATTTGAGCCCACATGTGCTCCAGAG